>NC_000005.10:170609808-170912839 GCF_000001405.40 Homo sapiens
ATCACACCACTGCACTCCAGCCTGGATGACAGAACAAGATCCTGTCTCTAAAAACAAACAAACAAATAAACAAATACTACTTTGCTCATTCATTTAAGTCAGTAAATTGTGACAAATGGAAAAATGCAAGAAAAAAAAGGAAGCTGGACATAAAGCTAGAATGGAAAATGCATGAGCTCTTGCTGGGGTGGGTCCTAATTTGGCTTTTAGCTTCCTAGCAGCCCTTGCAAAGAAGAAAACAAGATCTGTTAGGTAAATCTCTATAGCAGTGGTTCCCAAGACATGGTCTCCTGACCAGCAGTATCAGCACTACCTGGGAACCTGTTAGATTGTCCCTCTCCACCCTCGAATCTGGGAGTCAGGCCCAGGCATCTGGTTTAACGAGCCCCCTAGGTGATGATGATACATGCTGAGGAGTACGAACCACTTATGTTAGAATAAATACACACCAGCTTCTAACATTGATATCGCAGAGAAATTTCTGCATGACACAGTGAGCTATTATATTGACCAAATCCCCATTATAAACACCATCATGTACTTAATAGGCCTTTTTCTTAACTTCCTACTTAGCATACACTCATGAAACCTTCTCAAGGCACAGCTTAATGAAATTAGTTCCAGAGGCACCAAGCTATGTCACCCAGACACACAGCATGATGGGCTGGTTTCATGCTCATGCACACTTCTGAGTAGTGAAAGCCTGGAGAATATCCCAGCATTGCTGTTAGAAGCCAGGACTCTGGAGCCAGGCTGACCCAAATTTGAATCTTAGGTGCACCTTTCATTAACTGAGTGACCTTGGCCAATTCCCTTAATTCCCTCCCTCTGCCTCAGTTTCTTCATGTATAAGAGGAAAATGACTATTTTATGTATTCCATGGAGTTGCTGTAAAAATTCAATGGGCTAACAGACCGTATGCTTAGTATGGTGCTTAGTATGCTAATGAGTCCTTATAAATGTTCCCACGATTATGAACTGCTAGAGTGTGTTTCCTGTAGGTAAACCTCCAAGCCATCAAACCTATGTCCATGTCTCCTGCCACCATCTGTCCTGGATGATTATTGTTCAGATGCATATTCCAAACTTACTGAGTACCTAGTATGTGCGGGGTTCTTTCACTTATATCATTTGCCTTTAAACAGCTCTGCACTGTAGTTATTATTACCCATTTTCTGCATCAGGAAACTGAGTTCCCCCCAAAATGAACTGACTTTTCAAAAGTCACACAGGTATTAAGTGCCAAAGCCAGGATTTGATTCCAGGCCTTCTGGCTTGACAGTGGCACTCAAATTCATCAAGTGTTTCTTGAGGATCTTGCAGATATTTTCTCATATTGCAATTCTAGTCTCTGATTTTTTAGCCCCAGCTGGGCAGGAAGGAAGCAGGTGCATCAGTTTTTAGAACTAGAGCAGGACAGATGCTTAGAATGTATCTGGTTCAAGCCCCTAGTTTATAGCTGTGAGAGTCCAGGCTACAAGAGGGACTTGGCTTGCCCTGGACCCAAAGAGCTAAGCAGAACAAATACTCACATTTGGTGCTGCTCATTTCTCTCCCCTGGGCCCCACAGCATCTTCGAAAGGTGAGGTCAATTCCCATGAAAAGTACCACACTACGAAGTGCAGCCAAGGTCCAGAGGGGTATGGCAGAGAGCTTAGGGTTAATTGATTAGAGCAGGAAAAGGTCAGAAGATGTGGAATCATCCACATAGCCCTTGCAAGGAGGTATCACATACATCCACTCAGGGTCGAAGACACAGACAGCATGTGTCTCTCTAGCCTTCCCTCTCTCCTGGAGTCCATAGCCTTGGCTGCCTGCCAGGAACCCGGCACACCCACCTCCCAACACCTCCCAAGCCCACTCCACCTTCCTCAAAGGGTAACCTCTTCCTGACCTAATCGTTTTCAGAGGAAAGAGCAGGAACTTTGGAGTCAGGCCTGGTTTCCTAATCATCATATTGGTCAAAGCAAGTCACACAGCCAAGCCCACAGGCAGTGGGGCTGGGAAGGACAGAGAGAGAAGGGAGAATCGCTACTGAATGACAGTCTACCACACCTATTGTGCAAAGTGCTGGAAGGGAGGATTTGTTCATTCATTCTGTTAATATATATTAACTGAACACGAGCCAGGCACTGGCCTAGGTGCTGAATATGCAGCAGTGAATGAAATAGACAGAAGTACTTTTCCTCCTGGAGTTCATGTTCAAGTGAATAATGGCCCCACACCTCGATTAATCCACAAGCACTTAACTGTCTACCCTGTCAGGTTTCCATATGTGCCAGACACATCATGTCCACAAGAGATTCTCTGCAACCAGCGAGCTCATGGCCCACGGGGAAACCAGACAGACAGACACCCAATGACAACATTGAAGGCTTGCACGCACGAGGGGCCAGAAAACACCCCACATGGAGTGGGTCCCACTCTAGGCCACTCTCCCATCCCTTCCCTTTTCCAAATTTCCTCCCTAGCCACATGCCTTGGTTTCCAGGGCCAGCCAGCTGTGCAAAATGCCTAGCAAGCTCTCAGCAGGCCCCTGCTGGGCACAGCACAGAGAAATTAAGTGCAATTAGCGTAACTAAGCCATCACCAGTAAGAGGCACTTGCTCTCCTGGCGGCTCCCTTTCGGAGACTAATGGGGATGACTAGAGAGGAGGATCCAGAGCCTATGGCTGAAACCTCATCAACAGCTTGGGAGAGTGACAGCCAGCCAGTCTTCTGCCCGCAGGCTGAAGAGGCAGTGCTTCCCAGGGTGAGCCAGAGGTCAGGAATCAGAAGGCCTCCCCAGAGCTCGCTCCCATTTTCCTGAGTCTAGGAAGATGGAGTAAATTGGTTTAATGGAGTGGAGTCCCGTTGTCATGGTGGCAGGAGGAGAACAGACGGATCGCCCTGCTCCAGCCTGACAATGTGAGGCTGGGCTTTTAGCAAATGTGGCCGGCTGTAATTCAGAGAACTCAATTTGACCCATGCTGTATCTTCTTTCAGATAATGGCCGTGTGTCCTGCCCTTCCCCCAAGTGGGGCAGGCTAGAAACCTCTAGTGGACTCCTCACCCCCTCCCAAGACCCAGTCAATCTATAGGGCCCGCTGGTTCCTTCCCCCAGGTCTCTCCTCTCTCCCTGGATTGTGGCAATAGCCTCCTGAAGGTTCCTCTGCGCCCCAGGGCTAAGTCCTGGTCCCATCCGCTCTTCACATACACACACCCAGCATAGCACATTTTTCTAGAACTCACACCTGAACGTGCCTCTCCTCTGTTGAAGACATCCCCAGAAGCTGATCCCTTTGTTCCCAATGCCCTTCCACCCTGTCTCCACCTGGCATATGCCTGTGTTTCCCTGAAATTCCAGCTTAAATCTCTCTCCATGTTTGGCCTTCTCTGCCTCTTGCTGGATTCCTCATCTCGCCTCCCACCGGTTTTGCATGGATCCCTGCCACTACCTGTGTGTGTCCATCGCTCCATCCATTGAGCCTGTGAGGGGAAAGCCTATTTAATTCATTGTCACATCCCTTCCCTGGAGACAGAGTAAAATAGCTAATAATTAGACAAAACATTAATTGAGTGCTTATTTTATGTCAAGTGTGATTTGAGGACTTTATATGCACTAATTTATTTAGCTTCCCAAAACTCCATTAATAGGTACTATTAATGCCCCCTACTTGAAAGATTAAGCAACAGAGGCATGAAAATAATAAAGTGATATGTCCAAAACTACACAGCTAATAAGTGAGAGAGCCAAGATTTGAACCTGAAGGAGATGGGAGGGAGAGAAATAGTTGGGGAGACCACAGGGAAAGGAGGAAGAAGAGAAGGGAAGAAAAGGAGGCGGGGAGGGCCGGGAGCTGGAAATGTACCTTTGTATTTTAAGTCATTGAGATTTGGGGGTTGTTACTGTCACAGATCCTAGCCTGTTCTTACTAATAAAATAAATAACTAAATTTATAAAGAAGTGTCAGAAAAAAAGGTCATATTAGACCACGAAGGATGACAAAGAGCTTCTTAAAAAGGGAACTCAAGGCCCAAACATGGGTATTGTTGTGTCATGTGAATCCTTCACAGGGGCCACTTGGTGTCTGTGTGGCTGGCTCTTTGTGGCCCTGGAGAGGGAACAAGCATGAATGCATCAGTGGCTTCCAGCCTGAACAGAATAAGTTCAACAAGAGATGGCCCCAGCTCCGGTGTCTACTGGGGAGGTGATGAAGTGAAGTGTTCAATTCCTGCATAGCCACCAACAAGTCCCTGGAAACACAATTGTTGAGGATGTGTCCCTCGGGGAGGCATGGTTCATCTGGCTGTGTCACAAAGCAGATGGGAACAGCTGGCGAGGAAGGACTGCCTGTCCTGGGAATTGCCCTAATCATCTTCCTAAATATTGCCGCAGCCAGGAGGAAAGCCTGATTCCCTGCAGATGGGGCCATTGACAGGATGCTACTGGTCCGGGTTGGGAGAAAAGGAATGCTGTAAACACAGTCAGCCCATTCGGCAGGCAGTGGAAGCTGTCTGAGGCTTCAGGGCCCCCTCCTCACTAGGGGCTATAATTCATGCAGTTTCTTATCTGCCAGATGGCCAGGAGGACACATGCATTCCAGTGGTGCCATCTTCTAAGTGTTGGCAGCTTGCCAGTGATCTCAACTTCATTTTCATCATTGCCTTTTGAGACTTTTTGTTCTTAATCACCCCAACCAACCATGAAATTTTAATACCAGAAATATATTCTCTGTTTACATACTTTATGCAAAATCTGTTTTTTAAACGTAAAAAGGGGATTTTTTCACACGTGCATTCCCACAAGAACCAATTCTCTCCCCCGTTGAGAATGCCTGTTGTACACTAAACCTTCAGATAACCATTTTCTGCAATCAGCCCTATCAGATTTGGAGGGAGAGAAGCAACTCACCAGGAAACAAATGCTCTTTGCATTGTTTTGTCTCTTCCCAGAAGCCTCCCATCCACCTTCAGCTGGAGTTGAGCTTTCTAACATCACTGCATTCCTGCACATCCACATTACCATCTTTATGTATTTGATTCCTCCTTGAGGGCAAGGCCTGTTTCTCTGTTGTTTACACCCCCTCTCAGTGCGTGCTGTAAGGTAGGAGCTTCACAGATGGTTAAAGCAAAACAGAACATGGGCCGGGTGCAGTGACTCACTCCTGTTGTCTCAGCACTTTGGGAGGCCAAGGCGGGTGAATCACCTGAGGTCAGGAGTTCAAGGCCAACCTGGCCAAATGGCGAAACCCCATCTTTACTAAAAATACAAAAAATAGCTGGGCGTGGTGGTAGGCGCCTGTAATCCCAGCTACTCGGGAGGCTGAGGCAGGAGAATCACTTGAACCCGGGAGGTGGAGTTTGCAGTGCGCCAAGATCGCGCCACTGCACTCCAGCCTGGGCGACAGAGTGGGATTCCATCTCAAAAATCAAAAAACAAAAAAAGGAAAAAACAGAACATGAAAGCCACTTTCCCACAGCCTGGGCACGTAGCTACTGTGGTGAATCACCTTTCCTGGCAGAGCACACTCAGGAACCGTCAGCTCCAAAAGCACCAAACAGTTTCATTAAGACCGTGGCTCCTTCGCAGAAGCACACGGAACGCAGACTGACAAGCCTGTGATAACATTTTAATGGCCTGAGTTCAGTTCCCAATAAAATACTTAAGTTTCTGCAATCATGGAGCTGGCATTTTCATTAATACTCCTGATTAATTGTCTGTCCTAGGAAAAGGCTCATCACCGTCACAATCCCGATCTTGCTAGTTCCTTGCAGGGAGAATCCCAGCAGCCTGGGCTTTTCCACCAGGTTAAAGCTGGCAAAGGGCAAGGAAGACTCCCTGGCACCTGGTACCCTCCACTTGCCATGGTAACAGAGGATTACAGGCTCTAAGCCCAGCTGCTGTCCTTGCATTCAGACCTCACCACTCATACACTGGGACCTGGAACTACTTAAATTGCCTCAGTTTCTTTATGTGTCAAATGGCGTTTGACACATAAAGCACTAATACTAATAGTACTTACATAATAAGGTTGTTGTAAGGATTAATTGAGTTGGTACAAGTAATGTCCTGGCACGCATCTGGCACATAGTGAGTGCTTCCTATAATAAACAGTAGCTGGGTTTGTTGTTGTTTTACTATTATTTTTCCTCCAGAAAGGCGAGAGTTGCATCAGCCTTGGAAGAGGCAGGACTGAGATGTTTGGGAACAAGACCACTTTCACAGGGGGCAGCCTTTTGAGAAATGTCATGTCTACTTGATAGGGCTTTAAATATGGAGTAGTGGGAATCTGCACATTTGGATTCAAATCCTGGCTTTTCCAATGGCTGATGATGGAACCCTTATAGGCTCAAATCACTCACTTCTCTGAGCCTCCCCAAAAATTGAGAATAACAGTTTTTATTCCATAGGGTAGTTTTGAGAATTGGTAAGATGATCATAAATGTAGAAGGGCC
The DNA here is from genome assembly GCF_000001405.40 of Homo sapiens. NCBI lineage: Eukaryota > Metazoa > Chordata > Mammalia > Primates > Hominidae > Homo > Homo sapiens. The sequence continues at coordinate 170,616,247 of NC_000005.10, forward strand.
TGGTACTCATAACTGTTTTCTTCATTTATTTATTTAGTCAACAATGTTTTCTGAGCACCTACCCTGGGCCAGGCACACTGAGGTGGGCCTTGGGATTCATCAGGGATCAAAGGGAAAAGGCATCCCATCTCCGTGGAGCTTCACATCATCGTAGTTAAGGTGGATAATGACTGTCTCGACAGATAGGACAGTGGCCAGGACACAGGCCTTCAGTCTGGAGCATGCTTCTCATTTTGAAATAATTTCTTGTTCAGAGTCAGGTTGGAAGGAAGGCCTTGCAGGGGCTGGGTAAGGATGGCGGCATCTCTGCGTTCACGTCTGTGTGCTCACCATGAGAGCCCACCTCTCTCTGGCCCAAGTTTCCTTCTGTAATGTGAAAGAGGTGGGGTTCCATGCTCTCCTCTTCAGCATCCTCCTTAGATACTCAATCTGGCACTCATCAGTTTCGGACCCTCCATGCTGCCCCAAAGGAAGCCACACTGCACCTTCATCCAGTTTCTTAAACCTGCATGTTCTCTCTTGCCTCTAGACCTTCGCCCAGGCTATTCCATCTGCCTGGAACATGCTTCCATACACCTGCCTTCACTTGGCTAACTCCTACTTCTGCCTTGTGCCACTGCTTGGATTGAATGTCCTCTGGAATTCAGCCTTCCTGGATGTCCCTGAGCTGGGCTAGGGTCCCCTCTGCCCACCTCTGCTCTTTGATTTTCCCTGTTCATCACCCCAGTTATGACACTGAGTTGTAACTGGGATTTCTAATCTGTCGCCTCCACCAAGCAGCACACTCTTTCTGGCCAGGGTCCATGTCTTATTTGTCTTGGTATCTCTAGGGCCCAGAATCTGGTACCTAGTGAATGTGTAACAAATATTTTCTCTGAGCTAAAATAGGAACACAGGGTCCCTGCAATGAAGACCCCAGGTCTGGAGGGGAAGACAAGGTAGCATTACAAGATAACAGGCCTTCCCTGCAAAGCGTCAGCACTCAGACTGGGGCATTGTGGACAAGAAGGGTGGAGAGGAGAGAAGGCATGAAGGCATCCCAGATAGGGACACAGCAGAAACAAAGACAAAAAGGCCGGATAAGCAAGATCTCTTTGAGCCGGCAGGTTAAGATGGGTAGTGGAAAGCTGGACCACTGTCAGGTTTTGACCCCTCCAGACAATGCACCGTGATCTTCTGGCTTCCATATGTCCCTGGCTGCTGCTGCCTGCTGCCCACTGAGGGACCTCACCCTCCAGACTCTAAGTGATCTTAAGCCACCAGCCTTACAAATTACAGCAGACAGAGGGGGTCCAGGCCCTTCTAGAGATAGTGTTCACAGCACTTTCCCAAAGCTGGTTCTGCTCAATTCCCTAAAAGATCTCCTGCAATGGGGCCTCCAGGGTCCTAAAAGCACCATCTGCTCTTAAAGAGTCTCACTGCTCATTAGCATATCAAAGGCTCTGAAATGTCCTGCAGGAAAAAACTCTGGGCTAACTTTTGTAGCCCTGTTCCCCAAACTAAATTGAATGAAGGATTCTTTTTTTATGACCCACCTACAGTTCTGCAGAGATCCTCCAGGGAATGCAGATCTAACCCATTCTCTGTGCAGTGAATGGCAGAGAAAATTAAAGTGATTGCATCTATTGCACACTTACTTTTCCTTCGAGGTAGGTGAGAGAGTAAATAAGATGCAGGAGAGAATTACAACCGGAGATATAAAACAGTTGTCTTACAGGGAATAGTCTGTTTGCCCAGGGAGGAGGTTTTCAGAATACAAAGTACCATTTCTTCTCCACGACATCCCCAGGGGAGAAAGGAAAGTGAAAGAAGCCCTCCAACCGACCACTGGAGATGGGAGCATTTCTGCTGGTTTCATTTACATAAGTGTCCTTGGCAATTTGTCCCAATTTGTCTCATTATAAATGATGTAAACATCCGGGCGTAATCACAGACAAAATGGGATGGTTTAAATGCTGCCTGATTAAAAACCCTGGGTTGGCTGCAATGACTTGCAGGCATGCTAACGGCTTCCCTGCAAGGGACTTTGGTTTCAAAGTTCTGAGAGCTCAGGAGGGTCCCTAGGTCTAGTTGCAAAGTCATGTCCCCCATGACTCTGCAACTCTCCACATAGAGCCTAGCAAGAATGCATCATCTTCTCTATATCTCTTATAAGGAGGGAAGGAAGAAAGGGAGGGAAGGAGGGAGGGGGAGAGGGAGGGAGAAAGGAAAGAAGAAAAGAAAGGAAAGAAGGAAGGAAGGAAGGGAGGGAGGGAGGAAAGGAGGAAGGAAGGGAGGGAGGGAGGGAGGAAAGGAGGGAGGAGGGAGGGAGGGAGGGAGGGAGGGAGCTAACTGACATTTTCCCCTTTGCCATCTGATTGGCATGAAGGGCAATGTAACTGAGGAGTCTGGGGACCAAAGTGAATCCTAGTAATGTCACTCACTTAATATGTGTGATTTTTTAGACCAATCACATCATTTGGCCAAGCCTCAGTTTCCTAGTCTGTCAAATGGGAATGATGATTTGACATCTGGTGTGTCTCTCACTACTGTTGAGACATTATATAATGAGAGCATAGCCCTTTATAAAGACAGGGTTTCTGTCCTCTTTCTTACTTCATTCTTTCCTTCTCTTCTTTCCTTCTAATAGAAGGTATAGAGAAGACAGCACATTCCTACTGAGCTCTATATGGAGAGCTGCAGTCATGGGGGACACTGTCTAGATCTGGGGACCCTCCCAAGCTCTCAGAGCTTTGGAAGGAAGGTCCCTGCAGGGAAACTGTGTGTGTTTCTTCAACAGTGTATCCTCAGTGCCTAGCACATGGTAAGTGTTCCATAAACAGCTGTTGAAGAGACGGATGGATAACTGAATGAATGGATGCTTCCATGGGCAATGACACACTAATCTGAAAAGCCCTGTATCAATGAAAGAATCACTTAATAGTTTAACTTTTCCCTCATCCTTCAGAACACAGATGGCATGCCATCTTCCCTTCAAATCTCTTCCCAGTGCCCCACACAGAAGAGGCACACTTGGACACTGGTGTCTGATGGACCCAAGTTCACAGCCTGTCTCTGGTCATCAGGTATCATGACCTTGGGCAAGAAGCTTAACTCTCTGAGCCTCAGTTTCCCCTTCTGTCCCCCAGGGAAAATGAGTCCTGCCCCTCCTAAGGGAGGTATGAGATGTAAGACCCCGAAGGACACAAAGGTTTGCCAGGAGCCTTCAGGTAGGAGGCAGGTAAGGAGGTCTGCTAGATTGGAATGAGTTTCTGGAAGGCCCCAAGGAGCTCAAAATCAGACCTGGGGTGAAGGTGTCTTGACCAAAATGAGACCCATCAAAGAAGCCTGGATGAAGGTGCCCACAGCATCCATCAGTGCCAAAAACAGAAACACTTTAGCCCAGGATACAAGGAACATTTTAAAGCAACAGAGATAAGAGATAGTTAGAACTCAGGCCTCCTGGCTCTTGCTGTTCTTGGCCCATAATTAGTTGTTATGGGACCTTAATAAACTTCTTGCCTTCTTGGTACCTTTGCCAAACAATCTGATGAGGAGAATATTGAGTCATGGTGCCAGGGAAAATTAGCATATTCTGCAAATTCCTGGCACTGTTAACACTGGATTCTGTCCACCTTTAGAAATCCTCAGATCACTATGTCAGCATCCCCCAATCACAGCTCTCCAACTTCAAGGAGGGTTGAGGGGTCTGAAGAAGGAGAGAGAGGCAACAGAGCCAGAAACCCTTCAGAAGATGCCAAGAGCAAGGTTTGGACCCATAGTCCACCACTTACTAACTTCAAGAGTGTTATGAGCTACAAACTTCTCAGTCTCCGTTGACTCATCTCAAAAATGGAAGTAAAATTATTTACCATGCAATATGTTGTCAAAATGCATTGGGTTTAGTTCATAGCAGGTGCTCAAAGAATATCAGTTCCACTTCCCTTGTCCCTAGAGAGCCTTGTAGTGGATGTTGATGTGTCTTCCAACACATGCACCAACCTTTCCCTGTCCTGTAGCAGTTGAGATGGAATCATCCCACTCCCAGCTCCAGGAATAGGCTCTGATGGGCTTGAACCCAGCAGCTTAATTCCATTGGTTCTCTAGGCCTTCATCATTAGTACAGGAAAGGCACTTGACCTAAATTAGTTCGATAAGATTTAAGCTCAGAAATCTGGTTTGTTGGATGGAGAAAGAGATGCTTTCTTTCTCTCTGGAAGGAGTTTATTGCAAAAGTAAGGGCTGGGGCTGCTACAGCCATTGTGCTACCATGAGGGAACTAGCCATGATAACAAAACTTGCCTGGGGAGGGGCTACGCATCACAGAAAATGATGCCAAAGTCCTGCTCAAACTGTGCCTGATGCCTGCCTGATCTATGGACTTCTTAGTTCCATGTAATGGATTCTCTCTATTTTTAAAGCCGTATCAGGTTGAATTTTTGGAGAAATAAAACAAAAAGCATCTTGACTAATTTAAAAAATCTTCTTTGGGTATTCAACCCTCCTAAACTCACCCCCAAATCCACTGGGAGCATGTCAAGATTTTTGTGAGCCGATTTAGGAGATGCAAATTCATTTGCCTTAATTGGATCTCCAGGAAATGACTTCTGCCCCCTCTTAAATCATTTAAAGCTCAAAGAGGCATGAGGGCCCTCCCCAAGGATGCAGGTATCCTCTTGACTGACAGCCTGTATGCTCTGCTTCCAGGATCCTTCCATCTCCTCCCTTTACTGAGGGAGTCTGCTATGTGTTAGAGGTGTCCATCACTGGTCACACTGGGAAGCTGTGGCAGGGAAGCTGGAGAAAAAGCAAGATAGGCCCCAGAAAGAACACCAACTCCAGACTCAGGGAGACTCAGGCCAGAATCCTAGCTCAACTTCTTCCAAGCTCCCAAAGTCACACTCTTTTCTCTGAGCCTCGATTTTCCCATCTGCAAAATGGGGATACTAAGGGTCACCTAGCTGGGCTGCCCTGGAGATTCCAAGACATTAGGCATAGAAACAGTCTGGCCTAGACCCTGTAGGCCAGTAGGCATTTGATCAATGGCAGCTGTGGTTGAGATTTTTATCATCATTATGGCTGCCCTTCCTGCTTTCCAGGGCTAGTGTAGATCTAAGATTATAGGGGCTGCAACGTTCCTCAGTGGAGCAGATGCAGCAAGGTAGTAAGAGAGGGCATTCTCACTTGTCCCCACAGAGTGTGGTGTGGGGGAGATCTGTGAGCACCCCAGCAGCCATGAGGGTCAGCACTTGAATCTCTGCAGGTCAGTCATACTCCTCTTTATTATTTTTATTTTTATTTATGTATTGATTTATTGCTCTGTCACCCAGGCTGGAGTGCACTGGCACCATCATAGCTCACTGCAGCCTTAAACTCCTGGGCTCAAGTGACTCCCACTTCAGCCTCCCAAGTAGCTAGAGCCACAGGCACATGCCACCACGCCTAGCTAATTTTTCAATTTTTTGTAGAGACAGGGTCTCACTGTGTTGCCCAGGCTGGTTTCAAATTCCTAGGCTTGAGTGATCCTCCCGCCTTGGACTCCCAAAGTGCTGGGATTACAACTGTGAGCCACTGCACCTGGCCTTATTCCCTTCTTTTTATCAGTTTTCAAAGCCATCAGTATGCAGAGCACTAGGCCCAGAAATGAGAGGAGAAGAGAGATGGAACGACGAAGACCAAAACCTCTGTCCTCAAGCTGCTCATAAGCCAGTATAGAGACGTGTGGAGTCTGCTGTCCTGAGTTCCAGTCCCAGTTCCCCTTGCAAGCAGCCGTGTGACTTGCAGCAAGTCATTGAATCCCTTTGAGCCTCACTTTCCTTGTCTAGAAAACAACAAAACTGGAAATAATACTGCTTCCCTTCCAGTTTGTCAAGGATGAAGGTGCTTTGCACGGTCCCTGGAGCAAAATGTGTTCTCAATCAAGATTCCGTCTGTGGTGGGTGGAGCCGCGTCCTTCCCAAATTCATATTCACTCAGAACCTTCAAATGTGACCTTTTTCAGAAATAGCATCTTTGCAAGTTTAATTCAGTTATGGGTCTCAAGATGAAATCATCTTGGATTTGGGGTCTATCCGAAATCCAGTGACTGATGTCCTTATAAAAAGAAGGGATACAGGCCGGGGCCAGTAGCTCACGCCTGTAATCCCAGCACTTTGGGAGGCTGAGGCAGGCAGATCACTTGAGGTTAGGAGTTCAAGACCAGCCTGGCCAACATGGTGAAACCCCGTCTCTACTAAAAATACAAAAATTAGCTGGGTGTGGTGGTGAGCACCCATAATCCCAGCTACTCGGGAGGCTGAGGCAAGAGAATTGCTTGAACCCAGGAGGCAGAGGTTGCAGTGAGCCGAGATCGCGCCACTGCACTCCAGCCTAGGTGACAAGCGTGAGACTCTGTCTCAAAAAAAAAAAAAAAAAGAGTGGATACAGAGAGGCAGTGAAGAAGGCTGTGTGCAAAGACAGGCAGAGGTTAGTGGGATGCAGCGCGAGGCTAAGGAGTGTCTGGGGCCACCAGAAGCCAGGGAAGCCTAGGAAGGGTTTTCCTAGAGCCTTTGGAGGGAGCACAGCCCTGCTGACACCCTGACTTCAGACTCCCAGCCTCCAGAGCTGGGAAGGGATAAGTAGCTGTTGCTTTAAACCAGTGGTCCCCAACCCTTTTGGCACCAGAAACCGGTTTTGGTTCAGTGGAAGACAATTTTTCCACGGACAGGGTGTGTGGGGTGGGAGATGGTTTCAGGATGAAACTGTTCCGCCTCTGATCATCAGGCATTAGCATTAGTTAGATTCTCATAAGGAGTGAGCAACCTAGATCCTTCGCATGCGCAGTTCGCAATAGGGTTCATGCTCCTATGAGAACCTAATGCGGCGGCTGATCTGACAGGAGCGGAGCTCAGGCGGTAATGCTTGCTCGCCAGCTCACCTGCTGTGCAGCCGGGGTCCTAACAGGCCACAGACCCATCCGTGGCCCAGGGGATTGGCGACCCCTGTCTTTTTTTTTTTCTTTTTTTTGAGATGGAGTTTCGCTCTTGTTGCCCAGGCTGGAGTGCAATGGCACGATCTCGACTCTTCAACCTCCGCCTCCTGGGTTCAAGCCATTCTCCTCCCTCAGCCTCCCAAGTAGCTGGGATTACAGGCACCCGCCACCATACCTGGCTAATTTTTGTATTTTTAGTAGAGATGGGGTTTCTCCATGTTGGTCAGGCTGGTCTTGAACTCCCGACCTCAAGTGATCCGCCCACCTCAGCCTCCCAAAGTGCTGGGATTACAGGCGTGAGCCACCACGACCTGCCCGGGGACCCCTGTCTTAAACCACCCCAGCCTGTGATACTTTGTTATGGTGACCCTAAGAGGCAAATACACCCTCCTTTCCCCAACCTCTCCCCTCAGACGAAACCGATGCGAAAAGTGCTTCATGAAGTTTCAGGTAAAGAAGTCTGGGACGAAAAGGGATAGTGAGGATGGCGGGAGGGGCTGAACTCCAAATGGGCTTATCAAGGCTCTGCAAAATGGCGTGACGGCGCTGCCCCCTTCTGGTGGCCTGAAGACTAACGCACATGATGTCAAGTGCGGGGCCCAAGTACTCAGGAAAAGGTTCTCATTTGGACACTGGGAGGTCTTACATTGGGGGCCCTGAGCCTCCAGCCCTTCCAAATCTATTCTCAGCAGGAGCTCAGCCACACCTGTGTCCCAGAACTGAGGCCAGGCCCAGCCTTCACTCCACGCCCAGCCAGCCCCAAGGAACCGACTCCCTGAGGCTCTATGCTCCCTGCCTCCAGTGGCCCCGTGTCTGGGAAATAGTGGCCCTGGCCTGATGCCCTGACCTGGGCAATCCATCCCCTGGTCCTCTCAGCTCCCGGGCCCAGGTTTTCTGGGCTACTTTAACCAGGGCAAACTCATTCCTCGAGTACAAAATAAAAGATTCGAACAGCATAATCAAATAGGTCATACCCATAAATCAACACATTTGAGCACCTATTTTGTTGTTCTTTCACTAATCCAAACCATATTTATTGAGCATCTACTATGTGCCATTCTCCAGTAGCCATTCTAGGTGCAGGGGATACAGCAGAGACCTTGAAAAAAGGAACAGTCTCTGATCTTGCTGAGCTTAGAGTCAAGTGGAGGTGAGGAGGAAGGAAATGAATTAACAACTAAGTGAAGCAGAAGGTAACCAATTGATTGACTGACGAAGGGGTACAAACAACAAACACCTTCCTTTCTCCAAACTCTATCTTTAACTGTATTCTCTCGTTTTCCTTCCTCTCCATTTTACAATCATTTTACAACATCTCTGGCTATTCTCCTATATTTCTGATCACTTCGGTTCTCATCACAATAATAATTTCAGTTTTCAAGCATTGGAAAGTCCCATCCAATTAAAATGTCAATCTCACACGCAGTTTAAACGTTTCGCCTGCCCGTGAGCTCAGACCTGTCTTGGTGCCTCAGTTCTTGTGTGGAGGGGAGGAGAGGAGAGGGGAGGGGAGGAGAGGAAAGGAGACCGGGGAGGTGGGGGGGGAGAGGGGAGGGGAGGAGAGGGGAGGGGAGTGGGGGAGAAGGGGAGAAAAGCGCAGCTGGCTTCCTCACTCTCCTTTCCTTCCTCACCATCCTTACCCTGGCCCAGGGCAGGAGGAGGATTGGCAGAGTAGAGGCAGGGTCTTCTGTCTTAGCTGGGCCTGTTGGTGACTTTCTGTTGGCCAACATGGGCTGACTGGAATGTTCTCCAGCATGGCACATGGTCATCCAGATGCAGGCTCTTCCCTGGGGCACTATAGCAGAGAGGGCTCTCTTCCAGTCTATTGCAGATGGATGCCCTCGTGAGCTGAGTTTTGATGAACATCCCATGTCCCCAGCCACCCCATTCAGAGCCTCTTTCTACTCTGGTCCTCTGGTCCCAGCAGCAGCCCTCTGGGTACTGAGGGGAGGGCATCTCACCCAAGCCCCTTAAACCTGCTCACCTTCTTCAGAGCCCACGTGGCCGCAGGAAAGTCACAAACCCTTGTGCTCCCACAGGGCACACGTGTGCACACGTGTGCAGCTACCTTCTCTCTAGTTGGTACCTGAGGCTGCCTCCTGGATTTTCCAGTCTCTGTGTTCCCAGACAACCCCAAGCCCCAAGAATACAAGAGCTCTGTCACCAAGCATCGGGCCTGTGGCTGCACTACACGTCTGCAGCTCAGGACCCCTGGCTGCGGCGTAAGCTACCAGCATCCCCTTCTCATGGGCACCCTCATCTCCGGCTCCCCATCGCTGGGCTGTGACCTGCGGGGGCGCCCCTCTATGGAAGGGAAGGAGAAAAATTCACAGTGCTATCTACTCCTCTGAATGCACTCCCACCAATTTCCTTGGAAATTTCTAGCTTTCACTGACATATCTGGGATGGGGCGGTGGTCACAAAATCAATCCCACTTTCCCTCGGCTAGTCTTACAAGCACCCAACAGCTCTATTCAGAATACAGGGCTGCCCAGCTACTTCCCATTCATTATCCCCAGGTTGCAAGCTTTAGTCAAAACCCAGAGGCAGCAGGGTGTCTGGTTCCACCTGCTGTTAGGATGATTTCAGGAGTGCAAAGTGTTAGAAACGCGGTAAAACATGATGCTTAGAGATTAAGTGGGATGGGGACTGGGCAGATGATGCTGCTTTGGACCCAGCGAGTGAGGTGAGACTGCGACAAGACAGAGCCACTGAGCAGTGACCTGGGGGATGGGCATTGCAGGCAAGGCAGAACCCCAAGTGGGAACAACCTCACTGGGCTTAGCAAAACTAAAGAGGCCCAAAGTATACTGAGCGATGAGGTGAGTGGCGTGGGATAAGGTTGGAGAGGAGGCTGGAACCAGACCCTGCAGGGCCTTGCAGGTGATGGGAAGGAGTTTGGAAGGTGCTGGAAGGTTTGAAGCAGAGGAGGGATATGATCATGCCTGTAGCTGCTATGTAGAACAACTGTATGCATGCCAGGCCTGTGCCACGCATGCTCTAATCATTACTGGCTTTAACCCTTGCACTAACGTTGTCATGCAGGTAGGAGCATCTGCACCCAGCAAATGGAAACTGAAGCTCAGGAATATTCAGTCACTTGTCCAAGGCTCCCCAGCTGTTAGGTGCTAAGGCTGGATTCAATCCAGGACTTGCAGACTCCAGTATCTTGGCTTTTCTAACGAGAGTGTGCTAGCTTTCTAATGGGGGTGGGGAAGGCAGTCTGCCCCCCTCCCATGGCACCGTGAGCAGGTGTCACTGCTCCAGCCAGTACGCCTGGACACCGACTAGGAAGGAGTATGTGCTACTAGGAGGGATGGTCTGGGCTGACTCTTTGAAGTTGACAAGGAGTTGCATAATCCCAGCTAATAATTATGCTGGACCAGGGGCAGAGACATTACTCCAAGGGTGACCAGGTGTGGAGAAGAGGCTGCTGACTCCGGGGCCCCAGGACCTGGCCCCCAGGTCTCATTGCCCGAGTGCTGCCCCAGAAGGAGTAGAAGCTGGAGCTGTCCGGGCCACAGCCGAGGCTGGGTGAATGCTGCAGTGAGGCTGCCGCACAAGTTGCGTGTTGTGACATTTGTCTTCTGGAGGGGATTGGGATGGGCTACTTCAGCATTTAAAAACCCCTACTAGGTCTGAGAAATCCCCTCAGCTTATGAGCCTGGGTGGGCAGCAGGCCTTCTCAAGAAGCCCAGAAGGCCAGATGCTCACTTCCCAGGCTCTCTTGCGGCTGAGCTGAGAGCAGGCACCTGAGGCCTGGCAAGTGTGACAGCTGGTGACACAGACAGACAGGGACAGGGAGATGGGACTGTGCCTGCAGCGGTAGCCCTGGCCGGTGTTCAGTGGGGCCAGCATCCGTGTCTTTCCTGGGGGCCAGTGGGGGCCGTGGCTCTGACGATGCATCCCTCCCCCACGTTTTTTCTCTTCTTGTCTTGGACTTTGCAGGGAGCACTCTGCTTTTGGGAACAGGAGCTGGGTCTCTGGCCATTCTCCGCAGCCCCTCACCATTCACTCAGTGGCTCTCAAAAAATAGAACCTGGGGCAAAGCTGTTCTTGGCCCCAAACAACATGAGGAAAAATAAATAAATAATGTACCTGGTAACTGAGAGAGTTCCCTCTGCATCTTGGGCTCTTTCAATGAGATGTCCTCTGCCTGCAGCAAGCCCCAAGGGCTTCCCTCACCAGGACCAGCACCCTGGTTTGCCTGACCCCACACCTGCCAATGCCGGGGCAAGAATGTCCCAGGCTGCCCTGGTTCCCAGAGCTGATGCTTCCCACAGTGCCCAGCTGTGCTGGCATGGAGCTAAGGACAGGGCCAGTCCCAAGAAAACAACAAGGCTCCAGGGCCACCGGCCACTGCTCAGGACCCTGGCTGACCCCACAGATGCGGAGTGCCTGAGATGGCTCATGGGTGACCCCCAGGCATCTGGCAAAGGTCACAATGGCTGTTTGGCTTGAAGACAGCCCTTGCAAGATCTGTTTTGAGCCAACCTGTGGCATTTAGCCCTCCCTGGGTGACAAATAAAAAGGCTGAGGCTTGTAGGAGCCAAGGTGGGAGTCCCCATCTACCCCCACCCTCTCAGCCCACCAGGGCCCAGACTGGGGAACTGCTCCTGCTTCGAGGGACAGGGCTGAAGAGGAGAGGGGCTTGGGGCTCCCCTTGATCCCAAAGCTCCAGGGACCCCAAAGAAACGTATCAGCAGCATGAGAATATCGGGTGACCTCTCTCTCTAGTAAATGTCAAAACTTTTAACCAAAATGCCTTCATCCCCCAGCGCCAGGCCTGAGCTAATCTCATAGGTGTCAGGACTGGGAGCCTGGACCCCTCTTCCTTCTGCTCCTGCTTTGCAGAGAAGTGAGTGGGGAATTCCCGCCTCTGGGAATTCAGAGACGAAGTGACAGAGACAGCATTGGAAGATAAGAATGCAGCCAAAGAGGTCTTCAGGGTAGCGTGTGGCCTGGGCGCTGAGACTATTGGGCCTAGCAACTTCTCAAGCAGTCTATTAACCACAGCCGGTAGCCAGCTTTTCCCCGCCCTTCTCCCAGGCACACACAGCCACCTCCATCACCAAAGGTCAGGCGAACCACCTCCCATGGCTACCCCCAGCCTGACTTGCTTTATAGAAATCATGGCATCTCATCCTCACAACAGCCCACACTCACAGTGAATCTTGGCCATTATGACAACTGGGGACACTGAGGCTCGGAGTGGTGGAAATTCTCAGAATCACATAACAATAAGTGTTAAAGTCAGAATTTCAACTTCATCTCTCTAACTCCAAAGGGCGTGTGTGTGTGTGTGCGTTTCTGGCCATAATCATATTGTGCCCTACAAGCCCCAGTGAGGAATCTGCTAGGAACACTGGTTTGGGGAAAAAATGTAATAAAATATGTGATCCAGAAGGCGGCCTTGGTACCTGTCATAAACCGCAGCATGGGGTACTCACTATGCCTGGGGTCTGGGCTCTGAAGGCATGATTGAATGATCTCACTGCAGGCCTGGTTGTCCTGCGAAGACACCCGTCAATACATGAATATTGACACACAACGCTGCAGTGCACGCGCTTCTGGCAGGGGAGCTGCTGCACTCGAGGGCAGCTCAAGGTTAATTTGCAGGGTTCATGTTTGGAGTTTCTGAGCAAGTGTTGCAGCTTTGGCCCCCAGCCCCCTGAGGGGAGCTCTGGCCGTGCATGAGGGTCAGACAGAAAATCTCCTTTCCTCCATCCAGGCCTGCAGTCTGCAGCACTGAGGTCAGCGCTGGCCACAAGCCCACCCTGTGCCTCGTCAGCCCCACTGAGCCTCTCCATCTATCATGCCACAGGCTGACCCTGAAATGCAAAATCATTCTGTCCTCCCGCCCTCCACTCCCACCTCGCACATCTATGGATTTGCTGTTCAGAAAACATCTGTTCCCTCCTTCGCCCCTGACATACGCATCGATCTCATGCTAGCCCAGCTGCCTAAGCTCACCACTCTGGGAGACAGACTCTCAGTCCTCATCAGACAGAGATGTAGGGGGCTGTAAGGGACGGGGTGCAGGTAGGGCCTGAGGATTCCGACAAGGTGAGCCATGGGCAGGGGCATTGTTCATGCAGGGACCTCCTGGCCAAGGTCCTACGTCAAGGTTAGAAGGAAAGAGTAAATGATCGGATAGGCTAAGACAGCAACTCAGCAGGCCAAGGGACTCCTCCCCCAGGACCTGCTCCACCCTTAGAGGGGTCCCGGACAGCCAAGCCCTGATGGAGTTGGTCAGCAACCAACCAGCCCTGGGGCCAAGGCCTGCAGAAGCAGAGAGGAGGGGTCTCAGGCAGGCCAGAGGTGCTAGCTGGGATGCCTGGGTCCCCCACCCCACCCCAGCACACTGTCCTTTCTCCAGGTGCTCAGTTAGATTGAGCTGGGTCCCATCTTGGGCCTTTGCTGGTCCCTCCCTAGAAAGTCTGCCCCCTCCCCCTGCAGGGTGGCATCAGCATTCAGGCCTGGCCCTGACGCCCTCCTCTCTGGGCCACCTTCACCTCCACAACCCCGGCACCAGCACCCATCCCCACCACATCCCCAGCACGCAGCATCTAGTAAGGGCACCAAATGCATGCCCAGACATATGAGTGAAATGAATTAACCCTGAACCTGAAAAAGGGCAACCACCACACAAGATTCTCTAGAAACAATGTGAATTGTGCAGAAGGAAATTAACCCTACTCCATCCAGCCCATCCTAAGGCAGGGACTTGGACCTGTTCCTCTTGATGGGGCTGGGGCTGAGGCGGGCAAGGCAGGCAAGTGCTGAACAGTTGGCAACATTGCCCATCCCGTCTCCCTGCACCAGGCTGGGCCTGGGGTGAGGGGGTGGGGGCCGGGGTAGCTGGGCTCCTCCAGCAAAGAGCAGGACTGAGTCCCTGGTGACTATTAGGTAAAAGGTCCCTGACAATTTTGAGGGGCCAGATGCCAACTCGAGGGATACAGAGAAGATCTAGGCACAGTCTTTCCCCACCATGTCAGACAAAAAGGTTAGATACAGGACCTGATATGTTATAAAACTCAATCAATATTTACTTAGTGAATAAATGGACGGATGGATGGATGGATGCATTAGGCAGCCAAGTGGGCAGCACCGATGACTTAATGTACTGAGTGCTCCGACTCCAGCAACATGCATTCATTGTTCCTACTGTGTGCCAGTGAACAAGAGCAATGAACTCAATGACTTCTGCCCAGGGTGGGCCAGGGAACCAGGGAAGACTCTCCAAAAAGGCAGCATTTGGGCTGGGACGTACAGATGAGTAGGGGGTCGAGTGTGTCGTTATGTCGCTGGAGCCCAGAGGCGTCCATCAGGACTTGGGGGAGGGCAGATGAAAGGGCCTTACTGCCTAACTTGGAGCCACTGTATGTTTCAAAACAAAGGAGAGAGAGGATCCTGGGAAAGAGAAAGGGTACTCTAGGCAGAGGATGTGAATGGGCACAGCACAGGTGAGAACATCAAGACCAGGGGTCAGGGAATCTACTGGTAAACAATTGTACCCCAAGGGAGCAATCACAGCCTCTCCATCCACAGGGAAATGCCTGGTGGGGAGGAATGGGAGGAAAGAAACAGATTGCATGACTGTGTCTTGAAGGTCTAATTCCAGAGTACAGCATCACCCCTATCTTCCAGGTCCAGAAACTGAGGCTCAGAGGGAGACTTTCTGATGAGTGCAGCGTGCAGATAAGAGCATCTCCAAAGCTACCTCCTTCCCCAGTCACACCAGGGCATAAGCAACTGATAACAGCTGTCAGCACGGGACAGTGGAGGGAACACTAGGTTAGGAATAAGGGTACGAGGCTTGAGTACAGATTGTCAATGACTCAGTGTGTGAACTTGGTCAGGTGACTCCAACCAGATGACTTCCTTCTCTGAGCTTCTGTTCCCTCCTCTATGAATGGGGACAATCACTCAGCTTCACAAAACAATGGCTGCGAAATTGCCTGGTACAAGAGAGAGAACTTCCAGTGTGTAGGGGCTGTTGTCCTAACTGCCCAGCCCCCTAGATAGGTAGTTATGTCATCTGTGAAATGGGTGTTAGAATTCCTACCTCCCAGGACAGCTGTGGGCAGAAAACCAAAGAATGTGTGTGAGAGCCCAAGCACCATGCCTGGCACATAGTAGGTGCTCAGGAAAGGCTGAGGGTGCAGCTGCTGTCCACACACATGGTACCACTGCCCCAGGAAGGGGCTTCAGGAACCAAGAGCAATTCTGAGCACTGGTGACTGGACTCTGCCATTCTCCATTTCAAACGCTTTTTGAAAGCAGCTCCAGACCCAAGCAGGAGAGCAGGAGGCAAAAGAAACGCAGGGGCTTTCCCGAATGGAATTTTAGAAACACACAGAATTGTCTCCTGCACAGAAGGGAAGCTGTCTTCCACAGCACAGAGCCACCAGGCCCCAGACTGCTGGCTTATGTATTTGTCATTGCTCATCATGAATGGATGCCAGGAAAGTCTCTTTGTGATGGGGGCACAACCCCTCAAATCTCCTCCCCTCCAGATGCCATCCACTGGAGCTGAGACTCCCAGGTCCCCTAGGGCTTCTCTCCCAGGGGCCTCTGGGCTCCCCAAGGCCACGTGCTGCCCCCACTAGAGACCTGGGCCAGTCCTGACCAGGGGAAAGAGTAGCGCCGACAACAGCCCCAGATGGTATGTGCACTGGCACATACTGGCAGCTGCCTTCATGACAGCAAGCCATAGGTCCAAATCCCGCCCCTTCACAGGGACATTCCCAACTGGTCAGGGGTGGACCTCCCCTTCCCGGCTGTCTTTGGTGTCCAGGACGATTTGCCACAGACAGGGGGAGCTAAAGGGGCCCACGCTTGAGGCCGCTCAGCTCTGAGTCCTCGCCGGCCACAGAGGACCTTCGTGCCTGTCCTCTGTCCTCCTGCCCAGTCCCCAGGCCAGGCTCAGCTGGAGTTGGGGAGCAGAAAAACACGCATCTGAATCAAGGCTCTCGGAGCCTTTGCTTCTGCCTCCAAGAGGCGAGGGAAAATGAATACCCAGGCGAGCGAGCAAGAGAGACCCTCAGAAAACCCCAGATGCCCCTGGAATCAAGCCCTGTCCCACCAACGCCACGTGGATTGACAGGCTATTAGTCTTCCTGTAATTAGGATTCTCGCCTCAAATCTTGTATCTTTTTCCCCCAGAAGATTCTCCTCCAGCCTTCACCACTGCCCCCTGGCGCTTCCTTGCAAGGCTTTTGAAGAATCCTTTGCAGAGAAGCAGCCTCCTTTGGCAGGGGCTGCAGAGCACTCTGCCTCCCTAGGCCAGGGCGAACCAACAGAGGCGGGAGATGAGGAGGAGCAGCGCGGCTCTGCTGCGTGGCCCTGGGCAAGCACCACAACCTCTCTGGGCCGTTTGCACATTCTTACCGCCAGGGATGTGGGCGGTAAATGAAAGAGACCAGCACAAACCAGTGTCAGCTCCCTTCCTCGATTCCTAAAATGTGATGCCCAAAGATGGGCCAGCCTCCTGCTGTGCCTTCTCTGGGGGGACATTTAATAAGTGGAAGAGCCCTGGCTCTGAGTCAGGCTAGAATCCCAGTTCTGCACTTAACCAGCTGTGTGACCTCAGGCAAGCAACCTGGCCTCTCTGAACCTGAGTTTCTTCATCTGTAAGTGGGAACGCTAATGCTGTGCTGAGGGTTCCATGGGACAACCATGTAAAAGCACCCAGCACGCACCCAGCAGGCAGCAGGTCCTGCACAGCGTTCCCTCGCGTGGGGGTGGGTTGGGGCTTGAGCACGGGTTGAACCTGGAAGAGGCCATTTCCCTCCCTTCTCCCCGAGGAATAATTGTGAATTCCTGGGTCTCAGAGGAAACATCCGCTTTGGTGGTCAGAAAGGACATCCTCCTTTGAGCAGGGGGAGAGCAGAGGGAAGGGGGTTGCGAGGGTCACGCCTTCCCCAGGCATTCTCGGGGTCTCTCCAGCAAGGATGGAGGCGGCCAGGGGCTTGGGCGGTGTGGGGCGCCACCTGGCGTCCAGAAGAGGTAAGACAGGCGGAGCGGGACCCTCCGAAGTGGGAGGAGGACGCTGGTCAGGGGAGGAGGGGACCGCGAGAGCGAGAGCGGACATTCTACCAAACACATGGACAACACAGAAGATGAGGAAAATGAGCAGGGCAGCTAGTCATAGGAGCAAATTTTAAAAATTAAGTGACTGAGGTAGTCAGGGGGCCTCACTGAGAAGTGGCTTGGAGTAAGACCTGAAGTTGGGGACTGGATATGCAGATGTCTGGGAGGAGAGCTTTTCAGGAAGAAGAATCAGCCAGTGCAGAGGCCTATGGCAGACCCAAGCAGGAGGCAAAAGAAACGCAGAGGCTTTCCAGGATGGAAAATGAAGAATCAGCCAGTGCAGAGGAATGTGCCTGGATGTGTTCCAGGAATGTTTCAGAATGAGCTAAAAGGCCAGGGACAGAGAACTAAGAGGAGAGGAGAGGTCAGAGAGATGGCGGTGGGCGGAAGGAGGGGGCGGGGCGGAGGAGGGGGCGAGGGGGCGGGGGGGCGGAGGGGGGGACGGAGGGGGGGGCGGGGGGCGGGGCGGAGGGGGGATGGGGCGGGGCGGGGTGTGGCTGTGCGTCTGGATAAGGGTTGTGGCTTTTATGCTGCACGAGAAGGAGAGCCATTGGAGAGCTTGGGGCAGAAACAAGAGCTGATGACATTTTAATCCCTCTGGCTGCTGTGCTGGGGTAGACTGTCAGGGCCAAGGGCAGAGTGTGAAAAGCGCCCAAGAGGCTTCTACAAGAATCTAGTGGGAGATGCTGCGGCTCTGGCCAGGTTAGTGGCAGTGCCAGTGGTGAGAGGGATGTGGTTCTGCGGGTGTTGTGAAAATGGAGCCAGCGGGATTTGTTGACAGACCAAAGTTGAGGTGAGACAGAGACTCCGGAATGACTGCAGGGTTATTGGTCTGAGCAGGGTTATTGGTCTGAGCAGATAACCAGATGGAGTCACCACTAACTTAGATGGAGAAGGCTGGTAGAGTGAGGAAATATCGGGAACTTATGTTCGGACTTGTTAAGTTTGAGATGGCTGGGAGATATCTAAGTGGAGAGGGCAAGGAATAAAATGCTTCCTAAACTCCAGCATCCATTCAGTCCCCTGGAGAGCTTGTTAAACCGGATGGATGGGTGCCACGCCCACCCCTGCACCCCTGAGTTGCAATAGGCCCAAAATGATTCAATAGGCCCAACATGGGGCCCAAGGTTCTACATTTCCAACAGCTTCCCAAGTGATGCCAATGCTGCCAGACTGAGAACCACACTTCGAGTAGCACCAAAGTAGGCAACTGGATGTTTGAGGCTGGCATTCAAAAGAGAGATCCTGGCAAGAGATAGAATTTTGGAGTCATTGGCACGGAAATCCACAAAACGACATGAGCTCTCCCAGGGAGTGTGTGTGTGTAAAGAGGGAAGAAAAGAGCATTGAGTCCCGAGCCCCAGGCTCTTCAATGGTAAGAGGTTGGCAGATTAGGAAGGACCAGCAAAGACTGGGATGGGAAACCACTGAAGCAAGAGGAAGGCCAGGCAGATGTGTCCTGAAAGCCAAAAAGAGAAAGGTCATCATTAATATGATACATTTTGCAATTTGTTTATATGTAAGAGGAGATTAATAGCTCATAGCATTCCCAGGCATTGCTGTTAGGAATTGCAGCTCCAGGCTGGCAACCCTTAAATCACAAACTAGATTGTCAAGAGGACTGCCTGGAATTCCAGCTCTGTAAGTAATATGCTGTGTGGCCTCAGCCAGGTCACTTCACCTCTCTGGGCTTCTCTTGCTTCCATATATAAATGTAATAAGAAAATCTTTTATTTATTATTTATTTATTTATTTTTGAGACAGAGACTCGCTTTGTCACCCAGGCTGGAGGGCAGTGGTGCGATCTCCACTCACCGCAATCTCCGCCTTCCGGGCTAAGGCAATTCTTGTGCCTCAACCTCCTGACTAGCTGAAATTACAGGCACCCACCACCACACCCAGCTAATTTTTGTATTTTTAGTAGAGACGGGGTTTCATCTTGTTGGCCAGGCTTGTCTCAAACACCTGACCTCAAGTGATCTGCCTGCCTCGGCCTCCCAAAGTGTTGAGATTACAGGAGTGAGCCATCACGCCCGGCCAAGAAGACCTTTTAAAGTAGATGTTCTAAGAGTCTCTTTCAGTTCTGAATCTCTTTGTTATCTTACATGTTACCCCCTCAGAGATGCCTTCCCTCACTCCCCTGTCCAAGGTAGCTCTCCACCCAAGTCAGCAGTCATCACAGAACCATCACAACCTGAAGCCCTGTGCATGTTGCTGTTTATTTCCTGTTTACATCACAACCTGAAGCCCTGTGCATGTAGCTGTATACTAACCCTAGAGTTAGTATAGCTTAGTTAAACTTTCATTTATTGCTAAAGGTTTATCACTGCTGTCTCTATCAGCCTCCCTGCACTGTAAGGGACAAGGGGGCAGGTCCAGTTTCTGTCTTGTTTCAGGTTTTGTCTCCAGCCAAGATAAGTATCTTTGCAAGGCTCTGTTTTTATTCTGAAAGGAAATTAGGAGCTATTGGAGGGTATGGAGTGGAAGGGGACAGTCTTCTGCCTTGGATGTATAAAAGGGATGCTGGGCCACGCTGATGGGCTAGACCATGGCAGGCAGAGAAAACAGGCAGGAGGCCAGGCAGGGGCTGCCAGTGCCCAGACACAGGCCGGGAGGTGCAGGTGGCAGTGGCAGGCAGTGGCCAGGCCCTGGGTATATTTTGAAGGTCAAGCCAACAGGACTTGCCAGTGGGCTGGGTATGGGCATGAGACAGGCAAGTTCTCCCAGATGTGACTCCGATGTGACATTTTGGAGACTCCCTCAACACCCACCTGGGGAAGACAGACCAGTTGGGAGGAAATATCTGGAGTCTCATTTTATTAATTCTGAGAGTTTGTTGTATTAGACAGTGAAGCGGAAATGTCAGGAAGTCAGCTGGAAATAGGAGTCTGGAGTTGGGGGGAAAGCCTAGCCAGAGACAGGAATTGTGGCGTCATTGGCGTAGAGACAGCGTTTAAAGCTGTGACGCTAGATGGGTTCACCAGGGGAATGAGAGTCGAAAGAGAAGAGCAGAGCAGAGCTGAGCCCTGAGGGGGGCAGAAAGGCACACAGGGACAGTGGAGGCAGGAGGCAGAAGGCAGAGGGTGGCGGGCCAACAGCTCTGAAGGTCAGTGCTCTATCACAGGGGGGTGGCCGAGGAGGGGCCCGAGGCTGGAACCAGGAGGCACTATCCCAGGCCTGCCTTCTCATGCCAGCAGCAGTGATCTATCCTCAAGGAGAATATTGATTGAGCACCTACTGCATGCAGAGACCTCATCAATGGCTCAATCAATATGACACGGCCACGCTTCCTGATCCGAGCCCTCTGAGCAGGTATTTTCCATCCTGGACTTATCCCTGTTTCTCAGGAGAGGGATGGACCCAAGAGACAAATAGTTCCCCCAAGATCGCACAGCAAGCCAGTGTAAAACAAGCATAGAAACCAGCTTTTAGGGGGCTCAAGGTGGGGGTCAGAAAATGAGGTGAGAGCAAGCATTTACTGAGCACCTCCTGTAAATATCTCCTACATACGAAGTGCTCTACCCACATTACTGACCACCCAATAAAGGCAGGTCCTGTAATTCCCAATTTGCAGATGGATAAGCAGAGGCTTAGGGGTGTGAAACAACCTCCTCAAGGTCATGGCTTCTAAGTGGTGGAGCCAGGCCTGCAAACCAGGCTGTCTGAATCCAAAATCCACCTCCAAGTCCACAGTGGGTTGGCCCCACCCCCAACCCATCCCCATCACCAACAGGACGGTGGTCAGAGTCCACTGAATGAAAGCATGCGTGCATTCAAAATAGACAGCCAATCAGCAGCCTTCCATCAGAAATGTCATCTTTATGACAACAGCATCGATTCCAGGCGTACCCTGCATATGTGAACCAAGGGGGATGGTGGATTGTCCTTTCCAAGCACTTCCCAGCCCCTTAGAGTCCCACAGGCCCAGAACCACGGCCCTTGACACCCTCTACCCACCCCTGCTCCCCCTTCTCCTCAGACCCCGAGTGTCTGGCCAGGCTTTCTCACTGGGAAGTGGCCACTCCATCCAAATGACCACCGCACCCCTCCTCACCAGCTTCCCTGCTTCTGCCCTGGCCCCCACTCTTTGAGTCCATTCTTCAACCAGCAGACAAAGGGGTGCTGTACACGCCTCTGCACAGAACCCCTCCAATGCCTTCTGTCTCAACTCAGAGCAAAGGGCAGCAGCTAGCACACTCCAAACACTCCCACCCACACCTCAGCTCCTCCCTCTGTCCCTCTGCTCTATTCCCTCAGATCTGACGGCTCCATCCCATAAACGTGGCACACACACACCTGCCTCAAGGCCTTTGCTCAGGCTGTTCCCACTGCCTGGAGCACTCTTCCTGCAGACACCCACGAGGCTCATTTTCCTTTAGTGAGGCTTTCCTGGCCGCCTCTTCCAGATAACAACTCTCCTCTCCTTCCCTGCCCTCCTGCTCCTCCTGTTCGCGCTACATAACAGACTCTGTGGGGCCTTGGTTTATGTATTTCCTTCTCTCCCCTACTGAAATACATGTGAGCGATGCTGGGGCAGGCCGACTAGAAGAAGCAGACTATCTGCTTCTTCTCCACCCTTAGAATGGTGCTGGGCCCAGAAGAGGCATGCAGTCGATATTTGCTGAATAAATGAATGTCAGATAAAGTGGTGTGGGGACTCCAGGGGAAAGATTTGTCATTCTCCACCCTCCCAGTTCAGCTTAAAGCAGAGAAGTGAGAGGTGCCCAAAAAGGGGTGTGTCTGGGGGGTGGGGGGTGGGGATGTTCCAAGATCTCCAAGGCCTGGATTTTAAGCAAGGTTTGAGATGCCAGCAAGAGGGCCTGGCATTGCCAGATTGATAGTCTGCATTTCAGAGAAGGACAACCCCACCTCTGACCTTAGCCCAAGCCTCAACAGCCTGCTCAAGGAGATCCACCCTTAGTAGGAGGAGGCAGCCAGGCCAGGTTCCAGTCCCTGCCACCGCTTGCCAGGTGTGTCTTGGGCAGCAGTTGCCTTTGCTCGGTGGTCTTCAGCTTTGCCCCCTGCCAGGCACGTGCTGGCCTCCTGCCTGCATCGTAGCTCATGGAGTCCTCTCAGTCACCTCTGTATGCCCTGCAGCATCCCCAGTTCTCAGTGAGAAGAGTGTGCTCTGAAAGTTAAGTAACTTACCCAAGGTCACACAAGGTCTGAGTCTCAAATGCATACAATTTGACCCCATAGTCTAAGGTCTTGACCGCAATGGAATAAGAAATTATTTTACCATTCTGAGTGGCAGTCTCTGAAGACTACAGCAATAATTGATGCCTCTCAGGGGGATAGGTGTGTCACTTACAGGTGATAGTGAGGTTGTCCTCAGCCTCCCTGCTCTTCGTTAGACCTCCCTCCTCCTCTCTACCCGGGCCAAGCGTCCAAGGCAACCCTGTGTGTTGCATTGCTCTTGGGGGCAGCCAGTCCCCCACATAAAGTGGTGTCTTCCTTCAGCTCCTAACAAGTCATGTGGCCATTGCCCACACTACAACGACAGAGGAAGCCTCAGGGGAACCCTCCTCCTCTCCCGAATCTCCGGGCTTCCTGCATCCCTGGGAGGCAATGTCCATTAATTCCAGCTATGACCAGCAGAGGGCAGCAGCAGCCTGGGGAAGACCCAGAGGCCCAGGCCTAGGGGAGAGGCCGGTGTCTCCACCCTAGGAGCCCCAATTCCTCCGCAGCAGGAGCAGACACACAAAGAGGAGGGCGAGCAAGGGTCCTCCGGGGCGGAACACCTCTGCCGCACCTGCAGCAGCCTTGCTCTATTTCTTCACAAGCTTCCCCATGACACTGACCCAAGGCTGTCTGGCCACTACAGCTGCTGATGATGATTAGCAATAATAATAATAATAAACGAAATGCCTTCTGCTTAGATCATCTTTAATTTCCCCTCCAGAATGACATTCGACTCTGCTTAGAGTTACAGGCAGCCCAGCAATTACTGAGCGCAAATACCGTGTTCACCCGCCTCACCTCATCCACGCCCCCACAACACCCAGCCCTGAGACTGGCTCCACGATCACCTCCACTTTATAAAATAAGATATCAAACTCTGAACAGAACGGACGTCTCAAAAAATGGGCATATTACATTTAAACCCTCAATCTGTTGGGTATTTGAGTGAAATGGACATACCTCCAGGGAGTCGGTGGCGAGGGCCGGCTCTGAGGACTTCCTGGGTTGGGATCCTGGCTCTGCAGGACTGCGTGACCTTGGTGAGTTACTTCATCCCTCCAAACGCGCTGTTCTCCTTCATAGAATGGAGATGACCACAGGGCCAGATTCATAAGGTTGTTCCTTGTAATACAGGTGAATATCCATACCCAGCAACTGCTGGACCACCTGTGGTTTCAAGGATAATTTCCCTCCCACGTCCCCGTGGCCCTTGGAACCTTCCTCTCCTCCTGTCTCCCCCTGCCCCCATCACTTTGTAATTGAAAAGTCATGATTGCTCTCCCAGGTGTAGCACTGCTCACAGGTCAGATTGCCTGCTCTGACGTAGTGACTCAGTTGGATGCGGTTCAGCTGTGTATGATCAACTCCCTCCCCCTGACAAAAACATTATTTTGCATCACAGAGAAGTTGATTTCTTTCACACATAAAAGAAGGCAAAAAGTGGTGCCTAAAGGGCTGGTACAGCAGCTTCAAGAAATCAGGAAGAACCTGGGCTCCTTCTGCCTTCTTGTTCTGCCAATATCACCCCATGGCTGCCACTTCATGGCCCAAGTGGAACCATGGAGCACCACCCTTCAGACCCATAGGTGACAACAGCCTGCTCTGTGAGAGTGGCAGTGGCTTCCAGAGAGACTTAGGAAGTAGAATCAACAGGACTTGGTGACAGATTTGCCACAGAGCTGGGGAACAGGGAGGTCCAACGGTGACTCCCAAGGAGCTGATGTGAGAACCAGAGCTGCTGTGAATATTGTTCCCAACTCCTGAGACAGGGACAGTGGTCCCGTGGCTAGGAAGTGGTAGGCAGTAGAGAGTCACAATGCACATTAGTATATCAACATTGTGAGTAGGGCACGCAGGGAAGAAACCTGTTCAACCCAGCCCCGTGCTAGAAAGACATCAGCAGGGCCTGCAAAAGCCCTGATTAAATCTCACAAGTTTGCACCTGGAGCCGCCATCTTGAATTGCAGGTGAATATCAGCCTTTGGTTTGGGCTGTGTGCCCCAGATGATGGTGGTCCCAAATTACATAGGCCAATATCCAGAGCTGGGTTAAAATGAAGCATTTCGAGGAAAAAAATGCAATGAAATTTGTTTAACCGGTACTTCAGGCTTTTGAGCACAGAACAGCGTCCATCCCTCCAAACACACACTGAGGATATACACTTAGCCAGGAGGGAACATAAGGAGGGGTGGACAAGCCATGTTTACTAAAATCTCTCAGTGTGTGCCAGGCATGTTCATGTATATTCAGGAAGAAGTGTCAGTATTTAAGATCCTCGGCCCTTGCCCGAGTCCCCAACACGCCTTCTTGTCTGGAGAACTGTAAATCTTGGAAACATCTTGCAAGGGGGGACACCTCACAGAAGGCAGGCTTGGCATGGGATAAACAGAATCGACTCCTCTGCTTCCTTCTGATGCACAGTGAATGGGCAGGTGGAAGCATCGTTGCTTAAAGAGGAACCAAAACTCCACCCCAGAGCTGCTAATTCCTTTTGGCTTGCAGTTATGCAGAGGGCTAAAAAATCCAACGAATCACAAATCCCCTGGTTGCTAAGTAGAAAGAATATGTTTTGGCTGCTGCTGTTCCCTTCCCCAAGGAAAAGATTCAAGCAGAGGCGGTCCCCACCTCTCAACACAGAAAGCAACATCTCTGATTGCCTCTAGACACACCTTCATGCTCGTGGCACTTTGGGACCCTCTGCCCGCTGGCTTATGGGCATGGCTTCCCCATCACTCTGGGTCCTTGGGAAGAGCCTCTTTCCCAGACCCCACCTCTGTGCCTCATCACATTTCTCCCAGGCTATTGACTTGTTCAAGGTTAAGGTATGAAGAGAGTCATGCAGCAGCCCTACCTGGCTCTGCTCTGCTGGGGGAAGCCTTTTCAGAGCCTGCCTCTTCCTCAGCATGAGGGGCTGCTCGGGCCCAGTCCCAGAGGCCATGCTGGTCCCAGGGGAAGGTGGCCGTCATCCCCATCTGTGTTTTCTCTTGCAGGTAAGTCATGCTCCAGCAGTCGGGAGGGTTGTGTGATGACACACTTGGCAGTTTGGGAGCAAAAGCCGCCACAGTAAGACACAATTGATTCATTGCCTCTCAACCCTCTGCTGGGGTGGACTTTCATGCGTGGACTTCTGTCCCCAAAGAGGCTTCTCTGGGTCTGGAAAGGGCCCTAGCCTTGGTTGGGGGAGGCAAAGGGGTGGCGGCTTCCAGGTACCATCTGGCCAGGAACCGGCTCCATTGTCTGTGCATGTAGCTTGCACTGGGCTGCCTGCTCCAAGGGAGGCATCTCCCCACGATCTACGACATTGGCTTCAAAGAGCTGCTCCTGGCAGCTTCGAATGGCTGAGACCTACTGGCATGGGATGGAGGAGTGCAGGGAGCTTCCCGGGACCTCGCTAGTCCTGCCTGGATGCTCAGAAGGCCCTCGTCCTCGGTGGCATGCAGCCTCGGCCATTTCCAAACTCACGGCATCTCACCCAGCCATGTCACCCACCCCCGGCTCTGTCGCCCTTCCCATCACCTTTCTCCCACCCATCACCTCACATCAAGGTTTCAGCCAGCGGGAACCAGGTTTAGACTCCAATTACCTGTGCGTGTGGGAGGTTGGATTGTGACATCTTTGGAGGGCCGGGCTTCTGAAGCGACATTTGATTTCTGGTACTGAAATGTCAAAGGGTCCTGAGGCACCCGCTAGGGCAGCACGCGGAGCATCCACCTGCGTGCGCATCCTGGGCTCTCTCTGGGCCACTTGGTGCTGGGGACATGCCGGGAGCTGGTGGTCAGCCCTCCTCCTGCCTCCTCAGTGCTGCATCTTCACCTTCTGCAGCTGCCTACCAGAAGCAGGGGGACCTGGAAGGCAAAGGAGAGGGAGTTGGCATGTAGTGAGCACCGACTGTGCACACAGTGCCAGCAAGGAGCTTCACACTCATCTCCAGCGTCACAGCTGCCCAGTGGCTGTGGAAGCCGATGGACTGGGCCCTCTCCCAGTACACAATCATTAGAGGGTCTCAGTTCACTGAGTAACTGTGGGAGCAGCACGGTGCCTCCATCAGCCCCCAGTTCTGCTTTCGAAACATCGTCACCATCGCCAAAGCAAAGCCTCAGACCTGCAGGCCAGCGCTCCCATGCCCCATAGCCGGGAGTAAAGGACAGATGCGGGGAATCTGGAAGGAGATTCACTTCAAGCACCATCCCACTCTATTTGTTAAACTTGTGCTCCTGTGAAAACTGCTTGTGTCTGCATCAAACCCAGCTAGGGAGGGCTGAGGGCTAAGGGTAAACCTGGGAGAGTTGAATTCCAGTGCTGTGATTAAAACCAATATTCCACATAATGCAATGTAACTTGCTCACATCGTCCCATGTAATCTTTAAAGCCACAGCCCTTTTGCAATTGGGATTATTATCTCCATTTTACACTGGAGGAAACTGAGGCTCTAAGAGGTGAAATGATTCACCCAGTTAGGAAGTGATGAGTCCAGATGTGGTAGACTGAATAATGGCCCTCACAATGGAACCTGTGAGTGTTCCCTTAGATGACAAAGGGCCTTTGCAGATGTGATTAAATTCAGGATCCTGAGATTGGGAGACATTATCCTAGATTATCCAGGTGGGTTCTAAATGTCATCAGAAGTGTCTTCATAAGAGGAAGACAGAGATTTTGCTACAGAAGAGGGGGAAACATGATGATGAGTCAGAGGCTGGAGTGACACCTGGAAGGGGCCATGAGCCAAGGCGTCCAGGTGGCTGGAAGCCAGAAAAAGGCCAGGAAATGGGTTTTCTCTGTGAGCTTCCCCAGGAAACCAGCCTGGCCAACACCTTGACTTTAGCCCAGTGCAACTGACTCCACATTTCTGGCTCCAGAACTGTAAGAGAATACATTTGTGTTTTGTTAAGCTAGCAAATTTGCAGTAATTTATGACAGCGCTATGAGAAACCAAAACACCAGGATTATGCCCCAAGGATCCTGATGCCCTCCCTCCTCTCTGCTCTGCAGTGTGCTGGAGCTCACAGGGCTCTGCTGCTGGGAGTTAGTATCTAGTCCAACACTTTACCCACTCACCCCCCAAGCTAAGGGACTCCTGAAATCAGGGACCAGATGCATAATAGGTGCCCAGGAAGTGAGACTCGCCTTCCCCAGATTAAGAATAAAGAAGACAAACTATCCACGGCTGCTGTGAGCCTCTCATCAGACCTCAGCTTCTAGGGCAGGGTCCCTGCCTGTCTCCAGTATGTGGCCTCTGTGTCTTCTTCGCCCTCCATCCCCACAGTGGGACGAGAAGTCATCAGGAAGGCAGGGGATCTGCAGGCAGCCATCAGGGCTCTAATTGCAGCTGGCTGGGGGACCATGGGTCAGGGCTGCCACCCCCTGGCTCTGTGCCTTCACCTGTGTAACGAATGGGGCACTCACAGCCCCTCTCAAGTGGTCCTGGGGATGAAGTGAGAAGGTGACATATACAAGTGAGTTATACACGTTCCTGTTCTGTCACTCACCAGTGCTCACTGGGTGGGTCACTGAACTCCCCTCAGCGTTTCCTTCTCCATCTGTAAACCACCAGTGCAAACCTTTCCCAGATAGTGCTGACCCGAAGCAGGAACCAGTGCCCCTCTGCCCTCAGTAAGTCTGCCAGCAGAGGAAGCCCATAGAGGGTCTTGGGAAATGAAGCCAACAGAGTCAAGAGGGTCAGATGATGAGGGACTTCAAGTGCCACCTTCATCCCATTCTTTCTGCAAATATTCACCACACACCTACGTGACCTCAGGCTCTGTGTCAGGTCCTGGGGATGTAATGGTGTCCATGAAGAAACAAGGTCCCTGCCCTCATAGAGTGGCCTGACATATGCCCGAGGCAGTCAGCAGCCGAGTGCGGGAGACTCTTGAGCAGAGATTGAGTGTGTTGATATCTGTAGGCATCAGCCTGGCTTTGCTGAGTGAGCTATATCAGAGTGGAGGAGGCCAGAGGCAAAGTCCAGACTCCACTGGATCCTGGATTGAGGGGAGAAGGGGCTGGGCGGAGGAGCAGCCTGAGCACCTGCATCTCACTCCAACTGGGTGCTGATTTGTCCCCATGGCCCCAGCACCCAGGCAGGTCACCAAGTAAGCTCAAGACAAAAATGATGAGTGACTCAACAGTGTCTGGGGACAAGGGAGGGAGAGAAGAACTCAAAATGACTGAGGTTTCCAGCTACCAGAAAAATGGAAGGACCTTGAAACAAATGGGCCATCAGCAGGGGACACTGGCTGGAAGCCCAGAGTCCAGTCAGCTCTGTAAGGCCCCCAGAATAGGCATTTGACTTCAAGTCACAGGCATTTCAGCAAAAGCCTCTTTGCTACAGTGATTATGGTGAAGCAGATGCCCACAGCTGAGATGGGCAACTCTCAGGCCTCCAGTGGGGACAGAGAATCCCTGGGCCCCAACATAGCTTGGCCTGAAGATCTGAGTCAGGCATCCAACCTCTTCTGCTCAGCTCTTTCAGGAAGATGTGTATACTGGCCTCTCTTGCCGCAAGGGTCCACCACCTTCCTTATGTGTGACCTAAGGCTTCTAGTGCTGGCTCAGTGGCTAATTTGAGCATAAGCACCCTTGTTGGTAAAATGAAGGATAGGTGTAGATCAGCATTTCCCAAAGTGTGTGCTTCTCAGAAAATTAGGTCCCTGGTTGTCTGTAGAGGTTACTTAACAAAGAGACTCTGTAGTTATGTTAGAAATAAATCTTATGATTACCAGGATTAGTCTCTTTAAAGCTTGTCTAGGTGGGTCACAAATCCGCCTCAGTCAGGCTTTAAATGGGGAACAGGGTTTAAATTGGATTTAAACATTTAAAAACCATGCTAACAAGAACCAAAAGAAAGTGAGAGTAGCTACATTGATTTCAGACAGAGCAGACTTAAGGAACATTGTTAGGGATAAGGATGGATATTACATAATAACAAAGGTGTCAATACTCCAAGAAAACATAACAATCCTTAATGTGTGTGCACCTAACAACCGAGGGTCAACATACAGAAGACAAAAAATGATATAAATGCAAGGAGGAATACATCAGTCAACTGTTACACTTGGAGGCCTTAACACCCCTCTACCAGAAATGGACAGATCCAGCAGGCAGAAAGTCAGTCAAGGCATAGCTGAACTCAATGACACTATCAATTAACTGGATGTAATTGACATCTGTAGGCTACTCATCCAACAAGAGCAGATATCGTATTTTTCTCAAACCCACATGGGACGTTCACCAAGATAGGCCACATTCTGAGTCATTAAACATACTTAACAAAAGCAAAATAATAAAAATCATACAATGTCTGCTCTCAAAGCACAATGGAATCAAACTAAAAATCAATAACAAGGAGATAGCAAGAAAATCCCAAAATACTTGGAGATTAAACAACACTCCTAAATAACATAGGTCAAAAAAGAAATCTTGAGAAATTAAAAAAAAATACTCTGAATCAACTACAGATCACACAAACATCAAAACAATAATAAAGGAATATTATGAACACCTCTATGCCCACAAATTTGACAACTTACATGAAATGAACCAATTCTTTAAAGTAAATAATCTGCCAAAATTCGCACAAGAAGAAATAGATAATCTTAATAGCCCTATGTCTATTACAGAAATTGAATCAATAACATCCTTTCGAAACAGAAAGCACCAGGCTCAGATAGGCTGATTGGTGAATTCTAACAAATATTTAAGGAAGAAAATGTATCAATTCTCTACAATCTCTTCTAGAAGATAGGAACAAAGGAAATATTTCCTAACTCATTCTATGAGGCCAATATTACCCTAATACCAAAACCAGACAAAGACATCAGAAAAGAAAACTACAGACTAATATCTCTCATGAACATAGATGCAAAAATTCTCAACAAAGTATTTGCAAATTGAGTCCAACAACGTATAAAAAGAATTATAAGCCATGACCAAGTGAGATTTATCCCAGTTATGCAAGGCTGGTCCAACATTTGAAAATCAGTTAATGTAACCCATCACATCAACAGGCTAAAGAAGAAAAATCATATAATCATATAAACAGATGTGGAAAAAGCATTTGACAAAATCTAACCCCCAGTTGTGATTAAAACTCTCAAAAAACAAGGAATAGAGGGGAATTTTCTCACCTTGATAAAGAACATCTACAAAAATCCTCCAGCTAACATCATACTTAATGGTGAGAAACTAGAAGCTTTCCTACTAAGGTACAAGGCAAGGATGTCCCCTCTCACTCCTCCTTTTCAACATCATATTGGAAGTCCTAGGTAATGCAATGAGACAACAAAAGGAAATAAAAGGTATACACATAGGGAAGGGAAAAATAAAGCTGTTTTTGTTTCCAGATGACATGATTATCTGTATAGAAAATTGAAAAGAATCAACAACAAAAACAAAAACCTCATGTAACTAATAAGCTATTATACTGAGGTTGCAGGATAAGGTTAATATACAAAAGTCGATCACTTTCCTATATACCAGCAATGAACAAGTAGAATATGAAATTTAAAACACACTACCATTTACATTGGTAAGGTATATCCCAAAATGAAATACTTATAATCTAAATAAGTATAAATCAAATAACATATGTACAAGATCTATATGAAGAAAACTACAAAACTCTGATGAAAGAAATCGAAGAAGAGCCAAATAAATGAAGAGTATTCCATGTTTGTGGATAGGAAACCTTGGTATTGTCAGGTTATCAGTTCTTTCCAACTTCATCTATAGATTAAATGCAATCCCAGCCAAAATTATTGGTTATTAGCAACTATTAACAAATTATTTTATGGATATCAACAAAGTGATTTTAAAGTTTACAGAGAGAGGCAAAGACTCAGAATAGTCAATTTAATACTGAAGAAGAAGAAAAAAGTTGGAGGATTGACACAACCTGATTCAAGACTAACTCTAAAGCCATGATAATAAAGACACTGTGGTATGGGTGAAAAATAGACAAGTAGATCAATGGAACAGAACAGAAAGCCCAGAAATAGACCCACATGAATAGAGTTGACTGATCTTTGACAAAGGAACAGAGGCAATACAGAGGAGCAAAGACAGTTTTTTCAACAAACAGTGCTAGAACAACTGGCCATCCACATTAAAAAAAAAAAAGAGTCCACACACAAACCTTGCACCCTTCACAATAATTAACTAAAAATGGGTAATAGATCTAAATATAAGACACAAAACTATAAAACTCCTAGAATATAACATGGAATCATATCTAGAAGATCCTGAGTATGGCAGTGACTTTCTAGATATAACACCAAAGGCACAATCTGTGAAAGAAATAATTGAGAAGTTGGAATTCATTAAAATTTAAACCTCTGCCCTGTAAAAGGCAATGTTAAGAGAATGAGAAAATAAGCCACAGACTGGGAAAAAATATTTGAAAAAATATATATCTGATAAAGGACTGTTATTCAAAGCATACAAAGAACTCTTAAAAATCAATAATTAGAAAATTAAAAATCTGATTCAAAAATAAGCAGAAGACCCGAACAGACATTTCACCAAGGAAGATATACAGATGGCAAGTAAGCATGTGAAAAAATGCTCCACATATGTCATTAGGGAATTGCTAATTAAAACAATGATGAGATGCCACTACAGAACTCATAGAATGGCCAATATCCAAAACACTTAACAACACAAAATGTAGGTGAGAATGTGGAGAAACAGGAACTCTCATCAGTGCTTCGTGGGACTGTGCAAAACAGTACAGCTGCTTTGGAAGACAGTTTGGCAGTTTCTTACAAAACTAAACAGACCCTTACCATAAGATTCATCAGTCATGCCCTTTGGTATTCACCCAAGTGAACCAAAAACTTGTGTTCACACAAAAAACTGCATGTGGATGTTTACAGCAGCTTTATTCATAATTGACAAAACTTGTAGGCCACCAAGATGTCCTTCAGTGAGCGAATGGTTAAATAAATGATGGTGCATCCTGGCAGTAGAATATTACTCAAGACTAAAAAGAAATGAGCTATCAAGCCAGTAGAAGGCATGGAGGAACCGTAAGTGCACATTACTAAGTGAAAAAAGCCAATCATGCTTCCAACCATGTAACATTATGGAAAAAAGCAAAACTATGGGGACAGTAAAAAGATGGCTGGTTTCCAGGGTTGTGGGGAGGAAGGGATGATTAGGTGGAGCACAAAGGATTTTTAGGGCATTGAAACAGTTCTGTATGCTACTACAATGGTAGACATATGTCGTAATTCATTTGTCAAAACACAGAGAATGTACCAGGAGTGAACCCTAATGTAAACTATGGACTCTGGGTGATAGTGATGTGTCATTGTAGATTCCTCAGTTATTACAAATGCATCATCCTGGTGTGGGATGTTGATGGTGGGGGAAGCTGTGCATGTGCGGGAGTAGGGAGTATATGGGAACTCTTCTACTTCCCACTTAATTTTGCAGTGAGCCTAAAACTACTCTAAAAAATAAAGTTTATTAATCAACAAAGAACACAGTGAGCTGCAACTTCATAACCAGTAGATTGACAAGAATTAAGAAATTTAATAAAGAATTGATTAGAATATGGAGCAACAGGAACTCTTACACATTACTGATGGAAAAGAAAATTGGTATACCTACTTTGTAAATAGTTTGGAAATGCCTAGAAAAGTTGAATATGACCCCAAAATGACCTAATAATGCCACTATTAAGTATTGACCCTAAAAAATTATTGTTGAACGCATTTTTTAAGAGATAAATGCAAAAACATTTGTTGCAGTATCATTTCAACAGCAAAAACTGGAATCAATTTAAACAGCTCTCAGTGGTTGAATGAATAAACTCATTTTATGCAA
This sequence comes from Homo sapiens, assembly GCF_000001405.40. Lineage (NCBI taxonomy): Eukaryota > Metazoa > Chordata > Mammalia > Primates > Hominidae > Homo > Homo sapiens. The sequence continues at coordinate 170,649,296 of NC_000005.10, forward strand.
AATGAAAATAAAAATAGATATGGGAACAAGATTTACTATCAAGTGGTTTTCTCAACTTTCCTCTCTTCTTAAGAATATTTTATTTTGCCTGCCATCAAAACTTTTGTTCCAGGGCATCCATGGTCCATTGTTTAGTTTCTGCACTGAACAAAGGCTCTTGATGAAGGAGTGAGTGGGAGCTGAAATCCAGCCATGCTCTGCTCCCCAAGCCATGCATTTGGGTGCAGGCTCTGTCTCTACCCAGAGAGAGGAGGCATCTTTTACTTCAGATATTGATGTCATCTATTCCCCAAATCCAGTGCTTACAAGTCTGGATCTGCCCTGTGGGAAGTATTTTTCAAATTCATCTACTCAGCCTGAGCATCATTTTCTAACTCACACAAAGGCATTTTTTAGATTAGTAGGAGCACTGACCTGTTCACCACCCAGCCTATCCATCCTGGTACAATCCTGTTGTAACCAAGCAGGTACCCAGGCCTTTTTAATGCAGCAGAGAAATAGGAAGTGAGGCAGGAGGGAGGCAAGGTGATGTCTTGTCTTTTCTTTGTCATGAAAAGGTCAGGAAAGGGACAGATAGAGTGAAAGAAGATTGGAAAATAAGCCAGAGAGGCTCGGTTGTTCTTCATAACAAAAAGAAGTTGGGGGTAAGTAAGAGAAAGAGCCAGGAAAGAGAGCCAGAAAAGTCCCAAAGGAGGGGTGCCCTGGGGAGCCCTCTTGTGCTTTATAGCATGAGTGGCTCCTGTGCAGTTGGGAGAAGGAAGAACATCAGAGGGGAGAGAAAAGGGAATTTTAAGAAATATTGCTAAGCGTTATAGATTAGATACCCTTTAATGTAAATATTCAAATTCCTTTTTATAAAAAAAGATATATTGAAATATAATTGAAATACAAAAAAATTGTACATATTAAACATATCTGATTTTATTAGTCTGGACATATAGCCAGACCTATGAAATCACCACAATCAAGATATGAATATAACTATCACCCCCCAAAGTTTCTTCATGTCCTTTTTAATCCCACCTTCCATCCCTCCCACCCTGCCATCCCCCACCTCAGGTAACACTGATCTGCTTCCCGTCAGTAGAGAGTAGTTTGCATTTTCTACAGTTTTATCTAAATCAGCCACGCAGTATGCATTCTTGTCTGGCTTCTTTTATTCTGCATTATTCTGGGACTCATTCACGTTGTGTAACTGAATACTTCATTCCTTTTTATTGCTAAGTAGTATTGTAGTATTTCTTTGTATGGATATACCACAGTAGGCTTATTCATTCATCTATTTATAGACAATTCCAACTTTTGACTATTACAAATAAAGCTACTATGCCATTCACATACAAATCTTTACGTGGAAATGCTTTCATTCCTCTTGGGCAAATACCTAGGGGTGGAATTGCTGGATCACATGATGGATGAAACCTTAACTTTTTAAGAAATTGCGAATTTAGGATTTTCCAAAGTAGATGTAGCATTTTATACCCACCAGCTCTCCATTAATAAATTGGATTTCATCAAAAATTTAAACTTCTGCTCCAAAAGACACTCTTAACAAAGGGAAAAAGCAAGCCACAATATGAGAGGAAATATTTGCAAAGCATCTGATAAAACATGTGGATCTAAAATATGCAAGGAGAATAACAACTCTATTTTCCACTAAGGAATGAATGACTGTACAAGGACCACATTCTAATTAGGAGCTTCTGAACCCAAAGGAATTTCAGATAAGGGGAAATTTAGGCCCAAAGCCAGGAGAAGGGGTGAGTAGGGCTTGATCTCTGCCTCTGAAGGGCAGAGGGCGTGGACTATTCTTGGCTCTTAGGGGACAGCTAGAGAAATGTGGGTCTCATGGCGACAACTCTGGACTCCATTGGAAGAACCTTCTAACAGTCAGGGCTCCCAGAGATAAACTAGACAAGTCACCAAGAGAGGCAGTGGGTACCCCTCACAGGAGGGGTGCAAATCAAAGCCAAGGCTTGGAGTGGACCATATTAAATCCATTTCTTATCCTGTGATTCTTAGAGTCCTATCTGTATCAGGGGAAGGCAGGTGGGTTCTAGAACTTTCTAAATGTGTCCCTGTGGGTTTTTCCTTCTCCAGCTACACACAAACTTGGGCCTAATAAGAAGTCTATGGCATTAACCCAGCAGGAATGCTTAATGCTTATATCTGACCTCAAACCAAGACTGTCTCCACAGTGAACAACCCCGTCCTGTCCCCTGGGCGTCTCCTTAGCAAATGCCATCAGTCAATGGTGCAGCCATCTTGGAGCCCTTGCCATCTATAATCTTCTACCGCCACCCCCCCAGCTGATTGTTTTCTTTGTATGTCTCCTTCCTGGACATTACTTATTCTTTACTTTTAAATATTTGCTTCCGTAAAAAAACAAATGAATGCCTCGGACAGATTTATAAAGAACATTCCTGGAGAGGCGGGTGGATTAATTATTCAGCATCCTCTCCCTTTGTAACTATTTATTGTCTCATATGCATTTATATGGTACCTATCACTGCAGATCTCGCTCCATGCTGGAGACATAATTTCCAGTGACTGACTACTTGTCTAAGATATATATCGTATTGCAATACTATTTTATTTCTGACTGTAAGGGCACGTGCCACTGTTGGGTAATTGTGTTCATGTTTTTAAATGTGAAAAATAATCAAATATAACTTGAAAGAGATTGTACAGTAATTCAAGGGGATATTAAACCACCAGGAAGTTACTCGGCAAATAAATAGGCGTTTGTGGCTGTCACGCTGAGCAATGAGGAGCTGGCTGGCTGTGGGGGAGGGGGAGACAGAGAGAGGAAGACAAAGAGGAGAGTGCAGTGTGAGTGCCTGGTTGCCAGGTTAGTTGTGTTGGGGGAAAGGAGCTTCTAATGGCCAAGAATAGAAGACCTGAAGTTGGCTAGTGCGTGGCTAGTGCCTGTAATCCCAGCACTGTGGGAGGCCAAGGTGGATGATTCGCTTGAGCCCAGGAGTTCAAGACTAGCCTGGGCAACATGGAAAAACCCCGTCTCTACTAAAAATACAAAAAGTTAGCCAAGTGTGATGACACATGCTTATAGTTTCAGCTACTCGGGAGGCTGAGGTGGGAGGATAGCTTGAGCCCAGGAGGCAGAGGTTGCAGTGAGCCCAGATTGAACCACTGCACTCCAGCCTGGGCAACAGATTGAGACCCTATTAAAAAAAAAAAAAAAAAAGGAAGGAAGGAAGGAAGGAGAAAAGAAAAAAGAAAAGAAAAGAAAAGAAAAGAAAAATGACCTGAAGTCACTGGATTTCCTTCGAGGTAGCCAGAAACAGAGGAAAGGGGGCATTGCCCACTTAGGGTAAAAAGTAGAGCACCGAATTGTGGAAGGCTGCAGGTTTTCATGTGTGCTTGCCCAAGTGATGTTCCATGTCAGGCTCTAGGGTCCCTGCAGGGACAGAGAGGGACTAACATTTACTTACATGCCTATAGTATGTCAGGCATATACTTGTGCCTTTATATATATCAGCTCTGTTTTTGTCATTAAAACATCCCTGTAGAAAGATAGGCACTGCTGTCCCATTTTACAGATGGGGAAACCCAAGCTCTGAGTGGTTCAGCAAACCCTGGGTGCATACCCCCACCTTGCCCCTGCAAAACCAACAAAAAAACGAAGGCCCTGCCTTCCTGGAGCTGACATTTAGGTTGATTCTGAAAGTCAGTAGGCCCAGATTTTCACTCTTCATTTTTCTTGTTTGGAATGAGAGAGCACACAGCTGGGTCGGGGGAAGGAGCGAGGGTCTAGGCCTGCATCCACTCACCCCAAAGGAAAGGAGTAGGGGACCAGTCTGCTGGACATGCAGACAGCGATTGGAGAAAAGTCAGCCCAGCTATGAACCCCATTCCTTTCAGTATGAGCCAAGAGGGATGGCATCTGTCAGAGTTGCTGGATTTGGGATTTTGCATCTTGCCAAGTGTCCATGAGGAATTGGGGAAACTCTCCCCCTGGCTGGACTGAGGCTTCAGCAAGCATTGTTGCTGCCCAGTGGTGATCAGCTCAGTGTCCTTGGAAAAGAGCAGAAAGTGGTATCACGAACATATCTTCTCCTTTGCTTCCTTCTCCTCACTCTTCATCATCATCATCATCATCATCATCAAATATGGATCTGTGAGGCTACCTCTGGGGTTGAAACTTGGTTTTGGGCAAAATTTGTGATGTTCTCTCTGCCCAATCCAGCCTCAGGCTACAAATGAATGTAAAAATCTCTAATTTAGTGCCAAGTAACAGAAAACAGCTCTACTTATCTTAAGCCAAAAAGAGGGACTTCTCAGAGGCATACTAATGGAGGATGGCAAGAGGGCCTCACGTGGAACCAGGGCCTGGAGCGGCACAGCATTCAGGAAGCTCAGTCTCCTTCTCTCTCTCTCTCTCATCTCTGCTTGTTTCCCTTTACCTGTAGACATGCTATCATTTTTCCAATATCCATGGCAGAATGTGGCCACCAGTAACTCCAGGTGTATAACAGAAGCCTGGCCTCCCAGGAGAGGGTGACTTGATGCCCTTAGCTCCAGCCTTCCACTCCCACCCTGGGCCAAGCAACTGGTGGCCAGGAGGAGCTCATATTGCAGGAATATTGAAATTTTCACTAAAATCATTTGAATCGAGGAGGACATTTCCTAGAAAAAAGGGTGCTAGTCTGACAAGCCCACAGTGGTCCCCTTCATCTGGCAATTCATCTTCTGCAAAGGTCACACCATCCTTTTCGCTTTCCAACCTCTGCACCAGTGCCCAAGTCTGTCACTCCCTCCTCTCATTCTGAAACATCCTCTGCACTCCATTCACCAGTGCCAAGCCTTGCCCTTCTTCAGGGTTCAACTTTGTCCCACCTTCTCTGAGAAGGCTGCCCTGGTCCCTGCAACCGCTATGAGCTGCCTTTTCTGAGCTCTTCTGCTGTGGAGGATCCATGCCATTGACCTAGGCACCCGTTTTCCACATATTGAGCATTGCTGAGCACCTATTCTGTGCCAGGCACTGTGCTTCAGGGCCATGGGGGATGCTCCAAGCGGTAAAATGCAACCAAAGCCCCGAAGGAGCTCACATTCTAGTCATGTCCACAAAGAGGTAATAAATCCATAAATTGTATGTACTATTCTAGTCACAATAAAATTGTGTCGTACTGTAATGCTGGGTATCCATTTTAAAACGGGGGGCATCGGCTGAATCTGGGTCATTACAGTAGGAAATGCATATATATAATCATTTACTCATGAATATTAATGTATTTAATGAGGGTAAAAGATATTACTTAAAGCAAAGTATTCGTTCCAGCTACTGTTGGATTTGTTCATTACTGTTTCCCATGCAGATATTACCTGTGATTTACCTGCATATCAAGCATCTGGAAGTAGCTCAAATCCACCTGTGGGTAAATTAGGTTAGCCATTTGTTGGCAAAAATTACAGTGTTAACTAATTTCCAGGGTATGCTTGCAGTCAGTAGTTTCATACTTAGGTACATGACTTGCATTCACATCATCTGGTTAATGGTGTGAACAGAGATTTTCTTTATGGTTTTTGGAATACAGTAAGATAATGTTAAGCTAACGTAAGTCTGTTAACAGTACCTGGTTCTGAACTGTATTTATAAGGTGTATCATAAAACCATTACTTTGGAGTTTGCCAATCTTAAATTCAGAACAATTCAAAAATGAGCCAGAATCTAGTTTGCATCATTACCACTTATAAAAATAAGGATCTGTAAGTTGGCTGGATAAAATATATTACAAAATAATGACTTAAGTGGCTCTGGAGCCAGCACAAAAGATAAAAATTGGGTATACTCAAAATTACCTTCAAAATATCTTAAGTCATTCTTAAAATACATGTAAATATGCCAACTCAAAATACATCCAACAAAACTAATATTTTTCCCAATTTGTTGGAAGAAATTTCTCTTTCTTTAGTTGTGCATTAGATGAGGAAGTCAGAGTGCATTAATATTCGGGGCCCTGTTGTATAAAAATGACAGATTTTCAATGTATGCTAATATGCAGGTCACACTCGGCCCAGTGAGATGCTTGCCTAGAGGAGGCACGTGGAAGCCAAGGCCAAGGAAGGCATAATTCACTCTGGAGAACTTCTTTAGCTGGCAAAGCTCAGTTTCTCCCCGGATCCCATTTTGCTCTGGTTGAATTCGCATGCACCAAACCAAGACCAAAGAGTTTATGATGTGGTTCCCGCCACCGTTGGCCAATAGCAATTTCTAGGCCCACCTTCACCAAGGCAGGTCCTAGATGTGTTGCTAGGCATTTGGAGTTTACTGAGATCTGCAAAGCTGACTTCTTCCCCAGTTTCAGGTGGTTCAGGCTGTTCTTGCCTCTCCTTGGTGTGTCAGAGTAGAGGAGAAATGACTTTCAGTGCTGGGACCATAACCCTGTTTCCACTCCACTTCTGACTTGCACTGTGGGCTGAGAATTGACATTCTGCTTGGGGAAATTTTGTTCCCCCAACCGTAGCAAAGTTTAATTACCATGTTCCCGCTGTGGGGGGAAATCCTATTCAAGAAACCAGCCTCTCTCAAATCAATCAGTCATCTTGCTCATTGACCAATGGTTCGGCCACCCGGCAAGAAATTAGAAAAATCTATGCATAGGAGAAAGCTTTCCAACAGCCCTGGAAAGGCCTTGGGCCCCAAAGGGCTAGTATGAGGTTGAGGTGGGGGAGAGCAAGAGAGGACAAAACAGGCTGGGTACTGACCTTCCTCGTACTCCATGGCTCAGAACTCTGACCTCTTGCCAACCTGCCTTCCGCAAGCAGCGAGAGTAGCACGGCTCTGAGGGGCATGGCCAGGGAGGATGTGACCTCTAAGTGCTCCAAGTCACTGGGAACCCTGTTCTAATAATAGGCAAAGCTTCAGTTGATGGAGTGCCTATATGGGCCCAGCCCTGTGAACAGCTTCCTCTCAGTTTTCCCAGAATGAAGCTCAGTGCACACACTAAGTGTGCAAGAAACACACAAGAATTAATTGCAATTTTAAGTCCTTGTGACAATCCCAGGCCTGCATCTGCAGGGAGTTTTATGAAGGCTGTTTATAGAATTGCGGGAGGGGTTAAGAGAAAGACAAGAGAGTGTGAAATGCCCCAGAACTAGTAGCAGGAAGCTACTACCATCCCTGAGCCTGAAGGACAGAACCCAGAGAGACAGACCTGTGCTGTAGGTCAGGGCCCCCCAGTGTGAGCCTCAGCTGCCGCTGCCAGTCCCCAACTCAACAGGAGAGAGCTGGACAATAAAGACCCTGTGAGCACCCACAACTTCCCATTGGCTGCATCCTGTTAGAATCTAGAGGTCATGGGAGCCTGGGAGAGGCCACCCATGAAGATCAGCTTCCAGGGGCAGAGAGCAGAGTGGACATGGAGGGGCAAATGGGGACCGTCCAGCACAGTCACCATCTCATAGACATTTTCCTCCACCTCCTACCTCGAGTAGCCAGTAGGGTTCCAGCCGGACTGTGGAGCATCATCCCAACAACTGCATGGCTGCTTCCCACTGTCCCTTTAACAGCGCACATGGGAGGGAGCCACAGGTCAGCAAGGCCCTTGGCTCCCGCTGTGGCCCTCACCCATGCCCATCCCCACCCGTCCCCATGCTCAGCACATCAGCTTCACTCTGGCTGACCATGTGCACAGACATGACTCAGTAAGTCTGTCTTTTCTTTTCTTTTTTCTTTCTTTCTTTTTTTTTTTTTTTTTGAGACTGAGCCTCACTCTGTTGCCCAGGCTGGAGTGCAGTGGCATGATCTCAGCTCACTGCAACCTCCACCTCCCGGGTTCAAGCAATTCTCCTGCCTCAGCCTCCTGAGTAGCTGGAACTACAGGCATGAGCCACCATGCCTGGCTAATTTTTGTATTTTTAGTAGAGATGGGGTTTCACCATGTTGGCCACGCTGGTCTTGAACTCCTGACCTCAGGTGATCTGAGCACCTCGATCTCCCAAAGTCCTGGGATTACAGGTGTGAGTCACCATGCCCAGCCAACTCAGTAAGTCTTTTGAATGTGAGCGGAGGCCCCCACTCAGCATTTCCAAGACCTGGGAAATGAGGGTGAGGAGGGGGCCAAGAGCTCTGATTTCAAGTCCCAGCCCTGCCACCCATTCCTTAGGGCAGGCACCCACCACCGCCTTGGCTCAGGCCTCAGTTTCCATCTGGAAGGTGCTGGCTGCCTTGATGGGCCTCTATGGGCCCTCCAGCTCTGTGGCTCCATGTCAAATGCCCCTGACCACCCTTGAGATTAACCCTTTCCCAAGGATAGACAGCTTCCCCCATCATTCTAGATCCCTCACACTTCCCCAGCTCCTACGGAAATAACCTATCCCATCCCCTAAGATCTGCAACTGTTGAGGGTAAGTTTTTGGTTAAAAAGAGTGAGACAGACTTTGGCGCTAGTGCAAAACAAGCTGCTGCTGTAAGAGTGCATGTGTGTACCTGCAGACTGGTGCAATCAGATGACCTTCCCACCAGGCTGCACAGCACTGGATGTCCTCACAGTCACTCAGCCACTCAGCAAACTTTGACTGCACAGCAACCCATGCCAGACCTGCTGCTGGACTCCAGGCATGTTGAGAAATGAATATAATACCCAGGCTATGGCCTCAAAACCTTCAAAACCCAGGGCAGGACACAGACAGGGACACAGATGTGATACCTGCTGGGATACAGTCCTCATGAGGCTCTCTAAGAGGTATCTAAGCAGGGACCTAGAGGGAGGAGGTATTACCTGAGTTGAACCTAATGGAAAGGCATTGCAGGCAGAGGGATCAGTATAAGCAAATACTCAGACCAAAAACAATGGCATGGGGGACTCCACCAAAGAAGTAAAAGAGAATAGGGTGCTACATGGTGTCTCAGTCCCTTTTCTGTTGCTTAGAACACTGAAACTAGGCAATTTATAAAGAAAAGGAATTTATTTCTTATGGTTATGGAGGCTTGGAAGTCCCAGGTTGAGGGAGCACATCTGGTGAGCCCTTCTTGCTGGGGGCAGGTACTCCCTGCATAGTCCCAAAGCAGCATAAGGCATCATATGGTGAGGGGGCTGAGTGCACTAGCTCAGGTTTCTCCTAAAAACCCACCAGTCCCACTCCCCAAATAATCCATTAATTCATTCACCCACAAATTTATTAACCTCTTAAAGGTCCTACCTCGCAATACTGCCACATTGGAGATTGAGTTTCAACATGAGTTTTTGAGGGGAAAAGTATTCAAACTATAGCTCACAGAGATCGCTTTTCCTAGAGATGGCAGATGAATTTTGGAGGTAGAGGGAGAGGGGCAGATCACACAGATCTCATAGTGTGTACAAACCTGCCCTTCCTGCCGGTGGTGGGCAGCTGAGGAAGGGTCTGTCTCATGAACCATTAAGGCTGCAGAGTCTAGCACAGCATCCAGGCCACAGCAAAAGCATGAGACATACTTGGTGAGTGAGCAAGAGAATGGAAGAAGAAATCAATGGAGCCAAATGACTCCACCAGATTTGCATTTGAGACGGTCACTGCAAGACTGCACCAGTCCCAAATTCCCAAGACAGCAATGTTTTCCACGATGGGTCTGAACATGTAACCATTCTCAGGTTCCTGTTGGGGGTTTGGGAGCCTAGAAACTGAGACAGCCTCACAGCTGACAGATCACGAGCAGCCATCTAAGTCGACGTTTCCAAAGTCATGGGGCCTATGGTTTGTGAGCTTATTTAGGTTGTCCCCGGGCCCAGCATCAAAAGCATTGAGACACGTACTGAGGGACTCTTTTCCTAGCCTCTCAGTCCTGACTGCTCAAGGACCAAGTGGTACTTCTTGCCTGCGTTCCTTTAATGCTTGCCTAATATGAGCTAGTCTTCTCTGATCACTTTTTTTTTTAATCCAAAGTAGGTGGGCATTGTCCCAAGAGCCTTTGGAAAGCAGCTGCCTCTCACTAGGACTTCACAGCATCATTTTGCTTTGCTCTCTTTGTGGTTAAAATTACCTTCCATTCGTGGTGGGTGTATGTCAGGATCCCCACAAGAAACAGAGGGACACCCAAATTAGGGACATACTTCAGAGGGACTAATGACAAAGGCATGGGTGGGAGTAGAGGGGAATACAAGGGAGACTTCAAGAATCTTGGCCTTTATTATAAATGCAATGTATGTCCACTATGGAAAATTTGGGGAAAAAAGCAAACTAGAAAGAAGAAAAACCACATTGCCTGAATTCCTACTGCATGGAGAGAAGCATCATAAACACCTTTTGGAGGAGTCTCTTCTTCCTTTCTCCCTTTCTCCTTCTTTGTATAGAGAGGTCTTTCCTGAGGACTTCCCAGAATCTTGCAGATCCAAAATCTTAAGAATTTGCAGAGGCAGTGAGGAGTTAACATGCACAGCTCAGGGAATATTCTGCTTTTTATCTGGAACCAGGCTCGGAACAAGACTCCTTGCTTTTCTGTCCTGTGTTTTCATCTTCTCTCAGAACCCTAACTTTGAGATAAGATCTTTGACTATTATTAGGCGGGTGCAAAAGTAATTGTAGTTTTTGGCATTATTTTTAATAGAACTGCTTCTGTGTCCTCAGATCTCCATCGTTCATCTCCTGATAAGTCCCTGAAAATTTCCTGGCCCCTTGGAGCTCCTTCCAGGAGTAGAATGATCACAAGAGCTGCCATGTATTGCTTATTCTGGCCTATTTCCTTAGGCACATTAGCCCATCTAACCGTTTCCATGGCCCACAGAGGTGGGAGGAGCATGAAGAAAAATGCAAGGAAATAAGCTCATCTCAAGGTATCTCTGGCTCCCAAAGAACATAGGACATTACCAACTTGAAGTTAGCTTCTCAGGAAACTAAGACCCAGCTGCTTTTCAAATCCTCAAAATATTAGTATGAATTATAGATATAGTTATAGCCTTCAGAACTTCTGGCACAGCCCAAAACTGTTGGCTGTAAAACCATGTTTCCTAAATTCAATCATGTTTCTCATTGATTTCCATTTTGAAATTGGAAGTCTTTGCCCTCAAGATATAATAAAAACCATACCAAAGAAAATGGAAAACTTTTCCCCCTTAATATTTAAAGGAGAATGATTTTTATAAAAAAAAAAAAAAACATTCATTTGTCTACTTAAAGTAAATCACAGTGCAGTGCCAGTCTGGGTTTGGAGCATAACACTTTTTTTGATTTATGGTTTCTGCCAGGAGACACCCAGCTAATGATATTTGTTCCTATGTCCTTCTCTGACTAGCTGGGTGGCAGCTAAAGAGCTAGGGTGAGGGGAGACCAGAACTCCAGGCCTGTCCCATGTTCCTGTCTCACCCATATGTGGATTTCAACCCTGGGCTTAGTGTCTGCCTCTAGCGACATGGGAAGAGAGGGATGGGTCCTCTCCTTCTTCTTGTCAAATGGCCCCCAGAGTCCCACCAAGGTGGAGCTCCAGGCTCCTGACCAGCGGGGCTCCCCAACCCTCCTGCTGTGCCCAGTCTATCCCTCCTTCCACGCCCAGCAGAGCTCAGCAGACTTGCCCTTGGCCACTCTTGTGCCTTCACTGCTGTGTGTCCTGGACAGGAGCCAGCGTGGGCTTGCTGATCACAGAGAAAGCTCACGTGGCAAAAGAACCAGTGAGATTAACAAGTCGAGGTTTGGGATATATCTTAGAGATGGAGCCAATGGGGCCTGCAGAGGATTTCCCTGGGGACTGGAAGGGTGAGGAAGGAGAATGCTCTCAGATGACACCTAGGTGGCTGATGTGATAGAATGGGCATTTTCTGGAAGATCTGTTCAGGGGCATTTGGTGAGACAGAAATCAAGGGTTTGGCTTGGGACCTGATATGTTTGATCACCCTGTCAGCCACCCAGGTGGAGAGGTTGAGGAGATGGCTGATGGCATGGGTCTGGAGCTCAAAGGAGAGGCTGGGTGAGGCTTGAGTTACACATTTGAGGGCATCCATGATGTGAAGCACATGGGGGGGCCCACACAGGGGTCTGTGTGTTCCCCTGTGGTGTGTGTGGGGACACGTGAGTATGTGTTTCTGCGTGTACATTGACATGCATGACTCAGAATGTCACATCCATCACAATTTCCTGTCTGACCTTGGCTGAGGTATGTCTGAGTTTTAATGGCCTGTAAAATGAGGGGGTGATATTAGATGGCATCTGAGACCCTTGCCAACTCCACAATTCTAGGAGTTGGGGAATCCCAAAGATGCTGCCATCCCTGGTTTGTTTGGGTGAACAGGAACAGAGAAGTCTTAAGACCACAAGCAGTGAGGTTAGATGCGAGTTCTGCACCTCCCCTGGGGCCTTCAGCAGCTGCATTCTTGGCCCAGCAGAGGACTTGCCTGATCTCCAGGATAGCAAAGGAGCTGAGGCCAAAAAGACACATGGGCTACTGCTCACCCAGCCCCATATTATACCCTTTTCATCGCTGCAATTCAACATAAAATCATATCATTCACACCTACCCACTCATGCATTCATTCAGCACATGCTCATTTTTGAACCGGCAAATATATATTAGATATCGATGCTGTGCTGAATGCCACAGATTGCAACAGGAATCAGACGCCAACCTGTCCCGGAGGAGCTCACACATCTTTCCAAAACCAATTTCTACTTCTTGGGTCCCCTCTCAATGTGTACAACATAGAGCTTTCCTTGCAAGGCTCGAGCACAACGCAGCAGTCACTCCTTGTCTCCAGGCCTGGCTGTAGACACAATGGAGGCTCCTCCTTGCCATCTGCACTCCAGTCAGGGGAGGACACCAATCCACTACCAAATGACCATAGCCAGCATTTACTGAATGTAGACACACTGTAGGTAGCAGATTTCAGGCACCCAATCCAGGTATTGCAGGAAGGTAGCTTCTATTTTTCTATAACTGAACTTGACTTCTTTCTTGGGTCCTCATTCTGCTGGGCATGGATATTTTAGTTTTAGTTTATTTGGGGTAAGCTCAGCCAGTGCAAAGAGTTTGCAGTCTAGGTAGGGTGTTCTTTCCCTTCTCTTCCCACTAGAGAATTTATAAGGTGCCCTGGCACTGTTGAGGGAGGAGCTACCCGGGGGAGGAATGACCCTCCGTCACTGAAGGCTGTGCTGGAATCACATTTCCTCTGTCTCCAGCCCTGAGTCCACCAAAGCATCCATTTCTTCCAGGTTTAACCACAAGGCCTTTCCAAGACTGCCCAGGTCTCCGCTCATCCTTCTCCAGGAGATGCTAATCTCTCGGAGAATCTCCTCTCCAATCTGAGGACTGGGGCCTTTCCTGCCTTCCTGCCACCAAACAGGCCTGGAGTGGAGGAGAGCCAGAAGCCTTGCCACCTCCCCAGGCTACATCCAGGAAGAGGCACCAAGCCCACTTGTCCTGAATCTCAAAGCCTACTTAAGAGCTTAGGTTCTGTTGTCACAAGATCATGGGCACAAGCCCTCGCCTGGTTCTAGAGAGAGTGGGGTCAGAAACACTCTCAGCATTTGAGTCTCTTTCTCCTCCTCTGTCTATCCTCCTTTCCCTCTGGCCCAGAGAATCTTCCTCCACTCCCTGGAGAAAAACCTATCCCACACACCCTCACATATTCTTCAAGATCTATTGGTTAAGGCATCCAACTTATTGCTTAAGCATTTCAAGGACTGGACTTTGGAAAGCCAAGAATCTGAGTTGCAAAGTCTTCCTTAAAACTCAAAAACTGGGCTCATAGGTGCTCTTCTCTTTTTCTTGGCATTTGCCTAAAAGCCACCCTGAGGACACCTAGGAGAGGCCACCTCACCACTTCTTGAACCAGGCATGGGGGATGGGGAAGAAGACACTGGGGAAAAGCTCTGAGTGGTACTTCAGATCATCCTGCCTCAGGTGTTGGTTCTGATCCTCTCAACGACTCCCAAGGGAATATGTCAGCTCCATTTTGCAGACTGAAACCCGAGTCTCGGAATGACTTGTCCATGGTCACACAGTTGCTAAACATCTGAGCCAGAGTGAAACTCTGGGGTATTTGACTTTAAAGTCCCAGCCTTTAAATCATCCCACACTTGCTTATTCCAACTTGGACTTGCCGGAGTCCCATAGACAGAGGCTACTCTCCCACCGTGCTGAAGCTGGTGCATGCCATGTTTCAGTAAGAGAAAGGAGGGTGCCTGGGCTTCGTCTCCACCCAGGTGCCTCTCCCCCAGCAGCTGCACCAGGCCAGCTGAGGGGGATTTTAGCCCGAATCCAGGGTTTCTCCTACAGAAGACAAGGAGTTTGGGCACTGCCAGAATTAGAAGAACAGAAAGAAAATGTTCTGGATTTCTCATCAAATGCCCCTAGCCTGAGAAATATAACTAAATTCACCCTTAGGTCATCTTACAATCTGTCCTGCCCCAGTGTTCCCCACTCAGGGAACTGCTCCACCCACATCCTGGTCCCCAAACCAGAGGCCTGGGAGTCACCCTTGACATTTCCTCCCCTACACCCCTAATCAATCAAATCCTGTTTATCCTGCCCTCTGAGAGTCTGCACCGAAATCTCTCTCCTCTCCTTCCCACCTACCATGGCCCAGCAGCTTTACCATCATGTCTCACGGATCTCTGCACCGCTCCCAACTGGCCTGTGCGTTCACTCCTGCCCCCTCCTCCAGCCCTGTGTACACTCCCTTCCACCATCCTTTCTATACTCTCCTCAATCCTATCTGCACCCTCCTTCAACCCTGTCTGTACTCTCCTCCAATCCTGTCCACACACTCCAAACAAAGTCATATTTCCAAGACAAATTTGACCATGCCACTTTCTCCCACAGCTCTCCACCACCTCCAGGATCCCATCCTCAGTGTTAGCCAGACACTCCCAAGGCCTTGTGATCTGCCCTGCCTATGTCTCCAGCCTCATCCTGCAACTCCCCCTACACTCTGTGTTCTGGCCATCAAACCAATGGGCTCCTCTTCCTGCACCCCCATCCACTCTTGCACATCCTGCACTCTATGTCTGAACAGCTCGGTTTCTCTTCTTTTCTTCTGGCACATGTCTGCTCTACCTGCAGGTCATCTTAGATGTCACTTCTCCTAGGAAGGCTTTCCTAACCTCCAAAACAGGCTCAGTTCCCCTCTTCAATTCTCACTGAGCCTCCTCCCTAGCATTTCCCTCTCTGCATTATAATTCCTCCCTGTGCAAGTGCTCATCTCCCCACTGCACTATAAGATCTAGGAGGGTAGAGTCTGGGTCCCATTCGTTTCTGTACCCTCAGTATTTAGTAGAGATGGGGTTTCACCATGTTGCCCAGGCTGGTCTCGAACTCCAGAGCTCAGGCAATCCACCCGCTTCAGCCTTTCAAAGTGCTAGGATTACAGGCATGAGCCACCACTCCCGGCCCTCTGCATTCTTCTATTTAAAACTATTTATTGAGATCTACTATTGGCTAGATTTCGGGGATGAAAAAGGCAGACAAGGCGCCCTGCCCTCAAGGGGTTTTCAGTTTAGTGGGGAGCAAAGCAAAAAGACAAACAAACAGTTAAATATAACATCTAGTAGTGATAAATACTCCAAAGAAAACTAAAGCAGGGGCCAGAGAGCATGGGGGCATTGATGTTTTAGACAAGGTGGTAAAGGGAGGTCTCTCTACAGAGGTGGTATTTCAGCAGCAGCCCGAGCACTCAGTAGGTCCATGGTAAAATTTAGTTGACTCCCGAACTAACTGAGTGTCTCACTCAGTGAAAGCCTCTAATCCATTTTGCTAGAAGTCTTTCCCTGTAGCTCATTTTGTTCCAAGTCACAAGCATCAGGCTTGGAAGACCTGTGTGGGAGAGTAATTAACCTAATACACAGCGCGGGGAATGGAAGCCCGAACCCCCAGAAGCCTTTTCTGCAAAAGGACCAGGGCTTGGGTAATAAAATGGGGCTTTCATTCTCATTAATGGGGCAATTGATTTAAAGAACAGACCCAGTGGCTTATTGATCAGTGTTAATCATTAGAAAATGCTGACTTAATGAATCTAACTGCCATGAGGCCCCTGTGGGATTTGGGAAGGCCAGTTAGATACAATAACTTTGTCCCCTTCCAGTCCAGCAGACAGATTTATTTACAGAAATCTGGATTTTTTTTTTCTGGAAAAAAAGTCAAAGAGTCACTGGGGGTTAAGCCATTTCTCCAGCTGATCTGAGAGATCATCCCAAGCCTTTGTAATACGCCTGTCTCTCCTGCCATGCTCTGTTCCTATCTAGCTTTTCAAAACAAACTCTTCATTTTAGAATAGTTTTAAATTATAGTTAGAGAAAAACTTCAAAGATAGTAAGAGAGTTCCCATATCCTGCACACCTGGTGAGCCCCATTGGTAACAGCTTAGGTTAACACTGTCACCACTAATGGACAAATGTTGCAATATTATTATTTGCTCAAGTCCATACTTAACTCAGACTTCCTTAGTTTTTACCTGAAGTCCTTTTTCTAGTTCAGGATCCCACATTCCATTTCGTAGGCATGTCTCCTTAGACTCTTCTTGGCTGTGACAGTTTCTTAGGCTTCCCTCTGTTTTGATAACCTTGACAATATTAAGGAGATATTGGGCAGATGACTGTAGAATGTCCCTCAACTGGGTCTTATCTGAAGTTTTTCTGATGATTGCACTGGGGTTTGGGGAGGAAGAGCACAGAGGTAAAGTACCATTCACATCACATCATTTGAAGAGTGCATGTTATCAACACGACCTATCACTGCTGATGGTGACCTCGATCACCTGGCTAAGATTGTGTTTGTCAGGTTTCTCTGCTGTGAAGTCATTTTCCTCCCTCCCCTCTTACACACTGGGCTCTTTGGAAGGAAGTCACTGTGTGCAACTCACACTGAAGGAGTGGGAAGTTAGAGATCCTCCTTGAGCGTGGGCCATCTTCATGAATTATTGGGAATTATTCTGCATAAGAGATTTGTTTATATTAATATGAGCTCATGGATATTTATGTTGACACTTTGGGTTATAATCCAATAGTATTTTACTTCTTTTCTTGCTCAAATTACTCCACCTTTGGGTACTGGGGCTCTTGCAGTTGGCTCCTATGTCCCCGTCATTGAGGGGTTTGGGTTTTGTGTGTGTTTGCGTGTGTGTGTGTTTGAGCACTTCTTTACTGTTGGCACCAAAAGATGCTTAGGCTTGCTTTGAGCATCTCCTGCCCTGGCCCTGGAGCCACTCCAAGGAACCTCCAAGAACGCCTGATTCCTTTTATTACTGGCTCCTATTATAATTTTCATAATGGGCTGTCATTTTGTTTTGTCTGGTTTTGTTTATAATTATAAGGGTAAGTCAGCTCATTGCATAAAATATAGCAAAGATATAAAAGAATAAGAATGAAAATAAGTATCCCAAATAATCCAAGCAGCAAAGAAATCCAGCGTTAACATTTTGGGGTATTTTCATCTGGTCTTTTTGCTAGTTGCTGGCTCTTAAGAAGTCTGTGCTTTCATTCTTGATCTCTGCCAGACCAAGGGATATCATGGGCCCTGGTTTACCTCCCTGTCCCAGCATCTGTGGTTGGAGCAGCTTCCATTTGGCCATCCTCAGGTGGTCTGCTCGCTGGGCCCCTGCCCACTTCTCCCTCCAGCAGACCGCAGGCCAAGAGGCCAGGAGCCAGGGTGTGTCCTCCAGCAGACTCTGAGGAAGTGAATACATCACTGTTCTGTGACTTCCAACGTGATAGTTGGCCTCATTTTCCTCTTCTTTACGAAGTAAATGCGATAATATATACAAAGTGCTCAGAGAAAGGCCTGGTAAGAAACAGGTATTTTAAAAAGTAAAAACTGTCGGCTGGGCGTGGTGGCTCACGCCTATAATCCCAACACTTTGAGAGGCCGAGGTGGGCGGATCACGAGGTCAGGAGTTTGAAACCGGCCTGACCAATGTTGGAGAAACCCCTTCTCTATTAAAAATATAAAATAAGCTGGGCGGGGTGGCAGGCACCTGTAATCCCAGCTACCCGGGAGGCTGAGGCAGGAGAATTGCTTGAACCTGGGAGGCAGAAGTTGCAGTGAGCCAAGATCGTGCCATTGCACTCCAGCCTGAGCAACAAGAGTGAAACTCCGTCTCAAAAAAAAAAAAAAGTAAAAACTGTCATTATTATAACCATAATTACTATTAGCAATCTGAAGAAACACATATCTAATGATAGAAGTTCAGGCATAGTGTGGCAGGCAGGCCCCTGGGAGGGATGAATTTGCACAAGCAAACTGCCTTCTCCATGGAGACCTAATGAAATTCATCCGGTCCTTCTTGAGAGTTTGACTGAGTTGGGAACTGTGTCTCCACCAGACCAGCAAATGGAAGAGAAGTTTCCTGGGGCTCTAGCTGAAGAGTGTGTACTGAGGGGCAGTATTGCATTGTGGTTGAGAACATGGGCTCTAGAGCCAGGCTGCTCAGGTTCAATGCCCAGCTCCATCACTTACCTGCTGGGCAGCAGCCTGAGTTATTTAAACCTCACTAGGCACAATGTAAGGATAACAATATTGACTATCCCATAAGGTTGCTGGGGATGCCAAATAAGTTCACAAATGGAAGAACTTTACACAGTACCTAGCACAGAGTAAGCAGCCAATTAATATTACTCGAGTTACTGTTTTTATTACTTCATCATTCGGGACTCTTCCGGTTGCAAGTACAAGGAAAGCCAACCCAGAATCACTTAAACAAAAGGGAATTTATTGGCTCATGTAACTGAACTTCAACATTTTACAGAATCTCATTGGCTCCAATGGGCTCATACGTCCATCCCCAAACCAATCACAGTGACTGAGGGATTATCCAAGGATCACACTGGCCACTTTCACAGGTTTTATCCCTAAAGGAAATCACAGGTAATAGATGTGGGGCTGCAGAAATGCAACATGCACTTTTCCTTGAAACTGCATCCCTTTTCCCTGAAGATGAAGCTTGAAAGAACTCTAAGAGGTTAAGCATGGAGCTGATGGGCAAGCCACAGGCAGAAAGAGTAGCTGTGCAGCCAGGCTCCTGGCCAGGGAGGGCAGATAAGGAGGGGAGGCAAAGTTTGGTAAACAGGAAGCTAATCTATGGGCAAGAATCATTTTCTTCAGCATCCTGACCTCTCCTAAAATGTTCTCCACTGGTCCCTGCTAGGACAAAGGAATTACCACCAGACTAGAGTCAGGAGTCCTGGGCTGGTTCTGCTGTATGACACAGGACAGGTGGCTTGCCTGGTCTGGGCCACAGCCTCCTCCCCTGTTGATGAGCATGTTGGTTGTTCCAGCACCATGTCAGCCCTAGAAATCTCTGAATTCTTGACCAGATCAGTAATTGCTCTCTTGCGTTTACTTTTCCTTCAAATAAAGAGATTGGCATACAGGGGAGGAGCCCAGTACAGACGGCATGCTTGGCTCAGGTTCCAGAACCCAGAAACCAGACAAGAGTTGGGAAACCATGATGGTGGAGGAGGGTGTGCCACTCCTTACTAGTGCCTAATCTCTTCGAGACACTAATGTTTCAGTATTATCCACAGATTCTGATGCCAGGCAGCCCAGATGACTGGGGTCAGTTATTAGCATGCTTCCTGGAGGTGGTTCCCAGGTGCAGGCTACCTGCAGTCTGGCTGGATGGGCCCTGCACCACACTTGCTTCTGGGAAGCTGGTTTTGGGGTTGCCACAATCTCTGAAAGAATCACTAGGCCACCCTCTGAGTGGGTCCTTCTGTAGGAATTATGGATAAAATTGTTCCACTAGTCTTACCTTCTTGGGGAACCCTTCCTGGATTCCCAGGCTGGGCTGGGTGTCCCTGCAGCCTAGCCCCACAGCCCTCCTGCTTCTCTTTCTCATCACAGTCTTGTTATCTCTACCAACTGTAGGCCTGCCCCACTGATGGTGTGAATAAAGGGACTGGGTCTCTCTAGCACCTAGCATAGATCTGATACATAGTGGGTGATCTCTATTGAATGAACGATGAATGAATGAATGAATGAATACATTTAGATAATTCAGATTACTCTTTCTAGCTCAGCAGTGTAAAGCAGGAAGACATGCTGTCAATATG
Source organism: Homo sapiens (assembly GCF_000001405.40). Taxonomy (NCBI): domain Eukaryota; kingdom Metazoa; phylum Chordata; class Mammalia; order Primates; family Hominidae; genus Homo; species Homo sapiens. The sequence continues at coordinate 170,669,264 of NC_000005.10, forward strand.
ATTTAGGGCAAGTTTTCAAATCTCTCTGGACCTCAGTTTTACCTCTTGAAAAATAAATATAATAATTTGTCCTTACTTCATGAGACTATTTTGAAGATTAAATGAGATAATGTATACACTACTACTCACTGTCCTTACTTGAATATTCCTAGGTCCTTGGTGCTACATTAGGCTACATAGAATGTATTTAAAGTAATAGAGTGGTATTTAATAAATATTCATTTTCTTTCCCCAGAACTACCTTAAATTAATTTGTTGAAAGGACAGATGGATGGATGGTTGATGGAAGTAGCAGGCTTCCAGCAGCAGGGGATGGAGTGAGTGTGTGGATACCGCTGGATCAGCAGAAGGTTATACCATTTTAGAGTAACTATCTCGGACTTCGGAGAGTTCCTGGGTATGAAGGTTTGGCTTTAATTAAAGTCTCAGCACAGTGTTAAATGCCATTTTATTTTAGGTCATAATTAACACTAATGAGATGAGTGGATTACAAAGAGCACACATTTTGAGAAAGTGAAAAACAACATCTGAGCTTGGTGGTTTCCATTTTCGCTTTTCCCCCTCCCATGCTCTGTTCAATTAAAAGTTTTGAGAAAATATTACAACCATACTCCTTGTCTTTGTGGTAATGAAGCATATTAATTTGAATGTGATGAATACAATATTCCACTGACTTTTTTATTCCCTTATCTACAAAAGTTTAAAATAATGGACCAATTAAACCAGGAGAGAAGAATGCAGGGTTTGCCTGGGGATCCAATTCAGCAACCAGAGAACTGAAAGAACAAAATTTTTTGACGGAGTCTGGGCCAGACTTCATCCCTTACCTATAGCTGACAAACAGTAAGTCAAATTGGGCAGATGTGGACCAGCGCAGAACACATACTATATTGAGGATCGAAAGGCCAGGTTCCAGACCGTCCTCTAATATTTTCTTAGTGAATATTTGTTGGATGAATGCATGGATGGGTGGATGAATAGATGGATGGATGGACAGATGGACGGAGAGAGAGATGGATGAATGGATTGTTGGATGAAGTTGAAAGATGAAGGTAGATGACCTCCCATGGTCTGATTCTTCCTAAGGTAGCAAATTAAGCCTAGGATGGGCTGACCTAACCCTTCCAAGGACTTAGAAGTCAGGGCAAGAACTTACAGGGAAGGGTTCAGTTCTCTGACCTCACTACCCTAGAGGCATAAACTATAAATTATAGAGTTGGCCTGAGCTCAGTTTCCCTGGGAGCTCTGCTCTAAAGCAGAGCCCCTTGACCCTGCACCAATTTGGTTAACCCGAGTAAGGCTGAGCTTCCCCCAGCAGGAGCTCCTGCTTTGGAAGAGAACATCCTGGGCCAGGCGCAGTGGCTCACGCCTGTAATCCCAGCACTTTGGGAGGCTGAAGCGGGTGGACCGCCTGAGCTCAGGAGTTCAAGACCACCCTGGGCAACATGGTGAAACCCCATCTCTACTAAAATACAAAAATTTAGCCAGGTGTGGTGATGCAGCACACCTGCAGTCCCAGCTACTCAGGAGACTGAGGCAGGAGAATTGCTTGAGCCTGGGAGGTGGAGGTTGCAGTGAGCTGAGATCACACCACTGCACTCCAGCCTGGGCGACAGAGTGAGACTCTGTCTCAAAAAACAAAAAAAAAAATAAAAAAAAAAGAAGAGGACATCTGGAGCAGGCCTGTGAACCTGACACATGGTCCAGGTGTCTCCCTGAGGACTTCTGGAAGTCTCCCCACCTCTCTGTGGTCCTTTAGGCATTAACACCACCTTGTCACTGTGTCTTCTGAGGCAGTCTGGAAGTTCATACCCCACAATCTCTGTGTACCTTGTCCCCCATTCTGTTCTCTGCATTGCAGATGGTTTAAAACACACACACATACACGCGCAAAATGTTGTTCCTTTTCTTAAAACCCATTGTGGCCAGGCTAGACAAATCCTTAACACGGTCTACAATATTCTGCATGGCATGGCCCCTGGGTGCCTCCCAACCTGATCTGTCACACACCACCTCCACCTTTGCCTGTTCCCTGGGCCCTAGCACTAACCTTTGGTTCATTCCTAGACACCTTTTCAGCACTTAGGCCCCCACAGCCCTCAGAACCTTTACACTTGCTGTCTCTTTTGCTTTAAATGTTCTTGCCCCACCTACCACCTAGTTAATGCCTTTTCCTCCTTCAGCTCTTAGTTGAAGCATCACTTCCTCAAGGAGGGCAGCCCTGATGAAACTCATTATGCAAACTCCAGCCTGGGTTGGGCCTTATCTTTATGCTGTCATGGCCCTGAGTATTCTTCCTTTATGGCACCAATCACGGCTTATATGATATACTTATGCTATTATTTGAGTTATGTCTGTCTCCCCCAGTATGCCACTAGTATTAGAATCATTGATTTTTAATCATTGTATCCCTAGTGCTTAGCACAGAGCCTGGCTCATAATAGATGCTTAATAAATATTTGTTGAATAAATGAATGAGTGAATGAATAAATGCCTCATTCAAGAGCTTTGGCTCTTTCTGTACTACTACATTACTTCTATTTTTTAGCTCTTAATTCTCAAAGCACTTTCTTTGTGCTGGGCTTATGCTGGGAGCTTAGACAGTAAAGCTTAGATGGTAAACTACAGTTGCTCTCAAGCAGTTCACAATGTAACAAAAAAGAGACACAAATACACAGTGACAATACAGTGTGTCGAGTGCTACAATAGATGGAGGGGTGCAGTTTTATGGATGTGGAGAAGAAATCCTTCTATTCCTCACTGGAGGCTTCACTAAGGAGATATTCCCTAAGCTGCTTCTGGAAGGAAAAGGTATTGGCCAAGAAAATAAGGGTGGAGGCAGAATTTCAGGTGAAAGGACCAGCATATGCAAAGGCTCAGAGGGCAGAGCCTGGCACTGGAAACAAAATGCAAGTCACTTCGTGGACTGAGACCTGGATGAGGACATGGGGCTATGAGAGATGAGGCTGGGGAGGGAGACAGGGGCCAGATCACAGAGGCCTTTCAATGACAGCAACATATGGCAGCTGCAGAGACAGCATGGAAGGGACTGGCATGGTGAGACCTGTGATATGGAGAACTCCCTCTCGAAGGGGTTCAGAAAAGAGATGTCCATATTTCAAGTGAAGGACTTCCTCCCCTGGAGAAACTGAGGCTCTGCCCCAGGGCTGTCCATCAGACTCCTTCCCAGAATCCAAACGCTTCCAAAGGATGTTCAGTGTGGCTGACCTTGCTTATTCATTGTGGGGAGAATTAATTTCAGGGTGGAGAATTTTAAAAAAATATAAGATTAAGCAGTGTAATCAGCTGCTGCTGAGAGTTGCAAATGCAATAAATAATAATAGCATTGAGAGCTGTTTTTAATAACTCACCAGTGTAATTTAGCCTCGGCTTCTTAGAGCATATTTAAAATATGTCATAGTGTGTCTAATGGCAAATGCCTCATTGCCAGCCTCTGAAGACAAATGTCTTCCCAGGAGGGAGGGGGGCAGAAAATAGAGGAGAAATTGGAGGATTTGATTGCAAACAGGGTGTAGGAAGGCAAGCATTGTTCATTCTGACACCACTAATTCAAAATCTGTGATCTTTGCCTAGGCAATAGGTTTTAGTTGGTTTGTCTTCAAGGGTGAAACAGATGGATAGCAATAATATGGTAAAGGAGATATTTATAATTTGTAAGAGAAGAGGTTGTTTTCAGAATCTATAGAATCACCATTTTCATGCAGTCCATATTCTAATTACAGATCATCCTGGACTATCTATTATAGCAGGTCCCCAGGCAACTGATATCTTGACAACATTTGTTTTACTTAGTTGAGTTACTAAATATTCATGATACCATGAAAATGTGTTATTTAAAAGTGTTCGATGAATTCTGAGTTTTAGTAATTCATATGTGCTGTCCCCGCCCAACCCCGATTAGTCTAAACTGGTGAGATGGGGCTAGGAGTCCTCCCCTCTTGGGTAACAGACTTGACACAGTTAAAGTGAGACAAACTTTGGAGTCAGACAGACCTGAGTTCAAATTCTAGTTCTACCACTTACTAGCTGTGACCTTTTGCAGCTTAAACACTGAGGCTCTATTCCCGATCTGTTAAGTGAGAGTGGTGATGATGACGACCATGACAGCTAATATTTATGGATCGCCTATTGTGTTATCTCCAACACAACGATACAGTGACGTAGGTCTACCATGGTTCCTGTTTCACAGATGAGGAAACTTGAAGCTTAGCGAGCTCAAGTAACTTTCCTGAGGCACAGGGCTAGTGAATAACCACTCTGGGACCTAGTATCTGTTCTAGCTGGTTTCAAAGCCTATGCTGTTAAGTGGGCTCTGATACTATCTTGTACAGTTGGGGGAAGATTTGAGAAGACATGTGTAAGGTATAGTTCCTGGTATGTAATTAGGACTTTATAAATATCTCTTATATGGAAGGACTGAATGTATCTTCCTGGGCTGTGTCCTCGCAGGGAGATATAACATCTATGTCACTCTCAACGCTTTATTAATGTCCCTGTCACTCTATACCCTTGTCCAAGTTACTCCACACCCTCCAAAGCCTCAAGTTTTTAATCTGTAAAATGGTGGTGGGCGGAGGTGGGGAGTGAGCGCTCTTACACATACTACTAGGTTGGGGGTAAATTAGTAAAACAACTTTGGGAAACAATTTGGCAAGACTTAGTAAAAGGTGCATAGATCCTGTGACACAGCAGTTTTATTCCTGGGATAAATGCTAAAGCAGGTTGTCTCCATCTCTGCACTACTGACATCCTGGGACAGATATTTCATTGTGATGGGGGCTGTTCTGGGCATTGTAGGGGATTTAGCAGCATACCTGGCAATTTATTCCCAAGAGGAAAGCAATGAGGAAGGAAGGAAGGAAGGAAGGAAGGAAGGAAGGAAGGAAGGAAGGAAGGAAGGGAGGGAGGGAGGGAGGGAGGGAGGGAAGGAGGGAAATATTTAATAGTTAAGTTACATCCACAGGTTTGATTATAAATGTGTGTATTGAATTGGAATTTCTGTTGAAATTCTGATCCCTTCTAGACAAAGAAGGTAAAAATTGAAACATGTCAATGGATATCTAAATATCATTACTCACTGGCTTTATTTGCAAATGGCTTTCCATTGACAACAGTTACATTTTGTTCAAAGCAACAAATGATTGGCGCTGACAATCCACAGGAACATGGTGCAGTCATTAATGAATGTGCTCATTATTCCTCCCTGCCGGGAGGCATCGACTCCCGTTCTCCAGCCTGTTTTAAGCAGACAGACCTACATCTGCACCTGTCAGCTTGGAACCCTAGTAGGGGAGGGGGATGCTGATGTGATGGAGAATGAAGAATGGGCCCTGCAGGCTGACATTTTGGGAGAGTAGGTTCTGAAATTTATCCCAAAGGACATGGAATCCTGGAAGCAGGGTTCAAGATCCTCCCAAAATTGATCTCCCAGGATGCTTGGAATGATTGTTCCGAGGGTTTTGTAAAATGCCAGGGGAAAACCAGGAAGCTTCTCTCCAGTTGTCTTGCCTCCTTCCTCTCCAGTCTCCATGGAGCTGACTTTGAGAATTAACTCCTGAGGGACAGAGACCCTGGGATGGAGAGCCAGCCCTGCTGGATTCCACAAGGTGCTGCTTAAAGCACAACACCTCTTCCCAATGACAGGTTCTGAAAGAAGGCCTTGTAGCTAGATGCACAGAGGGTTTTGTTTTGTTTTTTTTTTTTTAACCTTTCAGCATCTGTCTAAAATTGCTCTGGGCTGGGTACAGTGGCTCCCACCTGTAATCCCAACACTTTGAGAGCTGAGGCAGGAGGATCGCTTGAGCCCAGGCGTTCTAGACCAGCCTGGGCAATATAGTGAGATCTCTATGTCTAGAATGTTTTTTAATTAGCTGGGCTTGCTGCCTGCACCTGTAATTCCAGCTACTTGGGAGGCTAAGGTGGGGGGATCACTCGAGCCCAGGGGGCTGAGGCTGCAGTGAACCATGATTACACCACTGAACTCCAGCCTGGGCAACAGAGTGAGACCCTGTCTCAAAAAATATATATATATAAATAAATAAATAAAAATAAATGGCCAGGTGCAGTAGTTCATGCCTGTAATCCTGGCACTTTGGGAGGCCAAGGCAGGCGGATCACGAGGTCAGGAGATCAAGACCACCCTGGCCAACACGGTGAAACCCTGTCTCTCCTAAAAAATACAAAAATATTAGCCGGGCATGGTGGCACGCACCTGTAGTCCCAGCTACTCAGGAGGCTGAGGCAGGGGAATCACTTGAACCCAGGAGGCGGAGGTTGCAGTGAGCCGAGATTGTGCCACTGCACTCCAGCCTGGCAACAGAGCAAGCCCCCATCTCTAAAATAAAATAAATTGCTCTGTAAGTTGACACCACTAAAAACATCATTAGTAGTTGTAATAATTAAGATAAAGGAGAAAACTGTGCAGAGCCCAGCACAGTGCCTGCTCCATGGAAAATCCTAATGACATTTAGTTTCCCTCTCTTTGCCCCCATTTTCTTATCTATAAAACAGAAATAATGCTGTATCCTAACTCAAAAGTTGATTATGGAGAGTGGCATAGTATTGTTTCAACAAATATTTATTGAGAAACTGCAACACGCAAATAGATGTAAAAGGTTGAACAGAACTTTGCAAATTAAAAATCCTAAAGGACATTTTAGACCTTATGAACTTCCTAATAGGTAAGACTTTTTAATCTATCTGCAGTGTCCAACAGGTGCAAGAGCTTGGGCGGACTGTGAATATCTAAGAAAAGAGAGAGAGCAGAAAGGAGGGAGGAAGATGAAAGAAGGAAGGGAGGAAGATGAAAGAAGGAAGGGAGGAAGAAGGGAGGGAGGGAGCGAGGGAGGCGGGGGAGGGAGAGAAGGGGGAGGTAGGGAGGGAAAGAAGGAAGGAAAGGAAAGGAAAGGAAAGGAAAGGAAAGGAAAGGAAAGGAAAGGATTACAGGTGGGAGGGAGGGAGGAAGGGAGATATCATTATTATTGTGCAATTGTTATCATTATATAACTAATTTAAACAAACCCATCCTGTGCCCACAAAAGGGCACCAAGATAAAGGCTAAGATAAAGAACACACGAATCATTTTCCCATTTTCGTCAGTGATGGGAATGGTAATGATTTTCTCTCTGAACCATAACCATCTTGCAGTTAAATAATTGCTTTCTGATAGAATCAGGAGCTCTGAGATGGTGCTCTGAGGAGTTCTTTCATTTCTTTCGCACCTTTTAAAGAAAAGAAAACTTCAAGTGCAATTATTGGCATTATTTTAATACCGACTGCAGCAGAACATTCTGGAAAATGAGGCCCCTATCAAATTAGTTTTTCCAAATGAGGTTTAGACAGTACCTTACCAGGAGAACCACTCAGAAAGCCCCCATGGCAGCAGCAAGCCCTGTTGAGTCAAGGGCACATGGATGTCACACTGCACATGTGTTTTCAGATAACTAAGTGAACTGCTCCGATCTTGTGGGTCATTGCACCACGGGGCCTCTCCATTTACTTCAGGTTACACAGCAACAAGCAAGCTGAGAGCAGCAGAAGTAGCTAGCTAAAATTGCATTTGATTTTGTGACTGCTAGAGGCCAATACTCAAGTGAAGTTTAAGCAAAAACAAATCATACTCAGCTGAAAACATTTGCCTGGAAGAAAGATCTGTGGCTGGAGAATTGGAGTTCATGCACCCAGCAATTTCCAGAGGAAGTCTGATTCCCCTACCTGAAGTAACACTCCTTCCTCTCCCCAGATCCAGATCTCCAGACTATACGTACTCAATATATGACTTGTCCATGGGGCCCAGCTGAGCATTATTGCCTCTAGCTTATGGTTAATAATAACAGTAATAATTATACTAATATTATTCTTTCTATGCATAATTACTAATTCATCTTAATCTCACAACTCTATGAAGTACATACTGTGAATGTCTCTGTTTTACAGGTGAGAAAACTTAGGCACAGAGAAGTTAAGTAACTCATCATAGTCACAGAGCTAAGTAGGAGGCAGAGTTAAGAGTCAATGTAGGCTTCTGACCCAGAGATTGTGCTCTGGACCTCTGTGCCACACTCCCACTTACTGGGTATCAGGGACTGTGCTGAGCAGTTTATGGCATCATCTCATTTTGTTATTGTAACAACCCTATGCTATGGGTATCAGTATTATTCCCAGGTAAGGAAACTGGCTCCTTTTGGAGCTTGAGTGACTTATCGTGGTCACACATCTAGTAAGTGGCAGAGATAAAATTGAAACCCAGAGCTAAAATTGTTTGGCAAAAACTTGGCATTTGTGATTGTGACCATCTTGGTTTCCAAGACGCCTGGGGGACTCTGCAGACCATGGCCAGTATTCATTTGTCAAGATGCAAGGACCTAAACTGGAATCCAGTCTTTTATGATGTCTGGATCATAACAAAAGTCAGGTATCTGCTCCATGAGGCCAGCTAATCCCCCCACAACCCCACATCCCCCTGACACACATCATCCTCACCTAGAGAAACCTTTTCACAAATAATCAAACCTTTGTTTCTTTAAGGCAAATGGACCTAAGGGGAAAAAAAAATGCCTGTCAGTATTGATAAGGAATTGAAGAGGACCAACAATGTGAAGATTCTTGGCCAAAAAAATAAAATAGTAATTTGGGACAAATTTAGTAAGAGAAATATCAGAATCTATGCAGGCTCACATCTCCAATACAAACATATTCACCTTACACTCTATATGGAAATAGTAAAGAGCAATTTGTGAAATAGATTCCATGAGTGCCCCAATTAGGGCAAACATTTCTCATCAAATGAAGGATGGAACTTCAATAAAGATTTCAAAGCTGGTTACATGTAGAGAGATTTGTGAAGAAACCTTGTAGCTCTGATGGAACTGGGATGTGAGAAGAAGGCAGGTTTTCTGATAAACAATTCCTGTATCTTTCACAAATGCCAAATCACAGACTCAGCTTGGGACATATGAGGACAGCACAGACTTTGGAGGCAGGTAGATTTTGGGTTGTCACGCAGACACCCACTACTATGAGACCTGGATTTCCTTCTGACGTTATTGGGGATAAGAAGTGGCACCTCACCATTTCTAGGAAATAGTAGGTAAGTCTTTCTGGTTGCCACTGAGGTGACTCACCTGAGACACAGTTGCTCCTAAAGTTCAAGGTTAGGAGACAATCCAGAAGGGGAGCTGTCTGTGAAGTCAGAATTCTTGGAAGAATGTAAGTCTTTACACAGTAACAGCAAAGCAGACAGTGGGAACCACTACTCTGCCTTCTTGCATCATTCTTTCCTAGAAATACCAGAAAGCAGTGAGGGATTAAGTCTAATTCCTGGCACCTGACCTTATATCTAACAGATGCTCAGTATTACCTGTTGATGGGACCTCACTGGGAATGTTTTGTGTGCAGTACAAAAGGGCAATAGATGAAACTTTGGGACGGGAGCCCAGGAAAATGGCTGAGAGGAGAGCTTATGCCTAGCTTATGCATGAGCTTGCAAAAAGGGAGAATACACGGGAGGGAAGATCAGCAACAGCATGAGTTTTATAAGGCAGAGAGTTGTTGGGAAGGAAGCAGCAGGGAGAGGGGAAGGAGTAAGTAGAAACCTAGAAGAGATACAGCTAAGATAAGCCAAGAGAACAAAGTATTGACTTACCAGAAACATGGAAGTCTTCCTGCTTCTAATTTAGTTCCGCATATCTGGATATGTGAATGCCTAAAATCCCATTAAGCCCAGTGGGTTAATTATTACACTTGCTAGGGCCCCAGAGGAGAGGAAACACAGTAAGTCAGAAAAACCTCTGGGCAGGTGAATTTCTCAGGTTTTCTTCTGGGCAGATGGGATCTGGAATGGTAGCGTGGCATCCTGGTAATTCAGAGACAGTGGGGAGGGTGAAGAAACACTGATGTGTAGCATTTCTGTGGTGTCAACACCCTACCATGGCTGATTTCAAGCTGACAAAGGTTTAGCAACTGCCTTGCTGATTTCCTGAAAATTTAACAATTAGTTTTCATGAGATGCAGTGGGCTGACCCCAGGACATCACTGCCTACACGCCAATGAGAATGGAGATTGACACAAAGAACAGAGTGGAGAGACACAGAGCAGGGAAGACAAGATTTTCCCGAGTCTCAATCCAATATGTAGACTATGTCTCCCTTTTCACAAAGAAGGAAGGGGAGGAGAGACCAGCATTCACATTCAGTTATTGTTGTTTTAAATCCATTACGCACATACATAGGAGAAAATTTCAGCAACAGTCACCCTCTGAACCCAGTTCCTCAGTTCTCTCCAGAGGCAACTAAAATGCTCAATTATTAGTGTATCCTTTTGGAAATATTTTATGTATATGACAGTGTGTGTGTGTGTGTGTGTGTGTGTGTGTGTGTGTTCCTTTCCAATATTAAAATAATATTAACATTGGTAATAGTGGTACTAAACAACTTAGGGTGTTTTTTTTTTCATTTAATAGTATATTTTTAGTATCTTTCCAGGAAAAGATACATGGATGTGCCACATTATTTTTAATGGCTCACATGGTACTCCTTTTATGTATGCACTATAATTTATGGAACCAGTTTTCTCACCGATGAGCATGTAAGTTCTTTCAGTCTTTTACTGTTATAAACGAATGATGCAATGAATATCCTTGTACATATATATTTGTGCGCATATGTAGGTATCCTTACAAGTGGAATTTCTGAATAAATGGATATATACAATTTATTTATGAATTTACCTTCCTACAAGTGATTCAAGAGAGTGTCTTTGCTCCACAGTGTTGTCAATATAGTGTATTCTCAAAATCTGACACCAATATGTGTGAAGTGCCTGCTCTGTTCCCACACTTTACACAGGTTCTCTTATTTGCGTTAAGTTTATTTAAGAAGAGGAAACTGGGCCTCATGGAGATCTAGGAACTTGCCCAAGGACAGGTCTCTGTGACTCTAAGAGTGCAATCTTCCCTTTTCCCCATGTCAAGCACCTTTCCCCACCAGGCTCACTGCTGACAATCCAGTGTACGAAGAAGGGAAATTACCCCCACAGAGCCCAAAAGTTTAGGACATGCCGACAGCATCACTCTTTTGCCTCCTCATTCTCTCTTTCATTTCCAGAACATTTGCTCACTCAGTGCTGCCCAGTGATACTTAGCCAGCCTGATTACCCATCTAATAATTTCTGATACTAATATAAAACCTTCCCAAAGACAAATATAACTGAGACGCACTCCAGCTTACCATAGCTTTCCTGGTGGTACAGTTTCCAGGGACATTTCACTGTGTCAAAGCAGGGACCACATATGTTCCAGACCAGCTTGTTGGGTTTTTCACTGGGAAGTGAAGACAAATTGTTGTCCCTTTGAAAAAGCATCTTTCATCTCTCCATCTATCTGCGATCTAAAGCAATGGGGCTCTTTCTGTATGTCTTTCAAATGGTCTACACTGACACACGTTTTCTCTGAGCTGCCGAGAGAATATGCCATGAGATGTTGCCAGTGATGGTTACACTCAGCTAGCAGAAGATTAGGGACTGGTTAAACCTTTGGAGAAATTGCCTTGGGAAAAGAGGAAATAAAAGCAAATATTACTATGAAACATAGAGATTACCAGGTAGGAGGAGGAGAGAGGTGGAGGGAGGGGTAGGAGTGGAAGGAAGGGAGGGAGGCAGAAAGAGGAAGGCAGACTGGTGGAAAATAAACCGTGCACTTTAGAACAGCAGGAAGGGAGGCTTGGAAGCCTGGTTTTCTGGCTTTGAATGACCGCCTAGCGCTTGCCGGTGCGCCAGGGTGCTGTGAGGATGTGGGCAGAGGGCGAGTCCGAAGGGCTCCAGACACTGGGAATAGTGGTGGTCGTGTGCTCCTCCCTGAAACTTTTGCACTACCTCGGACTGATTGACTTGTCAGACGGTAAGCGAACCCTGGAGCTTCCCCGTTTTCTGTGAATGTGTTTTTGTGGCTTCGGTTGCTGTGACAGTCGTTTCGAAAATGCACGGAAATGAGGGCGGAGACCCGAGAGATTTGAAAAAGCCGGGCTGAAACAGCGTGGTATTGGTCCCCGCCTCCCCAGTCGCGCCCCAGTGCTGCGCTGTCCGTCGTGCTGAAATGTGGTGCGCCTGGGGAGTGCGGGAGCCAGGAAGTTAGGGTCTCCTGCTCCGGCCCTATGAGCATGTGAGTCTTGATGGATTATTAGCTATGGGTGAGGCCAGCACAACACATCACAATTCTCTCTGAAGCTGTCTGGTAACTACGTATATTGTTGATGGAAGCCAGTGACTTTTAAAAGCCATTATGTTGATTAACTTTTTTAAAGAAGTTTAGGAGATTATATGGAGGTAAAAACCTTTGTAAAATGCTAATCACAGTGTCTGACAATTAGAACACATTTAATAAATGTCAGTTTCTTTGCTCAACCCTTATAAGAACCCTTATTCCAAAGCCACCTCCTCAGCTCTGACTTCAGCTCCATTCCTTAGTGAGAATGGGGTTATAAATCCAGGTTAACCCGATTGTTTAGGATTAGAAAGTGATTTGGTTTCCAACGTTGAAGGAGTTCAAGAAACAAAGAGTTTTATTTTTCCTCCTTATGAGATATTGTTCCAAATAGAACACAGTTTGTCTAGATGATTTTTGTCACTTAAAATTAGGCTCCAGGAAAGATTCCAAATTTCATGAGCAATTGGGCTCATAAAACAAGATCAAACTCCAATAGTGTATATCCAAAGTATGTATAATGTGTATTCGGTGTATATTCTTCCACCACTGCATGGTGTAGACAGAATTTCTCTTCCAAGGGGCACCACATGACAAAACCGTACATAATAATGAAATGCATTTGTAGACAAAGGACTAGCTAAAATACCAACTGAAAGTGGGAAGACCAGAAACTGAAGTGTAAGATGAGGTAAGCCCTGGAGTAAGAGTCAAGAAATCCACTTTCTATCCATAATCTGTCTCGGTTTAATGTTGGTCAAGTCATTTTTTAAAAAATTCTAGGTCTTGGTTTCCTTATGATGACTTTAGATCTCTGTTCCTTGGAATTCTAGAGTGATCCAAAGGTTTCTTTGAATTCAGTTTTGTGGGTTGAGACGGGCAGCCAGACTGTGAGTCCCTCAGCTCTGCTTCAACCAGAACAGCTCCACTTTACTGTTCAGCATGTTAGCCCTGTATGTAAGGATGTTTTTTAGCTTTAGCTAAAATTTAGTGACTCTATGACCCTAAGGCCCTGCTTCCCTGAGATTTTGAAAGCTGAAGCACATTCGGAAAACTTTTTCTTCCTTAAAAATCACCTGAAATCTGACAATCTGGAAGACTAGTTCTGTCTGCTCCAGCCCTTGGTCCCTTAGATGTGCTTTTCTGAAGATCCAAACTCAACCTGCCAGTCAATATACCAACTGAGCAGAGCCCCTGTTCTCCACCAGATTTCAAGAGAACATGTTCCATTCCTGTTCAGAGCTTCAGAGCAGCTTCCGCTAAGATTGCACATTAATGCAACAGCGTCCTATTTTCTTTGTTTCTTTTTTTTTTTTTTTTTTTTTTTTTGATGAGACAGGGTTTCACCATGTTGGCCAGGCTGGTCTCAAACTCCTGACCTCAGGTCATCCACCTGCCTTGGCCTCCCAAAGTGCTGGGATTACAGGCGTGAGCCACCGCATCTGGCCAAGCTTCCTACTTTCTTATAAGGCTAAAGTTGCAGTAGAAATATTCCCCTGCTCTTCCTTTCCATATCATAAGTATCCATCTTCCTTCCCCTGCTTTAACTTCTCATGATTGCAGTTTTTGTTTTATTACAATAAAGGATATCAATCATTCATCTAATGTTATAGCAATGAGGGGATTTAAGGTGAAAGGTAGAGAACATATGTTGAGAACTGTTTCTGGAAACTCTAGGTGAAGAAAAAGAAGGGAATTAACATTTATTCAACACCTACAATGTGCCAGGTACAGTGCTAAGTGCCTTTATATACATGAGTTAATATAAACCTCAAAATAATGCTCTAAGGAAAACATTTTAAATAATGCTGAAGTTAAATATCATGATTCCTTTTATATAAGGAAGAAGACAGATTTAGAGAAGTTAAATAAAATTTCCAAAAATGCAGCAATAGCAAGGTGGAGGTATTTGTCTCTAAAATTTCACCCTCTGTTCTGTACACCAAGTACCTCAGCAAGTAATCCAGTTCCAGATGGGATCTGCAGTCTGCCATTAAGTCTTTACCACACATAGGCTCTTATGCTAGAGCCCTTACCATATGGTCCAAAATGCCATTTTTAATGTGTATTTGATATGGAGACTCTGTTCACAATTTGAGTACTAAAGAGAGAATACCACCTCCTAGTAGATACACCAGGACCAATGTAATGCTGTCATTCTAAGGAGAGCAGTGGAACATCTCCAAAGAACCCATCTGTAGTCTTCCTTCGGCCCTTGATCTTATTCCTATTTTATTTTTAAGGTTTTTTTTTTTTTCTTCGAGACTAAATCTCACTCTATCACCCAAGCTGGAGTGCAGTGGCATGATATCAGTTCATTGCAACCTCTGCCTCCCGGACTCAAGCGATTCTCCTCACTCAGCATCCCAAGTATCTGGGACTACAGGCATACACCACTATGCCCAGCTAGTGTATGTGTGTGTGTGTGTGTGTGTGTGTGTGTGTGTGTGTGTGTTAGTAGAGACAGGGTTTCACCATGTTGCCCAGGGTGGTCTTGAACTCCAGAGCTCAGGCGATCCACCTGCCGAGGCCTCCCAAAGTGCTGGGATTACAGGCATGAGCCACAGCGCCTGGCCAATCTTTTAGGGATAATTTTAGAACAGTATACAGATATTGAGCCAAGAGTCAAAAGAGCTGGGTTGCAATTCTGGTTGTGCCATTTATCAGTTGTGTGAGGTGGGACAAGTCTCTTTTTCTCCCTAGCTTTCTCTTTCCTCATTTATAAAATAAAGAAATGAGAATGATAGTTGTATTAATTTCTGAGGACTGCCAGAACAAATTACTACAAACTGGGTGGCTTAAAACAACAAACATTTATTCTCACATAGTTCAGGAGGCTAGCAGTTTGAAATCAAGTTCTTGACAAACTCCCCTAGAGTCTAAAGTCTCTAGAGAAGGATTCCTCCTTGCCTCTTCCAGCTTTTGGTAGCTCCAGTGTTCTTTGGCTTGTGGCAGCATCACTCCAATCTCAGCCTCTAGTTTGTGGTAATGTATTATGACAGTCTTAGGAAAATAATACATCAGTATTTGGAAATGTTTCTTCATTTGCCACAATATGATATCAAATAAAATACATCCACTTAAAAGTTCAGGTATGGATACACCCATTGATTTGGAATGCTAGTGAATGTAAAGGCTTAGGTCAACTTCTCTCTGCAGTTCCAAGGAGGATGAGAAATAGCAGCCTTGACCTCCCACCAGCGGGAGTTTCCCTCCTTCATCCCTGGTCACTGGCCACACAAGGACCTGGCATCTCCCAGTAAATGTGTTCCTCTGCAACCTGAGCCACAAACCTCTCTCTCTTTTATCTCTTTCCTCTTTCTACCTTCATATTTGGTTGGCTATTTTTAGTTCTTCTGCAGATATAGTTACACTTTAAATGACACACAGCCTTTAATTACTTACATGTTGACTTGAAGCAATGTCTGTTGCTCACCTTCTTGGAAATATCAGAAGACAAGAACACTTTTACTTCCTCCTCCTTCTCCCATCCTTCTCTCTGTCTACTTAATCTGTTTATCATATTCTCATTTTTACACCATCAAGGTTTATAATGCTCCCAGAACATACCTCCTTCAAGGTAAATGGGAATGGTAACCTTTGGCCTCTCCTTGCCCATAAGGACAACCCAGTCTCCTGCTCTGCGTGGGTTCCCAATTTGGCCCTAAGACTTTTCTGTTTGTATGATCAGCAAAAGGACATCAAATACTTTCCATCCTCCAATGAGCAGAACACATTCTGTGGTCAGAAGCCTTCTCATTACTTCTGATCTCAAAGGGACATCCAGAGTTGCCCAAACCCAGGCCAACCACCCTTCCATTTAGCCACAGCCTGAAGATCCCAACTATGATCAACAAATAAGACTGACTCCAGATCCCACTCTGCCAACTGCCTACCTAATACCCAGACTCTTGCAGCTGAGAGAGTCTCTTCTAAAATCCAGCCCAAAAGGCACACTAGATGTGAGGACCAGAATATCTTGTATTTTGTAGTCTATTATAGCAAGCATAATAAACTTATTTGTTTGAGACCGAGTCTCACTCTGTCGCCCAGGCTGAAGTACAGTGGCACGATCTCAGCTCACTGAAACCTCTGCCTCCCGGGTTTAAGCGATTCTACTGCCTCAGCCTCCTGAGTAGCTGGGATTACAGGCATGTGCCACCGTGCCTGGCTAATTTTTGTATTTTTAGTTGAGACATGGCTTCCCCATGTTGACCAGGCTAGCCTCGAACTCCTGACCTCAGGTGATCCACCCACCTCGGCCTCCCAAAGTGCTGGGATTACAGGTGTGAGCCACTGCCCAGCCGATAAACTTTAAAATTACTTTTTCTATTCCATATCATAGATTCTGGGAGGAAACAAGGCCCAATTTGAGTAAAAGCAACTGCATTTAGCTGGCTTGAACTTCTTCAGAGAAAGAACAACATAAAATATTCAGCTCATCTGATTTTTTAATGACATTTCCTTTTTATTTATATTCAATTACACAAGTAATACATGAACAGATTCTCCCTTTTTTAAACCATCCCTTATTCTACAGATCAGGTGAAAGTACTTGTTGCTGGCCTGTACTTCCCATCCCCACTTTTGTCCCCAGGACAAAGTACTATCAGGATACTAGCATTCAGAGTGAGCAGATTCCTAGTACTGACATAAGGAGGATCACCATCTAATTTTTAAATTTTAAAAAATGAACACAAAGTCTATTAGAGGAATGAAATGAACCTGCTTTGTAGGTACATAATATTTCTCTCTCCAGAGAGAAAGGAGGAGAGCACACATAAGATAGGAAGATGAGAGCTACAATAAATGAGAGAAGAGAGAAACTGTCAGAAATAGCAGGGCAGAAAGAGGGAAAGAGGTGAGAATGAGAGAGAGGGGGAGGGAGGAACAGAGGAAGATGCGAACAAGGAGAGTCACTCAGTTCTGAGGCAAGCACTTGATTCTCCGTGGTTCATTTGGGTATCCAAGTAAGTTATTTCCTATAATCATTGGCCTTTAGGAGTCTGCTTAGCTAATTAACAGTTTGCAAATTGCCAATTGTTTTTTGTCCCGCATTCTCCAGAGACTTTACACTGCAAAGGCAGACCACAGCAGCCCACCTTACACTTGAGTTGTGGCCAAAGCACCATCCCCACCAGACAAAGCCAGCCCCACAGCTGACCCCGGCCTGTGAGTGTCTGAAAACTGGCTGTAAAGAACATTCTGTCTAGTTACTTCCTCAGTAAACTCTGGGGCTGGGCACTGGAGGTTTTCTGAAAGGAAGTGTTTGGTGTCTCACACAGCCATGTGCTTAGTATATTCCATGCAGCACTCCACTGAGCCAGTGCCCTTGAAATGAGCAAGCACTGCAGCCATCCTCCTTTATTTCCCTCAAGGCAATATCCAAGGATTAAAAAGTCAGAGCCGTCTGCAGATTCCTCCTCTCTACCTTGCCCTGCACTTTTTGTGCCCTTCCTCTTCCCCCTCTCCAGCCCCAAACCTCTCTCCTGATCCACGGTACTCCTCCTGGGATGTCCACTGGGGCTGATCCTCCCCCATTCTCCCCCTGAGTTCCCTGCTGTTAATCTGTCTCCAGCAAAATTAACCTAGCCTATGTCCCATGCCCTCTGGACTCTGGCTGCTCGTCAATCACTCTTAAAAATCCGGTTTCTCCTTAGGCAATCATTTTGTTTTGATTTTATGTGTAAAAAAACCTGAGTAAATTTTTTTTTTTTTTGAGATGGAGTCTTGCTCTGTTGCCCAGGCTAGAGTACAGTGGCATGATTTCTGCTCACTGCAACCTCCGCCTCCCGGGTTCAAGCGATTCTCCTGCCTCAGCCTCTTGAGTAGCTGGGACTACAGGTGCCCACCACCATGCCTGGCTAATTTTTGTATTTTTGGTAGAGACAGGGTTTCATCATACTGGCCAGGCTGGTCTCAAACTCCTGACCTTGTGATCCACGCACTTCGGCCTCCCAAAGTAATCACTGCTGGGATTACAGAAGTGAGCCACCGTGCCTGGCCAAACCTAAGTAAATGTTTTAAAATTATACTACTAACATAGCATACAGGCTTTAGACTGTTGGTTGCTTTTAAGTTTGCTTACTTTAAAAGCTAGAGAGAAGATGGTTGAGGTGATCTTGTCTCCTTCAGTATTCACTCTGAGCCATGCCTCCTGAGGAAGTTTGCTTTAGGGGAGGCATTGCTATGTTATACACTCTACGATGCACCAGCCCTTGCCTCAGAAGGCAAGGTTTGAACCCCAACACTGTCTTTTGCAAACTGTTACCTTAGGAAATAGATTTTATCTCCTTAACTCACTTTTTACATTTGCAAAATGGGTAAATTGTGACTACCTCACATGGATGTCATGAGATGAAATGTAAGAATGTGTGTCCCTGGCATATAGTAACCACTTTCGCCAAAGACTGAGTTATCCAACTACAGACAGAGAACAGCTGGTGGCCTAATCAAAGGGAGATACAAAATAACAATGCCAAGACTGGAAAAGGAAGTTCATCTTAGGATTTCCAAGAGAAAAAGAAATATGACTGTATTATAATAGGTATATTTATTAAGCTCTTACCATGTGCCAAGCAAAGTTCTTTATATACATGATATACTTCATATACATTATTTCATTTAGTCCTCATGGCTACCAGGTGAGCACCATTATTTTCCCATTTTACAGATGAGGCACAGAGAAGTTAAGCCACTTACCTAGGAAGGGCAGTCCTAGTTAAGAAGCTGGGATTCAAATCCAAGAGGCTGGATTCCAGACCTCAGGCTCTATTATGAGAAGTACCTAAATAGAGATTGGTTTAACCAAAGCCTGAGTCCCAACTAAGGGCAAGACTGTGACACAGAGGTCACTAATCAGAATGAAAGATTGAGCCAGAGTTGAGTTGTTGGAATGTATTTTGGTACATTTAGGTTGTTTTAAGTATATCAATCTCCATTCCACTCAATGGTTGAGTTCAGTTTCAAGTTTTCCAAATGCTTTATGGGAAAGTCATATTTTTCTCCCATTGCAGCAGGGATGCCAGCGCAGCCATGCTTCTCAACCACCAAGTAGAAGCAAAGCCAAACTGACCCAAGAAGATGAACAGAGGGAATCCAGGGAGTTCCAACTTGGGTTCACAGCTGCAATTCTCAAAGGATGGACTAAGCCATGTCACCCCTCCAGATAACACAGTCATATTAATAGTGACCTTTTGGAGGCCTCCCTAAACAGCAGGTGAAGTCCCAAAATCATTAGATTATTCCTGGCCTCAATTGTGGCCCAGAGGGAGAGCCCTAAGATTTTTCCATGGGAACAAAGATCTAAATTCTGGGACTATCTGGGCCATGTCCACCCTGCACCATTTACTACAAAATGGGCTGATCCTATGGAAGCACACTACCTGTGTTGTGGTCATATAGATCATCACCTGGCTTCTCCAGGGCTAACCAGTTAGCATGGAAATGGGACACCCAAGAACAAGAGGATAGAAAGAAGGGAAGGGTGGAAAGAAGGAAGGAAGAAAGGGTGGGAGGGAGGGAAGAGTGGTAGTTTTGGAAGGAAGGAGGGAATCAGAGCTAAAGATAATACATGATATGAGTCAGTGTTCAATGTCCCTGAAGATTAGGGGAATCAAGCTTTGCTTCCAGGAGAATTAACACAGGAGAGCCAACAGAGATGTGGAAATTTAGGAAGTCAGAGGAGACATTCTTTCATTCATTCATTCGTTCATTCATTCACTTGCTCATTTTTACATGAATTGACTCTAGAACAGATGCTGGAGATACAAAGATGCATGAGACTTGCCCCCATCCTCAACAGTCATTCACAGTCTAATCAGAAAGAGAGCCTTGCATTTGGAATACAATATGGAGTAATAATACCTCTGTGTTCAGCCTGCACAAAATACTCTGTATGCATGGTCATATGTCCCTTGAAACAACTTTATGAGGAAGATACTACTATAGTCTCCATTTGACAGATAAGGAAACTGAGGCTTAGGGAGGTCAAATAACTTGCCCAAGTAAAACAACTAGTAAGTAGCTGAACCACAAAACAGAGATTCATGCAGAAAGCTGTACAACAGAAGAAACCAGGACTACATCTGCCTCAAAGGAACCAGAGAAGGCTTCCAAAGAAGGCAGCATTTTAAATGGGTTTTGAAGGATGTATAGCAGCTATAGAGGCAGAGAAGAGGAAAAAAGTCATTTCAAACAGAAAGAACAGGTTGTGCATTCAAAGGTGAATTGAGAGGAGAGAAAAGCATGTTCAGGAAAAGACAAGACATTTGTGGCCCTGGGAGCTGAGATATGCCCTCGGGAAGGCTGGAGATGATGTCAAAGACGAAGATTGGACAATAATGCCCATCAGGCCAGGAGCCCCCTTTCTGGATTCGCTGCTTCCACTCTTGTGTAGAATGATCTTTTTAAAATGTTCATCAAATCAGGCCCCCCTCTTATTAAACATTTCAAAGGTTTTCTGTTCTACTTAAAACCTAAAACCCTTCTTTTGTATGCAAGGCCTGAACAGCCTGCCTTTATCCTGTAGACAAAGGGGAGATGGGAGGAGGAGCTAACTCACAAAGACAGTGGTTATGTCTGCTCTACTCACACACATCCCTACTGCCCCGCACGGTGCCCAGCACATAGTAGGTCCTCAGTAGGGTGTTGAATGAATGAACAAATCACTGATGAATGACGGCCCTAAGCAGGGATTTTTCTCCAAAGCTTCCTCACACCTTGGAATGCATTTGGGGGCCCAACACAAAGGTTTCCAACTTCAACAGCAAAAACTCCACCTCCCACACAATGTAGAGTTACTTCTTGCTCATTTCCAGTGGGTTTCTGTCTTTCTCCACAGCCTGACTCCTTCTCAAAATCTCTCTATTCCCTTCCAAATATACATTCTAAATATTTACAGAAGCTTGTTATTCTCCTCAGAGCTGGCCTAGAGTTCTCCTGATATTTCAAAGAATTTCCAAGAATAGGGAAATCTCCTGATATTTCAGAGAATATCCCAAGAATAGATAAAGTTCCATCTGACAAATAGATGCTCAGTAAAATCTGGTGAGTGAATGGATTAATGCAAAAACTAATTATCATGCTGTTCATGGCAAGGGATATGATAATTTTTTCAAGTCCAACTCTGGGGCACCCTCACTTCCACGTCACATGATTAGGAAAAGGGCCCAGGTGGCATTCAGTAGACATAGACTAAGCCTCAACCCCAGCCCTCAGGCACATCAGTGCCCTCTCTAGGCTCTCTCTCACCAACTTTAGAATTGAATTACATCAGTTGTTTCCAGATGGTGATCTGCAGAATTCCTTTAAAGACCACCTGTGGGATTTGAGGGAGGAAAACTACACTCTCCCAATCTCCCTCTTTAACCCAAGCATCTGATTGCTTTCATCTGTTTTACATACTTAGCTTCTGTGCACAACTTCCTTTGATTAAAGAGTTCCTTGCCTTTATAGTAGTGGATGATATCTAAGGATGATGTAAAATACTGGGTGTTAGCTAAGGTTTTACCAAACTTAAAGCCTTTATGCTTCATAATTCCACTTTATTGATGTAGGAAGACAAATGATAGACTTACTTTCAAGGTGGATAGAAGGGATGCGACCTAGCCAAGGCTACAGCATTTCTCTATGGCACCACTGCCATGACAACCATCAGTTTGAATGCCTTATGGGTGCATCCTATGGGTTATGCACTGGCCCCAAGCCATAACCCCTAGGACTCTAGAGCCAGCAGCAAACACAAAACACTGAATTAATAATGAGTGAGATCTCTGTTCCCATAGCTGCCACAGGCTAAATAAGTTGAGGGGGTATTGTAAAACCCAAGATGAGATCACTGAGCCTCTGGTATCAAAAAGGTGTATTTCACAGAATGTTTAGTTGGACGAGAGCTTGAAGAGCATGGAAACGATCTGGTATCATTCTGGTCAAAGACCAGAATTTAGACCCCAGTTCTGCCATTTGCTGACTAATGACTTTGGGCAAAATACTTAACTTTCCTGAGAGTTAGTTTCCTCATCTATAAAGTGGGGTAATATAACCCACCTTGCAGGATACTGGTAGGATTAGTTGAAATAAATTGTAGGAGAACATTTGGCTCAGTGCTAAGCCTATATAAATACTCCACAAGGGCACAGAGAGGGAATGACTTGCCTAGGATCTCCTCCTGGAAATCACACAACAATTCCACTAGTATCATGTGGCCCACAGGCAGCTGGTGGGCACAACCACACTGGTTCAGCATTGCCATGGTCCAAGAGGCTTCTGGTGCCCAGGGAACCAGCAGGGTCCCCTGAGCGTTCCTCCTCAGCTCCCAACACTTCCCTCCAGGCACCAGTATGCAGGGCAAGGTCCTGGAGGGGGCGCCGAAACACCACTCGAGATCCTCACTCTCAGGAATTCAATATAGAAAACACATTAAGACCTGTTTACATGGAACTGCTGTTTATAATTATTGTTCCCTATGGGATATTCCCCACTGCTTCCTCCAATCCTCTTTTAAACTGCTCAACTAATAGAGTTTTCCTGGCTTCCCCAGGGAGACATTCACAGATGCTAATAGAGACATAATTCAAAAATTGCTTGATATACATGCCCTCAATTTTCCCCAAGAACCACCTAAGTAAAGAGCCCCAGACATGCAACACATTCATTGGCCAGATGCAATTTAACATGCGTGGGATTAAATATACAGGCTACTACAGCCAGGTTGTCATCAAGCAGCAGCAGGCATGGCATTTTATCCTAAGGTACCACCACGGCCAAATGCAACAGGAAAGAAGCAGGCTGCTGGGTGGGACCCCTGGAAGATCCCCTCCTCTGTAATTTCCACTGCAAGCTTTTCCCAGGCCTTTTCAGGCAAAGCGGGGAGTTTTGAAAATAAATCCCCCAGGCTTGGAGAAGCAAAGAATCAATGCTAAGCAGCTCCGGAAATAATAGCTTCCATCTCTCTGATATATAAAGAGGATAAGGAAGGCAGAAAGAAGGGGCATGATATTATGAGATTGCAACAATACATTGCAACATTACATTAAAGAATTACAGAAAGCAAGATCTAGCTTCAGATGCCAGTTCATGCACTTACTCCCTGTGTGACCCTGGGAATCACTTAAGCTGTCTGAGACTTAGCTTGTCTAATGACAAACTGGGGATACTAATATCACCTCCCAGGATTGTTGGGAAGGTAAATGGAGATTGACAAATGTGAACACACTTAGTATGTCTTTACATAGTAGGTATTCAATAAACTCTTCTATATATCTTCTCTTTCTGAAAATCTGAATATGGGGAGCATGGATATGCTTATATGTTGGTTAAACAAATGCATGAATGTTGAGCAAATCAGAAAATACTAAAATTAGAAGACTAAAAGGAGTAAACTAGGACCGATTAAAAGAAGTTTGCCTTCCCCAAAACTCATAAACTTAATGAAACTTGCTATCTCCAGAGGAAATTAATATAAATTTAAAATAGCATAGGTTTGAGATGACTTTAGCGGAGTTTCTGGAGAATAGATCCATCACTGGTTAATAAACTAAAAATATAGAGAGAACTGCCCAAGGTTACACGAGTAGAAATTTGGTGTCCCCACCACTCCTTTTTATTGCAGAGGGAATTGACATTCAGGGAATGGAAATGCCCAGCCCAGAATTGGGGATGTGGTCTGGGAACCCAGGTCTCCCATCCCACTCCCTCGCCCTCTCACCCCCTCCCGCTGGTCAGTGTTCTTTGTCCTCTGCTGGCATCCCTGGGGACGGGCCAGCCCCCATCCCCCCGACACACACACATTGTCCCTTCAAGATGGAGCCAGGCTGACACCACGTAGAATGACCTGGAAGCCCCCACTCAGTCTACCAGTCCTCCCTCCTCACACAGGAATAGATGGGAGGGAAATGAAATAAGCTGCCATCTGCTGTGCATCCTCTGTGTGCCATGCTCTGGGTACCCATCTAATCCTCGTGAAGACCCTGAGAAGTGAGTGTTCTTCACAGACTAGGCAACACCAGAAGGCAGGTGAAGAACGTACAGAAGCTACAGAGTGCACAGGTGACAGGTATGAGAGCCAAGCCATTCAAACTCCCTGGGTATAGGACCCAGCTCTTCCCACGTCTCTGCCTTTACCGAATCAAACACCTGAGCACGGAAGACCCTCCATCAACATGAACTGCTTTGAATTGACATGAACAAGCTTCAATCAAACTATAAATGCTGAAATTTTTCAATTATAGAAAGTATTTGAAAGATCCCATAAATTCCCCTGTCATATCACGTGAGCTGCATTTACTGCAGCAGACACTTTTTATCTCGGGCTTGGAGGAAGGATTAGCAAGAAGAAAGTGGAGGGGGTCTGAGGAAGGGCTGGCAGCCTAGAGGAGGACAGCAGCAAGAAGCAGGCTGGAGGCAGTTCTGTGCTGCCGGCCTTCATGGGTGTGGCCTTTGGACAGCACCTTAGCAGGAATGTGGTGGAGAGCAGCCCCATTCACTCCAGAGGAGAGCCTCAAACTCTTCAGGCAGATCTAGCCTAGGTAGAATCTTGGCCTGGCCCCTCCGGGATGACAGGTGCCATTGCCCAAGAATGGGGAAAAGGCTGAAGTGCTCCAGCCAAAGACCCCAATTTATCTTCAGGACAATTTTCACTGGAAACCTTGCCTCACCACTGCCCACTTTTTCAGAAGTAATTAGAATGCTAATCTATAAGAAAGATGACTATTAAAAATAAATTAATAATAGATAATACATTTTGGCTTACAATTTTGAATAATATAGCCATCCCATCTTAAAGTAAAAATTCATATATTTTTAATAAGCCTGAGACATGTTTTCCAATGAACCACAGATGGTTCATTTTTATTATCCTATAAAGAGACATTATGGGCAAGTGTTTTTTAAAATGGTAAAACAGAACCTTAGAGCAGCTCTCTTTTGAAGATCTCTAAGCACTTTCTAAGCATCAGGACCCCCTTCTGTCATCACAGAGACTGAAATGAGGAGATGGTCTCTGTCACCCCCTCACTCACCAGTGAGCCCCAGACCTTCATCCCTGATCAGATGGAAGCAGTGTGGCATGATTACAGTTCATATTTCAACTCTGCCACTCAATGACTAATAGCCAAGCACTAATAATGCAGAAAATGTAAATTTAAAAAATAATCTTCCTGAGATTGGTTATGAAATGCACTCAACACAGCACCATCCACAGAGAGGTTCTTTTTAATTGCTCTTTTCTTTCCTCTCGACACCCAGAATCACAAAGCATGCCTGAAAGCGTCACACATATATGTCTGTGACCATAACATGGCATTGCACATGCAAAGGAAATAAATAGGTGTTACCCATGTGACAAAGGTCCATGAGCTCTGTCCGCAAAAAGCTGTTGAGTTTAAAGAACAAATAATTCTGAAAAATCTTCCAGGAGATGAAATTTGTAGAACTCAAGGGCAGTAAACTAGCTGCTTTCCAAGGACTTGTCATAGCTTTATTGACTTACAATAGCCAAAGATAAGTCAGTATTAATCAAACCCATTCTCTAGAAAAACCTCATCATCACTGGGGCCAGGGCAGAGAAGTGTGACACAGCTCTCTCCAGCTTCCCCACTTCACAGCATGGTTCCACCATCCACCCAATTGCTAAAGCCTGGATAGTCTTCCTTGTCACCTCCCGATCCCCTTCTCTAACACCCATCCCCCGGCCACCCAACATCAGCAAGTCTGGTGGTTTCTCTCTGTCACAGAGATTCAAGATCTTCCCCTCATCTGTCTGTTTCAAAGTTAACATCATCTCTCATCCAGACAGTTGCAACACTCTCCTAGCAGGTCCTTCTGCATCTATTTTTTAATTAAATTTTTAAAGATAAAAACATTCCTCTAAATAGAATCTGCTCCAGAACCCAGATTAAAAAAGAACGAGAAGGGGGAAAGAAGATTAGGGCATCCCAGAAGCTCCCTATTTGCCCCATTTGATTCATTACTCCCCAAAGGTAACTGCTATCCTGACTTCTAGCAACACTGGTTAATTTCCGTTGATTTTGCACTGTATATTCATCCGTGCTGTTGGACACTGTCATACTTGATTCATTCACATTGCTGTGTAACATTTCATTGTGTGACTATTTTAACATCCATTTTACTGTTGAACACTTGGGTAAACTTCTGCTTTGAGGCTATTATAAACTTGACACTTCTGCTTCCCATTGCTTTAAAGATAAGAGCCCAAGTCCTTGTCAGACAGGTGAATGGTCCACACAGTTAGCATCCTAGGCTGGGCGCGGTAGCTCACGCCTGTAATCCCAGCACTTTGGGAGGCCAAGGCGGGTGGATCATGAGGTCAGGAGATCGAGACCATCCTGGCCAACATGATGAAACCCCGTCTCTACTAAAAATACAAAAATTAGCCAGGTGTGGTGGCATGCGCCTGTAATCCCAGCTACTTGGAAGGCTGAGGCAGGAGAATTGTTCGAACCAGGGATTCGAAGGTTGCAGTGAGCCGAGATTGCACCACTACACTCCAGCCTGGGACAGAGCAAGACTCTGTCTCAAAAAAAAAAAAAAAAGCCAGGCTTTTTCTCATCTCATAATCTTTGCGCATGCTGTTCCCTCTTCCTGAAACTGCTTTCCTACCACTTCTCACCTTTATGCTTCACCTCGTAGTGTTCATAGACTCTCCTTCCTTCCTAACTTAAAAGAGGCTCCTTCTGGTTTTTCCTTCATACACTTCCCTCACTCTTTTCCTTCACTGCACTAAAGATGATTTCTAATTGCATAGTCATTGATGCCAGTATTTGTTTATTGTGTCATTCCTGCTGAACAGAGGATGGGCCTGACTTATTTGGGACCATGTTGCTGATGCCTGGACCTAAGCCTGGCACAGAGTAGGAGCTCAACAAATTTGTTAAATGAGTGGCTGAATGGCCATACTCTCAAAGGACCCACAGTCTAGGAGAGACAGAAGAATCTTTGTCTTTTTGTCTTGCAGTGGGATGGAAGCTGCAGGGAGGGGTCTTGTCACATTGATACTGTCTGGGGAAGACAGAAAAACTTCAGTTTCAGAGGAGGTAGCCCTTGAAACGAGATTTGAGAGAGGGCAGCACATTGTACAACTCCATGGGCACCATGCACATTGTAGTCCAGATAAACAGAGCCCCTTGGAGATATGTGAGGCATGGGATAGACTCAGAGAAACCCAGGAAATAACCCCTTCAGGCATCTGACATGCAAAGATGTGGAAGTGTCAACCAGGAAGTCATGTTGGGGGAACAGCAAGTATTTACAGAAAGTGACTGTGTGTGTCTGTGTAGGAGGGTGACTTTGTATAGGAGAGATAAAACCTGTGAGCTAATCAAGGAGAAGATCATAAAAGACCTTCATAAAGAGCATGGCCTTTTTCCTGCAAGCAGTGAGGAGCCATTGAAGGCTTTAGCATAAGGACAGTCAGATGTACTTCCCTAGAATGCACATTTCCTTCTGCTCCAGAACTTCTGCACAGGAGGCTCCTAAAAGCTCTCCCCATCCTCCCTGTACACGTAGAATCTGCCTCTGTCTCTCTTTCTCTCTCCTCCTCCTCCTCCATCTCCTCCTCCTCCTCCTCTCCCTCTCTCTCGCTGTCTCACACACACATACACACACACTCCTTCCTTCCTATCTAGTCAGATTCCACTCCTTGGGATTTCAGGCCCACCGTCACTCCTCAGGGAAGCCTGCCCTGAATGCCTGCACTACACCAGGGCCCCTTTCCCCTGCCCCCATCCCAGAGCACCAAATAGCTTTCCCTTGCAGCACTTCTCACAGCTGTCATTTTATGTTTGTGTCTGTGATTCTTAGGTTAAGTCCCTCATGCACCAAATCATAAGATCTGGGAACAAGGACCACACCTGTCCTGTTCATCACTGTAATCATCACACTGCCTGCCAAAGTGCCTTGCACATATTAGATACTTAGTAGTTATGTGTTCCATGAATGACTCTTTAAGAGATCTTCTAGCTGTTCTTGCAAAGAACCCATTGGTAAGGTTGAACCTACAGGCTGATACTTTGCACTAGTCTCAGGAAGAGATGGTGAGTACATGAAATTGAGTCCCCCAGAGGTTAATGCCCAGTGCCCCAGCTAGGAAACGTCCAAGGAGGCAATTTGAACCCCATCTGTCTGGCTGCAGAGCCTAGCCCTCTAATGCATTCAGGGGTCCTAGCTCCTCGAGGATGCCACTGTGCCGTGAACTTCTTTCTGACCCTCATGGCTCCCAGCACAGCATCCACACTCAGAAGTGCAAGATGAATGTTTGCAGATAATGAACATAAAGCTCTCAGGAACCCTCATCTCCTGAGAATCTGCTTTGGCCCCCACAGCAGGTCTGGGTGTGGACCTTCCCCAATGGCCTTGGGAAATTATCAACATCTCCCCATTAGCTGTTGCAATATTAAATTGTGTGACTGGAAATGAATGAATAATCCCATGGGCAAGTGAGGGAGACCAAGCAGCAGGGATTTAATAACAAGTCCTGCCCTTTCTCCAAGCAGAAGGTCTTCCTAATTAAATATTAAAAATCTATCCATACAAGCAAGAGCGAAAAATTGCATTTTCAGCAGTGCAGCTTTGAGATGCTGCCTCAGAAGACCCAAGAGCTGTGGGAATGCCCTCTCCAGGACCTAGAAGAGGGGGCCAGAAAACCGCCATGTGGTAAGCACTGCCGGGTACCCGGGTATCACAGGCCTTGCCACATTCAATCCTCATGGGGACAATGAGACAGGGGTTAGATCACAGCCACTGTCTAAATGAGCAAACTGAGGCTTAGAGAGGGTTAGTGACTTACCCAAGGCCACCAGGTATCAAGTGGCAAAGTTGGGATCTTAACCCAGTTCTATGTGGCTATAAAGTTCATGGAATAGAATGCTGCAGTTAAGAACATGGGCTTTGGCATCAAGCAGACCTGTATTTGAGCCCCACCTCTGCTGTTTATTAACTGTGGCCCTGGGCAGATGACCTTACATCCTTAAGTCTCTAGTTCTTTGTCTTTAAAAGGGTGGCAGAATGTACCTCACTGGTTTTAGGAAGGTCACATGAGATAGTGCACATGAAGCCCTAGGCATGGGAAAATTCTTCTAAAATGTCAGCTGCCATTCTGATCACTGCAAGACCCCCACCCCCAATACTCCCAATTGTACCACCCCACCCCACTCACCAGTGTCTCAGAAATGCCTCCTCCAGAAGGAAGGCATCCTGTCTAACCCACTGCTTCTAGCCAAGCTGTCTTTCTTCAGAAGGTAGAAAAAGATTGTTAGTCATTGTTTAATCTTTATTGAGTATATACCGCCACACCAATTGCACTGCCATTCATTATCTCATTTAAATCTGACAAGAGCCTTGTAAAGTAGGGATTATTCCCACCATTTCCCAGATGTTGAAACTGAAATTGATAAACACGACATGTTGCCATGGCTACATGAAGATCTCCAAGCCGGAGGATCTCCACCCTCACCTGCCTAGCTTCCCAGACCTCTCTGCAGAAAAGGGACTGACCCCCAAGACAGCCCTGGCCTCTGGGCTCCACCCCTTCCACATCCATCCCAGGGCCGCTGAGGACTGAAGAGTTCTCCACGTTTGCCCTTTAAAGTGACTTAAAAATAATCTTTATGAATTTCTTCATATACAAAATTTGTACTTACTCATTGCAGCAAATTTAGAAAATACACATAAGCAAAAAAGAACGTAACAGCCATCCATAACCCTAACTCTCAGAGATCACCACTATTAAAATGTTTATTATCTAAGAGAGAGATGATATAGACAAAGATGAGACAGATTGACACAGAGAAGATGGGTACATGATAGATATTTTCTGTTTTATAACCCTTGCTTTTTCTTGCACTTCTAGGAATTTTTCTGAGAACTAATCTGAAATCTGCACAGGGTCCCCACGTCTCGGATCCTCATCCCATTGCCTCCCACCTTCTTGAACTTTGCTTCAATAATTATCACACCTCCTTTGCATGTTTAATCTTCCCCCTTTTAATGACAACTACCAAGACCTGTTTCCTAGTGCAGGGTCATGAGGTAACTAAAATAAGAATTAAATTGCTCTGTGAAAAAAAAAAAAAAAAAAAAAAGTTTTACAGTCCCAGGAGATTTTCTCCAGCCTTATCATATTGTTGATACCATAGGGTCAGTTCTGAAGCTGAGCCCAACTCAGCCCTAAGCTTTCTAAAGGGGAATTG
Organism: Homo sapiens; assembly: GCF_000001405.40. Taxonomy (NCBI): domain Eukaryota; kingdom Metazoa; phylum Chordata; class Mammalia; order Primates; family Hominidae; genus Homo; species Homo sapiens. The sequence continues at coordinate 170,699,687 of NC_000005.10, forward strand.
CCAGGTCCCCTGGTATTCCAGCTGAAACCTCAAACATCCTAAATTGTAGGCTCTATTAACTAATAAGGAGAAACACACTTCCTTCCCCTTCCCATGACTTGTAGGGAGTCTAGGGTCTCAGGCCTATGTCACAGGCCCTCGATTGCCATGAGTCAGCAAGGAGAGGAAGGACACGAAGCCAGCAGGCAGAGAGCTGGCCCCACAGAGCCATCCTCCGTGAAGCCCCAGCAAACGGGAGGGACCAAGTTTGTTTCAGTTTTCCTAAAAATAACAAGACTGTATTTTCTTTGCTGTTGGCTGTCCCTAAAACTGTTAACATGGGTTCCCAGCCTGGCACAATGTGGTCCATGCCTGCCTCCCACATACCTGCCTCCCACCCCTCTGGGCCTTGTTCCCTTCATCCCAGCCTCCAGACACACCTGCCTCCTGTCATCTCTAGAGCAGGCTTATCTTGTTCTCCTGTGGGCTCCTTGTAGAGGATGTTCCCTCTGCCCAGAACGCTCTCCCTCACTCATCACCTGTTGGTCCCCTTCTCCTCCTTCCAGGCTCTGTGTCAAGGCCACCACAGAGAAGCCTTGCGGTTATGTTTAGTTCTTCCTGCCTAAGTTCGCATGGTAACCCATACCTTTCCTCCATCATAATTTGCTCAACTGTAATCAAACATTATTTTTAAAAAATCATTCCAGCCTGGGAAACAGTGAGAAACCCATCTCTACAAAATAAAAAATAAAAATTAGCTTGGCATTGTGGCATCTGCCCGTGGTCCCTGCTACTCAGGAGGCTGAGATGAAAGGATCACTTGAGCCTGGGAGGTTGGGGCTGTGGTAAGCCGTGATTGCCCCATTGCACTCCATTCTAGGCAACAGAGTGAGACCCTGTCTCAAAAAAAATATTATTCATTTAATATCTGTTGCCACCACAGGACTGATCCCTCTGTGAGGGCAGAGATTGTTCATGCATGGAATTGTGATTTATAAGCACTGGCTCTGGAGCCAGGTTGCCTGAGCACGGAGCCAGCTGTGCCCTGCGGGACACCTGTGGCACACTTCACTCCTGGGACACCTGGGACACGCACACAATAGAAATGTTCACATTTTACTAGGCAATGCCAGTCACATAGTCCTACCTAATTTCAAAAGGGTAAAAGGTACACCCAACACGCATCAGGAAGGAGGAGGACCAGAAATTGTTGGTGACAAGCACAAATGACCACCCCAATATAATATTTTGTTTGGAAGGCATTTTATTCCACAAAAACAACATTACAATAAACACAACAACAAAACACTGGTTGCAGTAGAACCAACTTTCCAGACCTATCTGCACAGCACAACCATTATCCCACTCAAAATGTCATGTTTTTACCCAAAACATTAAAATTTTAAAAGCAATTCAAACCCATAGCTTAAAAAATGTTCCAACCAGTAATAAAAGGAAAAGTGTGCCTCCTCCTCCCAACTTCCCTACCCCACAATCGCAAGATATTATCCTTATAGGCGAAAAGGGTTTCAGGATTTGAGATGCAGGCTGGGAGGTCTGAGAAGACTTCCTATAGAAGACATGACTTCAAACTCTTTCTTGTATGTGAGATTTAATTTTCAAAGACTCCTCTGATCCAACTTAAGCTTTATGGTAAATCACCTTGGGACTTAAATGATGAGAAGCACTGCTATCTCACAGTGAGAAATTCAGAAGGGCTGGGAGTTCCAAGTCAGAGCTCTGATCTGGAAAGTTCCATCAAAGCGTCACTCCAGGCTTAGCGGTTGCCACCCACCACTCGTCAGACTAAACAGCCTCAGAGCCCTGTGACCTGCTAATGTATTCACAAACTAACTCAGCTAATTAATCCCAGCTCATTCATCCTCTCAAACTATGCAAGTCTTCCAGCTGGCCCTCCGGCTTGCTGCCCTGGCTAATGGAGTGTTACGTGGACTCTCTGTAGGTTGCACCTTACTCGCAGCCAAGCAAAGGCACTCATTAAGAAGCTGAGCCCCAGGGCTCCCCCATGAGTGGGGAGGAAACTCATGAGTGCCTTCTATATGCCAGCGCTCTATCTGCAGGGGTTCTTTTGATAGCAGCAGACTGAGAGATGATGTTACTGTCCCCTTTTTCCTGTTGTTGGCAACTGAGACTCAGAGGATGGAAGTGACTTGCTCAGGTCCACCACCTCTTCAGCTGTGGAGCTGCGACAGGAGCCTTTGTTTGACTTCAAAGCTCACCATCACTCCTCTCTCACTGATGCTCAAGTGGGCTATCACCTCGCCTTTCCTGAGCCTTCCTTCGCTATCCTAAAACAGCGCCTCCCGAAATCACCACTAAAGAACTTATTCATGTAACCAAACACCAGCGGTTCCCCTAAAAACCTATGGAAATAAAAATTAAAAATAAAAACAGTGCCTCCCATGACCCATGTCTCTCCAGTCCCATAACTCTGCTCTATTTCCATTCACAGCTCCATCCCCACCTTTATGTCTTTTGTTCACTGCTTTATCCCCAGTGCCTAGAAGAGTGCTTGGCACCTAGTAGACACTCAGTAAGTATTTGTCGAATGAGTTAATAAGGTTGTGAAAAGAACGTTAGATTACTGGAAGGATTCATCTGAGTTTAATTCTGCTATGCTGGGAATCCAGTGTGCGGCCTTGGATGAAGCCAGTTCCCTCCCTGGGCCCCAGTAGCCACATCTGTACATTTAGAGGGCAGGAGAAAAGCCACACGCTCTGTGACTTATACAACTTGTTGCCCAGAGTGGAGGCTGCTTTGATGCTCAGAAAAAAGAAACAAACATGGAAATGCTAAATGGGTGGCAGAGAGCTTGAGGGAGGAAGGAGATGGGGAGGGTACTCTTGAAACTGTTTGGTGTCTTCCCTCCTGCCCCCTCAGTACCAATTGTCAAGTACAGAAAGTGAAGGAGACTTGTATTAGTGGAATTTGGTCCCTGACTTGTTATAGAGACACAATTACAAAGACACAAGAGTGGGCCCAGCAGAGACCCTTAGGGTGGTCCCTTGAGGTTCCAAAGCATCTGCCCATCAAGCAGATGATGTGATTAGTCTCTGTGACCCCAAGGATGCCTCCTGAAATTGCTGATTCAATTTCTCCTAATAAAATAGGAACAATAATTAGCTAATAAGAAATCAACAATTAAAGCTATGAGAGAATTAAGTGAGATCATGTAAGCAAAGTACATGTCACAGTGCTCTGCAAATAGGCAGTGCTCAGAAGTGTCACCTTTTCTCTTTCTTCTCTGAGCCTCCGTCTTCTCTTCGGTAAAATGAGAATAATATTATGCATACCTCACAGGGGTTAAGCAATGTGAAAGTACTCTGTAAAGTATAAGGCTGAAATGTACTGGGCTCAGAACCTATAGGTCTGTTCCATTCTCGACACACGTGATATTAGCAGCACGGTACATTTAAGGACACGGCTTGATTCTTTAATCACAGGGCATCCTGTCTTCTCCACATTGCTTGGGACCCCAAAAAATGAAGTTCTGTCATGTCTCTAGACCACCACCAAACACATAAAAGTCACTTAGGAAAACATGGTAGGAGGCAGAGGAAAGGAATTGTTGAACAGGGATTGCAGATTCAGGTATATAAACGAGTGATGATGACTCTAACAACAGCTCTTGGTCTTAGTGTTGGAAATGTAATAGGGAGTAGTGGGGACTGCGGTTTAATTGTTGCCGTGTGGGAATGTGGGCCTGGCATGGCCATAATTTCAGATTTCTAAAGGAAAGCCAAAAGTTCATATTTTTATGTGAAATAAATGTTGATAAAGTTCACACTTAAATGAAGTGAAACAGACCAGGGCTGGTGGTTTATACCTGTAATTCCAGTGCTTTAAGAGGCCGAGGCAGGAGGATCACTTGAGGCCAGGAGTTCAAGGCTAGTCTGGGCAACACAGTGAGACCCCATCTCTACCAAAAAAAAATTAATTTAAAAAATAAAAGAAGTGAAACAACAGTACCCTGTGGGCTGCCAGATTGTGATTTCTGAACTAAACTGTCAGATTACAAAGTTACCCGCTAAATTAGCCAAATACTTTCCAGATATTCCCTGGGCCACTGTCTCGGGACTCTTAATATATTTTCCAATTAGTTCCTTTTAGTGCTACATACACACTTTTAGCAAATAATGAGCACTTACTAGTCACTTTCTATGTGCAAAGCAGATATTAGACATCACAGAGGGAGTGAGATACCGAAAACAAAAATAAAACAAAAATAAGCACAAGACACAATCTCCGCCTACCCCACCCTTGAATATGAAAACTGTGACACCCAAAGGTAGATTTTGATACCTGCTGGGTGATTGCTAGAGATAATAAGTGCTTTGGGAATTTGGACAGAGAGAGCTTTTTTTTGCAGTGGTCTGAGAGAGCTGCCCAGAGGAGATGGCACTTACGCCATGTTTTAAGGGTGGATAGGATTAGTGCCAGATGATCACATGCTCTGGTAGACAGGGGTCTGTGCACCAGTAGATTCTGGGGCTATTGCAGAGGACTCATGACAGGGATTAGTCTCTGTGACCCCAAGGATGCCTCCTGAAATTGCTGATTCAATTTCTCCTAATAAAATAGGAACAATAATTAGCTAATAAGAAATCAACAATTAAAGCTATGAGAGAATTAAGTGAGATCATGTAAGCAAAGTACATGTCACAGTGCTCTGCAAATAGGCAGTGCTCAGAAGTGTCACCTTTTCTCTTTCTTCTCTGAGCCTCCGTCTTCTCTTCGGTAAAATGAGAATAATATTATGCATACCTCACAGGGGTTAAGCAATGTGAAAGTACTCTGTAAAGTATAAGGCTGAAATGTACTGGGCTCAGAATTGGGGAATCGTCTGGAAAGGTAGACCAGGGCCCTAGCGTGGACTCTTCAGCGCCAGCAGGAAAATCTAGGCTCTGTCTTGAAGGTTCCTCAGCAGGAAGGTGGGGGGTTGTTGTGGGGTGAATCTGATGGAAAGGGATTCCTCCTCCTCCTCCTGCTTTCTCCAGGGTGAGGAATCTAGGCACTAGCCCTGGGGCCCCTCCAGGTCCCACTCTTCACCTCTTGTTTTTTATTTCTCCTGCCATACAACCTTCTTTTTATTTAAAATAGATTTAAGCAGGATAGAGCCCCCTCCCCCACCATCAAGGCTGTTTCCTTGTAGGTGGGGGGATGCCTTCATGGTAATGATGTAGACCCTGAGACAATATAGAGAGGCAGCAGGGCTTGGAAACAGGCAGTATTTCCTCTTTTTATGATGGTTTCATTTTACATTTTTATTGGCCTTTCACTGATTGCTCCCGGGCTCTCTGGCAGGATGTGAGATGCGCTGACATTTATAGAAATCAATACATTAATAAATCACGAAGTTCATAATGTCTGATTTGCTTCTAAATGAGACAGAACTATTATCGCCATAAAGTTGCACATAAAATATGCCCAATTGTGATGTATTGTGTAGTCTAATCAAAGGCATTTGAGTGAATAACCTTTCCCCAAAAGAAGGAAACAATCAAAGCTGAATAACTTCATTAATAATTCAAGGTGTGTCTGCCAAGGCTTCATTTATTAAGTGCACAGTTAAGAGGCTTCAGAGCTGAATCCTGGAGAGGATAGCACCTTGCCATCTTCTCCCTGCCTCTGGGCAGGCGGATATACATTCTCAGATGAACTGACTGCACTCCTTGCATCTGGAAGTTCATGTTCCAGTGGAGGGTAATGCCCAGTTGACTTCTTCAGCTAAGAGATGGCCCGTAACAGTGCTCATGGACTGTCCGGATTCTTAAGGGCAGAGGAGCCAGAGCCAGGAAATGTCCTTAGTGGCCATCAGTTGTTATGTCTGTTCACTAATGTTCCAGGCCCTATGCTTCTGGTGTCCACCACCCACAGACCCCCTGTTCTGTTCCACGGACTGAGATGATCAACAGTCTTTCATCCAGAGGGTTGTGTTTGCTGGTGGCCATTACCTTTAACATAAAACGATCATATTTACTTTATCCTATTCATGTCCAACCTCAACTGACAATTGAGTTGTGTCTCTGACAATAAATAGCAGAAAAAGGAAATCTTCCTATACTGAAGAGAAACACAATTAATTAACTAGATCCATCAGGAAAGGTACAATCATGATTGAGACAGTGTTTAACAGATGTGACTATTGGATTCTGTTGTTGAGAATGACCCTTAAAATCACAGTCAAAATATACGACAAGATGGAAATAACATTTTTGAGCACCTACTATGCATGTAGAGCATCTTACATACCTTATCTCACTTAGATTTACAGCTGCAAGGTGGGTATGATTCTAGCTTGAATTAGTCTAATAACCATATACCTCCTAGGGGCAGTGAGATGATTAGATCAATTCTAAAACTATTACCATGCTCTCTGAGCTCACCAAGACAGGCAGTTAATACAAGGATACATTAATACCGAATCCAGCAAAAGCTCACATGGCCAGCTTCCATTATGTTCCTATTTGTGATTATTCTGTATCAAGCACAGAAATGTATGTTCACACGAACAACAAAGAAGGGGTTTATTAGTGTGGATTACAGGGCCTAAGCCTACCCTCTGAAACTGGTTTTGGAGTCTTTAGCACGCTTGTTTGGGACAGTTAAACATGTGCCAGCTATTCTAAAACAGTAGCAGTAATGTGATAGAGCTGGGTCATACCGTGCTTCCCAAAGTATGATCACTTCATTTCAACAACTTCACACTAACAGCCTGAACTGGGCTGTGAAGGGAATATTTAGACCAAGGAAACTGGAAAACTGTATCAATCAGGCTTTTCCACCCTCCCCAAGAGCCAGTTGTCAGATATCTACCAGCCTACCAACGCTAGCTCTCTAATCAGAAACCATCACTTAGCAAGTTCCCAAATTATCTGCAGAGCAATGAACTCCTCTTCTTCAGAAAGCAGGCTGAAAGATACACTGTTCACATCTTAGCCTGACCTGGACCCAGTGAGTTTCCATCAGTGAGAAAATTCTGTGCTAACTTGAGATAATACTATTCTTGTGGCAATTTTACTTTTCCTTTGAGCGATTCCTTCAACCTCTCTCTGCCCCTTCATTTTTCCGTCTTAAAACTAAAAGTGCCCTTTCTCCCTGGACACTCCTCATTTGCAATGAATTGTCATTTCAGCTCCTCAGTCAAGAGGAGTAATGAAATCCCACCCGTGTTAATCCTCTTATATCCCGCAGAAATATTGTAGACCCACTCACCCTAGGCAACATGCCCTCTCTCTTCAACACAGGTCATCAATTGTTCATTTACTGGCTATCTCCATGTACTGGAACTTCAGGGTGGTGTCCAGCTGGGTTCAAAGGAGAAACAGTGGGAAGTTTCTCCACTGCCACCTGAATTAGATGAGAAAGAGTTGTCTACTGAAATACACTAGCTGGTGGCAGGATTGGGACGTCATTTGACTAATTGCCTCCTAGAGCTGCAGAGACTGCTGGAACTACCTAAGTAAATCATCAAAAAAAAAAAAAAAAAAAATCATCCCAGGGCACTTTTTCCAGACAAAAAGGTCCACTTAAAACATCCTCTAGAGATCTGTGCCTGAAGCTGAGCTGCTGCAATGAAACTGACATTTCTGCCTTGCAGCCTGGCCATGGGCTTAGCTGGACTAAAATGCTGCTGCAGTGGTGAGGGCACGTGAGAGTCCCTAATGTACATGGCCTTGCTCCTTGTCCTGACACATCTTTTAGGGCTGCTGCTTTCTCTAGTGCTGGAATCTAGATAATTCCTTTCCCAGCCGTTTGTTTCTTCAATCTTGGAAAATATCTGGATGAATGTAACACTGTCACACACAAACAGAATTATGACTTACGTCACATTCTATGTCGTGATTTTGTGGACTTTTAATAATTGCATTACATTTGTGACCATTAATTTCCACCATCGCCCTGCTCCTGAGAATCTGTAAGGGACATTTGACACTCCTCTCCCCACCCACCTCAACATTTGTGCTGACCTGAAGGTCACATTAAAAACATACCCATTTGGAGAGAAAGATCTGTCTACTGAAATACACTAAATATTGAAGAATTTCCAAGTCATTTGATCTTGAAAACTCCATCTAATGGAAGCAGAAACACTCAAAGGTTTTTTTTTTTGGACTCCCTTTTTCAGGACACTTTCAGGACTGAGGTATATAAATGAATGAGAAATGTATAAATTCAATTTCACTTAAAAGGAGCAGGAGGGGTTTCAAGATTAAGAGAACAAATGCTTGAAGCAAAACATGATTTGAGTTTTATTGAACCGAGAAGACTGAAAAAAATACGTGGAACACTCAGAAAATCTTTATCAAGGCTCAGCTGAGCACTCCTGGGGCTCATTGTTAAGTTTATAAAACTCAGAGCTGATGAGTTGTGTGCACTGTGTGGGTCTGAGTGGGCTTATGACTCCCCTCCAAGCCTGGCTGTAAGAATCTAAGACTTAAAGCTGAAGGACCAAATGGGACTTTCCGTCCCATCCCCTCTCTGCTCCATGCAAGCACCAACGTGGATTTTTGCCCCTAATTATATTAGGGAACGCTGTCAATCAAAAAGATGATGTTAAACTCATCCAGAACAAACCAAACCATGTTTAAGGGGAAGAAAAGATTACATCTTCAAATGCCAGCATGCCATCATTAATACAATGTCTAATGTAGTCAATATAGTTCAGGCAACATTGAAAATGAACCACTGCAAATACTAGGAATACAATTTCAAGAGGAAGCACAACATTCTGTGTTTCTATGCACACAGTCCTGTAAATTATTTGCAGCTCAAGTATGTCATGTTCTTTTAAATTTTCCCCTGGGTACAGCTTGAACAACTTCCTACAAGTGTTGATATGTCATATTCTCATTATCATTTAGTTCAAAATTACCATGATTTAATTACCATGAGGTTGCTTTTTTGATACATGAGTTACTTAGAAATTGAATTAGGCTAGGCATGGTGGCTCCCACCTATAATCCTAGCACTTTGGAAGGCCAAGGCAGGAGGATTGCTTGAGTTTGAGGCCAGTCTAGGCAATATAGTGAGACCTCATCTCCACAAAAAAGTACAAAAAAACTAGCCAGGCATGGTGACACATGCCTATAGTTCCAGCTACTCAAGAGGCTGAGGTGGGAGGATTGCTTGAGCCTGGGAGGCAGAGGTTGCAGTGAGTGGAGATCACACCAGTGCACTTCATCCTGGATGACATAGCGAGACCCTGTCTCAAAAAAAGAAAAAAAGAAATTGAACTATATTGCTTGATTTCCAAATGTTTTTGAGGATTTTCTAATTTTCTTTTGGCTATTGATATGTTGCTTAATTCAACTCTGGACAAAAACAGTCTATAACTTCAATTCTTTAAAGTTTTTTGAGATTGACTTTATGGCCCAGGAAATGGTCACTTTTGGTAAATATTCTATGTGCACTTGAAAAAATTTATAGTATTTTATGATTGCTGAGTACAGAGCTCCATACGTCTCAATGAGACAAGTTTCTTAATTATGTTGCTCAGATCTTCTATACCCCTATTGATTTTTTTGTCTGTTTATCAGCTGCTGAAAGAGGTATTTTTAAATTACTCCAATTATGACTGTGAATTTATTATTTTTCCTTTTAATTCTATCAGTCTTTGCTTTATTTGTATTTTGAAGCTACATTATTAGTACATATTAATTTAGAATTGTTTTATCTTCCTAGCAGATGGGCCCTTTTACATAAGAATTCTCTATCTCTAGCAAAGTTACTTGCCTTAACATCTACTTTAGCTGATGTAAACATAGCTGTGCCAGTGTTTCTTGATTTGTGTTTGCATGGTATATCCTTTTCCATCATTTTACTTTTATTTTCTGTGCCCTTATGCTTACAAGCAGCATTTAATCAGGGTTTGGTTTATATCTGATGATTTCTATCTTGTATTGTAGATTTTCTATTTTTTAATTTTTCAGTGGTTTTACTCTGATGTTCTTATAAGTGGTTTTCTTTGTGTTTATCTTGCTTGGGGTTTGTAGTGCTCCTTCACTCTGTGACTTGATATATTTCACTCATTTTTTTAAAATGTTCATTTATTAGCTCTTTAAATATCGCTTCATTATCATTATTTATCTCTTTCTTTTCTGAGACTCCAATTATACATATGTTCAAACTTTTCATCGCGTCTCATATGTCTCTTATGCAAGCTTATCTGTGATTCCATTCTTTTTTTTTCTTTTTTTGAGATGGAATCTCACTTTGTTGCCCAGCCTGGAGTGCAGTAGCACAATCTCGGCTCACTGCAGCCTCCACCCCTTGGGCTCAAGTGATTCTCCTGCCTCAGCCTCCCAAGCAGCTGGGACTACAGGCGCGCACCACCATGCCCAGCTAATTTTCATATTTTTAGTAGAGACGGGATTTCCCCATGTTGGCCAGGTTGGTCTCGAACTCCTGACCTCAAGTGATCCCCCGCCTAGGCCTCCCAAAGTGCTGGGATTACAGGCATGAGCCACTGTGCCTGGACTGTGATTTCATTCTTTTCTCTCTTGTGCATCTGTCTGTGCATTTTTCTATTGACTTATCTACCAAGTCACTTATTATCTCTTAATCTGTGTCAAACCCACTTTTAAATTGGTCTGTTTAATTGTTAATTTGGATAACATATTTTTCAATTCTACAATTTTTGATTGACTTTTTGTATATATTCTGGTTCTCTGGTGGAATTATCTAGCTTTTTGTATATTTTCTTGAACAAATGTTCACCATTATTTTAAAGCCCAGATATGATTAATCCAATTATCTAGATCAGCTGTGGATCTATTACTGTATTCTATTTTTTCTCTTAGTCTTGTCTCTTAATATGCCTGACAGATTTTTACTGAAGGGTGCACATTGGAATAAAAAATGTGTTACCTATCTGGTTGAGTCTTCAGCTTCAGAAAGGTAATAGAGCAAAGGCAGATAAATCCAAACAGGGACTGAGCTGTTTTCATGCAGGCTGCCTTGGTAGCTCTCCAAAGCCTTCAAAAATGATGAGATTTTTTTTTAAATCCTTTTTATCCAGTTGTTCTCAAGGGATTCCACCCCTGCATAGGAGAGCTCACCATTCCTGGGATCTTCAGCTTCTATGCCTTTGCATATGCTCTTCCCTTGTTCCCTCATTCTTCAACACTCAACTGAATTATCACCTCCCTTGAAGCCTTCTCTGACATCCCTTCTAGTCCCATGCCACCCAGGAGGCACTAAGAGCTTCCTCCCCTCAGCTCCCAGTTCTTAAACATGTCAACACTGTTTTGAAATGATTTGCCAATGAAAAATTCTAGACCAGCAACCAACAACATCCTTCCCAAAGGTGTGTTATATATGGTACATGCTGTATGTGCTAAACACCAAATTCATTGATAACAGCTAAGAACCAGGAAACAAACCATCGTTAATTATGGCATCTCTTGAAAAATCTAAAGATCTGGACTCACTGGGCTTAAATGACTGCATGATAACAACTGGTTGAGTAACAACTGTTTCCCTTTCATGGAGCAGTTACTCTCCAGTTCTCAGTTCCTACCACTCTCTATAGTTGTACACTCATCATCTGTCCTCATCTGAATTACCTGCCAATGACTACTGGCATTTGAGTTTCTAATCCATGGTCTATGTGTATGCCTCCTCACCAGTGTGAGAACTCATGTAAACAGGTATTATGTCTTTTCATCTCTCTCCTAATACCTAAGACATTCCTGGCACACCAGAGCATGTCAATGCTTCTAAACATATCTATATTAAAATGCTACCAAAGCATTCAGGGTAGTGAAACTATTCTGCGTAATGCTGTAACAGTGGATACATGACGTCATGCATTTGTCAAAACCCACAGAACTGTACAACACAAAGCATGAACTCTAATGTAAACTATGGGCTTTAGTTAATATCTACATATCAATACCGGTTCATCAACTGGAACAGATATACCACACCAGTGCAAGATGTGAATAATAGGAGAAACTGTGAGGGCGGAATATACACAAACTCTCTATATTTTCTGTGCAATTTTTCTGTAACCTGAAACAGCTCTAAAAATAAAGTATATTTATAAAAAATAAATAAATACAAATGCCACCTCACCAGAAGGATCAAAGGGGCAACTAAATCCAGCAAAGTAAGTGTCTCACGTGGAATACAGGTCAGGAAATGAGTGAAAACACTCCAATGGATGCCCACCTATACGATCACTTTGAAGAGCAGCAGGAAAATAAGCCTCTGCTGTCTGGGTTGCAGATTGGGGGACAGGAGAGAAACTAATACACACTCAAGATGGTGGCTGAGCTGCCTTACACACTCGTGGCCAGGGGTGCTTGCAAGACAGGCGGAAGTTCAAATAAGAGCCTACAGAGGAAATCCAGGCCAACCACAAAATAGACCCACAAAGGCCAGCAGGAGAGTATCTAGTGGAGCTCCCTGGGACCTTGGACTCACCCAGCTCCACTGTGCCATGGATAATTTTCCAGGTCTGGTATTTTGTCTTGTATTTTATATTCTGCATAATGGGGGACTTGGCCGGCATCCACTCTGCCACACATCCTAATGGGCTAACCCTCTTCTGCAACTACCCTTTTCTTTTTCTGCATCTGGTTACTAATCAAGCTTAATGGGGGAAGAAAGAATCAAAAACTTGTAGACTGTAAGCTCCAAGAGAACAGAGAACAGAGCTGTTTTATTCACTGACTTGTACCTAGTAGATACTTCATTGACAGTTATTGGGTGGAGTGAGCAAACAAATAATCCTACAAGATATGCAGTTTCCAATCACAAAGAAGCAGAGAGGGGGAATGGGGGCCTCCTGATTGTGGAGGGTATCTTATAAGCCTCTCCTCAGTCAAACATGCGAGTGTTTCCAAGGACCCATCCAACATTGCACATCTCTGCCATGTGCCATCCCATCTCTGCAGGCTGCATGACTGCATGGCTGAGGGCATGTTCAATGAGCCCCTGTGGGAGCCATGGGCACTGGGAGGCAACCCACTGCTCTTGCCTGTTCTGACCATGGGAAAAGGACAGGGAGCTCAGCTCCAGCTCTGCTACTGAGAGGCTCTTCGCATATGTCAAGCTGGACGACGTGGACACCCTCAGAGCGGCCTCTCTCCATTGACAATAAAAGTGTGTTTTGCTTTTCGATGAATCGATTTGGTAAAATGTTTTCTCACTCTTTCCTAGACATCGCCTGGTGGTATTACCAGTATCAGAGAGGTAAAAAACAGTTTAAACTAACCTGACTTTGGTCACATGACTTGCAAAGGCAGAGCTTCTTAATCAAGCTCATGTTTTGTAATTAGTCTTCTCATGCACCAGCTTTCTGTGTCCTTTGTTAACAAGCCCCACATATATAGAAACAGTTGGAAATGTTCTTTTAGAGACAAGTTACAGGAAAAGCTTTGCTCCCCGTAAGAAATGGTTACGTTTTCCTTTTACAGACATTTGTAAAAACTCAGAGCCCATTTGCAGCTCAAGTGTAGTAATTGCTTCAAACAAATGGCCTGGATTTCTGTGTTCTCTTTTTCTCCATGGTCTTCACCTCCTAATCTAATCAACATATACTGAGGCAGTTTTTCTTATTACTTTATCTCTTTTTATTTCATATTTATTTCCTATAATCAGCTTCAAGTCCTTTGTGCAACAAAGTGGCATGTGTTTAAATAAACAGTGAGGAGTAGGCTATGTGGTTTGTAGGTGGGAGGGTAAGTAGGTATAGATCAAAAACCAAAAACTCAATGCCTATTGCACAGGGCAAGCAGCATAAATGAATTCTGTGAGCCAGGGGTGAACAACAGGACATCCTAGAGGCTGTGGCTGCCCAGAGGGGACAGCCGGTGTTCAGCTCTAGCAGGCTGCTGAAGTGTCTGAATTTGAGACCAAAATTGTCAGATAATCCCATTTTCCAAGACAAATCAGACATCCAGATTTGTACATGGATCTCTCATCTTTAAACATGGACAACTAATTCCAAAATAATTAAGATACATTTTACAGGTCAAACAAGACCTATCTTTGGGCCACACTCAAGCCGAGGATCACTATTTTGTAACCTCAAAGCTAGACGGATGGCCGGGTGCAGTGGCTCATGTCTGTAATCTCAGCACTTTGGAAGGCCAAGGTGGGCAGATCACCTGAGGTCAGAAACTTGAGACCAGCCTGGCTAACGTGGTGAAAACCCGTTTCTACTAAAAATAAAAAAAAATTAGCCGGGCATGGTGGGGCACACCTGTAATCCCAGCTACTCAGGAGGCTGAGGCAGGAGAATTGCTTGAACCCGGGAGGTGGAGGTTGCAGTGAGCCGAGATCACACCATTGCACTCCAGCTTGGGCAACAAGAGCAAAAATCCATCTTAAAAAAAAAAAAAAGCTAGATGGGTAAGTATAAAGTCCAAATCAGAGACACCATGAGGGAGGCACTATTGGCCAGTCCAGGGAGGAGATGGTCATGGTCACGGTCCTGAGCCTGACAGAGGGGTCACCTCACTGGCGAGAAGACCCAAGGTGTGAGTCCTCCCACTGCTCACAGTCCAGGTCTAACTGGTACACAAGCACACAGCTTCGTAGGAGCATGTGTGCTGCAAGGCTGGCTACAAGCGAGTTTGCAATTTGTGCTTGAGGAAAGCAGAATCCACTGTGGGGACATGTGGAAACCAGATATGATGAAAGGGGCCTGGACTGGCTGGATTCTAGGTCCAGATATGTCACCCATTGCTCAACGACTTAGGACTCAGACAAAGCCAGTTAGTGAGAAGGTTTAGAAGAGATCTCCTATGCTAGAATAGCTTAGCATTGGCTGGATGTGTTTAACAGATACAGAAACCCACTGAAAGTACAGTCATGCTCTGCATAATGACGTTTCCATCAGCAACACAACATACACAATTGTGGTCCCATAAGATTATAACAGAGCTAAAAAATTCCTATTGCCCAGTGACTTCTTGAGGTTCCTGACCCTGTGTGGGCTCAGGCTAACGTGTGTGGTTGTGTCTTCATTTGTAATTTTAAAAAAAGGGTTTTAAAAGAAAAGAAATGAAAATAAAAAATTTTTAAATAGAGAAAAAGCTTATAAAATAAGAAAATAAAGAAAAATATTTTTGTACAGCTAGGCAGTGTGAATTTTAAGCTAAGCGTTATCACAAAAGAGTCCAAAAGTTTGAAAAAAAACCAAATAGTTTGTAAAATAAAGTTAGAGTAAGCTAAGGTTAATTTCTTATTGAAAAAAAAATTTATTAATTTAGTATAGCCCTAAGCATAAAGTATGTATAAAGCCTACCTCATGTTTAGTAATATCCCAGGCCTTCACACTCACTCACCATCACTCACTGACTCACCCAGAGCAACTTCCAGTCCTGTAACTTCCATTCATGGTAAGTGCCCTAATAGTTGTACCATTTTTTATTTTTTACACCTTAGTTTTATTGTACCTTCTCTAAATTTAGTATGTTTGGACACACAAATACTTAAAATACTTACCATTGTGTTACAATTGCCTACAGTATTCAGTACAATAACACACTGTACAGGTTTATAGCCTAGGAGCAAAAGGCCATACCATACAGCCTAGGTGTGTAGCAGGGCTACCCCATCTAGGTTTGCGTGAGTATACTCCACGATGTTCACACGATGACAAAACTGCCTAACAACACATTTCTCAGAGCGTATCCCTGTTGTTAAGCGACACATGACTGAATAAGCAAATGTGCAGTGATTGTGCATTTTTTTTCCTGAGAGAGTCTAAACCCCTCATTCCACACTCAGAAGAGTCTATGATCCCAAAACATTAAGGATCACTTAATCAAAATCATCTACTATTCAATCTGAGAATTTCCTGTGTAGCATCCTCTAGAGTTGGTGATTCCATCTCTCTTTGCCCCTAGTGATAGGTATTCATCACTGTGTGAGGCACTCACAGTTAGAAAATCACTTCTTAATATCACATGCGCAGGGCAATGGTCCCCTCACTCCCTTCACACGTAAGGTTATGGAACAACAGGCATGAGAACGCTGAATGGCTTAAAAGTACTTTACAAACAAAAGGTGCTCTAATTTATTCTTGTTATGTCATTATTGCCATAGTATTACATCTCAAGTTAATTTTTATCTCAACCATTCAAACTTAAGTCTGACTTAGTAACTAGCTCATCATTATTTTTTATAACAAAGTAATGACTAGCAACATCTGGCATCAGACTTTGAACAAACCTCAGAAGGAACTGTCAAGGAGGCTCCCCACGGGTTCACGCTCTTCTCTCCTCCTGCACACAGGGAACAGGGCCATTCTCCTTCCTTTACTGGGACTACCTGGGCTTCATCCAGGGAATCCCCAGGTGGCAACAGGAGGGTGGTGAAAACCGCTGCCCGTCACCTGTAAAGTTTCCTGTGAATGTGTCTACAGCGGCCAGCACCACAAGGCATACAAAGAAAGGGAAGGGAGAGCTGATGTGAGAGCGGCAGCGTGGGCACTCCTGTGAGGTTGCCACAGCTGTAGACAAGTTAAATCAGTGCAGTTCAATCAAAAGTCATGACCCATGAGCGTCACAACCAGCACGAGTCTACAAAGGAATACATTAAAACTAAGACCAGAGCACAGCTCACATTAGTGAGGGATGGGATCATTTCATGGAGTTTTTGTTTCAAAATATTTCATTAACATTTCACTTATATACATGTGTGTATACTGGGTTGTGATTTAAATTACAATTCTTACTATAAAATACAGCAAAAGAAAGAAGAAACAAAGAGAGGGCCACTGGTTTACCTAACATCCACAGGCAGGCTACTTCCCAGCATCTTGAGCCCCAAAGAAGTAAATTTCCTTCCACAACCGATGTTACCACAGCCTGACACTTAGCCAATGATGAAAACGAAAAACAAAACAAAAGCTTGGCAGTCAGTATCCAAATATGCAGATACTACAGAATCTGTTTGATGTAGAAGTTGATCCTGCTACCCAGACAGCAAACAACTCATTTATTAATAAAGTCCAGTTCCTCCTTAATGAAGTGGGTTTAATAGTTGATATCTCAATAATTACTTAGTGCATTTTTTATGAAGGTGATGGGAAACAAGTGCTGTTTCTTGAGTCGGAAAGAGTCTCTCAAGCTCCCACAAAGAAATTTCCCGAGCTTGTGAGGAATTCAGTCACAGGAAGATCAAGGAATTAAGTGTACTGCAAAAAACCCTTCATGCTTCTGGCTAAGATAAATCTAACAGTGTACTGGATGTCTTCAAGAATACCTCATTTACTCAAAAAATACAATATTCCCATTTTCTTTATTTGCATTTTAATGTGATTTTTGCTTCATCTCCTTTCTTCACTCAAGCCACCTGGGCCGTACCCAGGGAATTCCTAAGGGGCAAAAGGAGGGATGTGAAAACCTCTGCAGCCCCTTCGGAAGTTTCTTGTGAATATATGCACAGATAAACAGATGTGCATTTTAAAAATAAAAATGCTTTTAGATCTAATGCTAGGAGATTCAAACCAACAATTAATTTCTCTGTTAAAATGGGTTAAAATAGATGTAAAATATTAATATGTATATAAGCATTCTGAATTAGACTTATGTGAATTTTTCTCCTTTTCTTTCTTTCTTTTTGAGAATAAGCCCTTTCATTTACGTAGAAATGCTTCAGCGTTTAGATAATTGCTACTTATCTTGTTAGCTACAAACACAACCATAATTAAAGGCTCTGTAAGAATTATGAATTCTGGGGAAATTGGCCACTTGTCTCTGTGGCGTAAACAGTATCTAATTTATAACAAATCATCTGCCTTAGTCCCAGCAGGATAAGGTGATATGTATTGCCCAGCACATGAGAAAGATGGCAATTAGGAATTGTTACCAAGTTACGGGAGCCTCACACGAACATCCATCACCTTTGGGGATATGTACAAGATACAAACTTAATTTGATGGATTCCTTTTGTATTGGGATCAAAGTCTCAAAAGGGAAAGTGACAATTTCAGGGAAAATCTGGTGCAATGAGACCAACACTGATGAGAGAAATGCACACAATTTAATACACCTGCTCACCTGATGTGGCAACTCAGCCTGTGCTTGCTGTGGGTTGCCACAGGATGAGACATGGTCTGTGCATATTCCCAGCAGCCACCCATCTCATCACTATTCTTGCCAGCCCAGATTTACAGTTGTTCAATAGATGGATTTGGTAATATCTGCATGACAACAACAGGCAGAGAAGGTTAGATGGCAATTGATTCTTGATTGGTGTAAGTTTATAGAACACATTCTGGCAGGGCCCAAAGGAAATCACTCACCTACCCCTCTGTGATGGTAAAACGTTGAAAATTCCACGGACTTGGACCTTGTGATCCTTCAGTGGAAGATGGGCAGATTCCTTGCTTTAATTGACAGACACTTTCTAAATAACTAATGCAATCTTATATTACATTATAGTCCATAAGGGAGACATACTTAAACTACTACTTACAACAACTGTTTTTAGAGCCTTTCAAATGGTTTGTACAAAGTAGCTCCCATTTAAGATATTTTCCTAGTATTTAAGGCTATCTAGTAGACATTACAAAACAATACGCTGTAAATACATTCAGATTTTTATCAGTAATACTTAACATGCCGTAATTTGAACTTTCTGCTAAATCATGCTATCCATTCCTAGTTGGCCCCAATGGTGAGAGTTTACTGTTTCTTTAAATAATTTTGTTTCCCTTTGCTGTCTAGAGGTGTTTATCATTCTGCTTACTTGCCTGTGTCTCTGGAATATTCAGAAGGTTCCATGGGAAACAATTTGAATATGCAAAGAAGTTATTTTTAAAGCAAGGAAAATGTTTTCATATGGATTTATTTTGAGCACTTCTGCCTTTGCCTCCACTGGGAACATGTTTCTCTCCAACGCCGAAGCCCCCTCCCTGTGTGGTGTTTGACGCAGAGGCTGACAGGGCAGGGAAGTGGGGTTCAAGATAGGAAGGCCATTGGCAGTGTGACCCCAGCCCACAGTCCTAGATCCCAGGTCGTGACACCACTCTTTTGACAGCCCAGATTGTTACCTAACAAGAATGACTCCCAAGCTCAACCATTCCAATGCCATCTCCTCTGGTTCCAGATAAGATTGAAGATGAGCTGGAGATGACCATGGTTTGCCATCGGCCCGAGGGACTGGAGCAGCTCGAGGCCCAGACCAACTTCACCAAGAGGGAGCTGCAGGTCCTTTATCGAGGCTTCAAAAATGTAAGACCCGTGCACGCTCTGAAGGCCTGGGGGGGGTTCCCACGTGAGGCTACACTCTCCCCAATGCCAAGGGAGCTCATAAGGCGTTTCCCATATGTGAGGCTGTACAAGGAAGGCCAGCTCTATAAAGGGGGCATGAGAGGGAGATCACCTGGCTAGAAAGGAAGGCTCCAGGCGAGGATGGAGCAACCTCAGGAGACAGTAAACGGCCAACTGCCCAGAAATTTCACAGGGTGGCACATCCTCAAGGAATTCACCCTGGCCCAGGGTCAAGCCTTAGCCCTTAACATAATCATACCTTCCAACCTGGTGGTGCCCCCACAATAATGGGATTTGGCCCTGCTGACTTATGCTAACCAGGCTCACCGAGACTGATGTGTAAGCCGAATGTCGGTGTATTAATTTACCTTGGGAAATGGAACTGACAGTGGAAACAGACACTCCTCTCCCTTCGCTGGGACCCGCTCTCCTTGGAAGCCACATGGAAGCCAGGTTACAATCAAAAGTGGAGTCAGAGGACGGGAGTTCCTTGTTTAGTTGTTACTTTAAATACATTAATGTGTTCCTGCAGTCTCAGGCCAGTTTGAGAGCTCTCAGATACAATCCTGGATATTAATTTATTTTTTAAGTTTAACTCTCAGAGTGCAATCTTATTCCCAAATCCTGGAGTGGTGTGGAGTGGGGTGGGCTACAGCGACATGCACCTGGTCACCCTCCCTCCAGGTGCAGTCTGTAGGTAGAGCTGAGCTGGGTCAGTTCCAAACTGACCACAGCCTCAATGTTCTCCAAACTGCTGACCCACAGGGATTCCAGCCCCTCCTGGGAGTTATCTGACAGGTGCTGGGATGCCTCTTCCTTCCACACTAGCCTTGACTGCACATGCCAAGTGCCCAGTTTCCTACCATTAGGGCTTCTTTCCTTCGATGGCAGCATTAGCAGTGGGCAGCCGAGTTGGAGAAGGATCCTGTGGGAAAGTTTTCCAGGCAGGCACTGGGCTCAGAGGGAACAGCATCCAGAAAAGAGAAGAAATCTACACTGCTTGGCATCTACCATGGACTCAATACCACCTAACATAGGTTCATAAGATACCCTTGGGGAAGTTATTGTTACCCCCATTTTACAGGTAAGGATATTGAGGATCAGAGACTGGCTTGGCCAAAGTCACAAAGCTTAGTATTGGCTGAGCCAGGATTTAAACCCAGGTTTTTCTGATCTTAAAGCCCCAAATCTCTCCACCTCACAGTGCCCATTCTCTGACAATGTCTCATCATTTTGCAAAGCAGCTCCAGTCCTGAGATGGCACTACTTGGGAGAAGTGGAAATGCACAGGTCCCTGTCCCTGGGGATCATGAGGAACCCCAGACACCAAGGCTGGGCCCAGTCTTCTCCTAGTGCTGGCCCTCAAATGCCTCCCGCTGACTCTCTCCCCTTCCCACAGGAGTGCCCCAGTGGTGTGGTCAACGAAGACACATTCAAGCAGATCTATGCTCAGTTTTTCCCTCATGGAGGTGAGTCTGACCTTGAAATCTATCTTGCCCAGCTCCCTCTCTGGTAAGCAGCCTTCCCTTCCTCCAAGTCCTCTCTTCCTTGCCATTTGCTTCCTTCTCGAGGAAGAGACAAACTCAGGGCAGGACACCTCCCTCATCGTGAGAGGTGGGAGTCTCCAAAGCTTTAGCAGGAAAGAACTCTGAAAATGAACCCACCCTGGAAGGGGAAGAAGGGCTGATAATGCAACATCACAACGTCTCAGAACAGCTCTAGAAAGCAGGTATTATAATCCCAGATGGAGTAACTGAGTTTCGGGGAAGATAAGCAGTGTACTCAAGATTGCACAGCTGGTGAGTAGCAAACCAGGATTAGATTCCATAAGGGTCTGAAACAGGTTTTGCCATGCTGGCACCACCATTGTGCAGGGCACTTTTGAATCTTTTCCTTAAAATAGCTGAGACAAGCTGGAATTTTGTAAAAGAACTTCAGTAAATACCGAAGACTATAAAAATAAACTAATTGAAAAAGAGGCAGGAAACATAAAGTTGTGCTTATTAAGCCAGTTTACAAGTGTGCCAGGCCCACAACAGCTGCTCTGTTGCCCTGCCCGACTCCTGTGGGAACCAGCTGTGTCCCCATGGGCCTGGGACCACATCGGTGACTCCTCCTGTGGCCTCCATGTGTCACATGCCACTTTGCATCCTGTCACCAAGAGCTGTCTCCTGCAAGACATCTTCCCTGGATCCTGACAAAATGCAAATCCAAGTATTCCAAACACTTCTTGGGCCCTGTTTCTCATGGGCCTTTTTGGCAGCAGACAGATGCCTTCCTTGGTGTGTGGGGCCCCTACCCAGATCAGGTGGGGGAGGCAGTTTTGTCCCATGCAGGCCCCAGAATTGCAGTTTGCTGAGTTCCACTGAGCCACTGTTTATTGAGTTCTCACTGTATGCCAGGCACAGCTGTAGTTTAAAATACTTTTTAAAAAATTTCAAGAGATAGGTCTTGCTACATCCCATTGTAGAGAGGTAGGAAAGGGAAGCTCAGAGAGGTCGTGCTTGATGCCCACAGTCACATAGCTTATGTAGTACAGCGGCATCCAAGTTCAGGTCTCTCTACTCTGGAGTGAGTGCTCATCCCAGGCATTCATGGCCGTTCAGAAGAACATTGTCATGCAGTCACTGTGCCATTCATACACCAACGACTCCATGCATAGACAGGCAGGAGAATGGTTTTCTCATGATGGCTAGAGGGAGGGGCAAGGGCTCATCTCACTTTTTGCTAGATCTAACTTCACACCCAAACCCAAAGAGTTGAGTCAATGGGCCCCACTCCATAATTTTCTCCTTTCCATCACCCTAGCATCACTCTCCTCTCTTTCTTGTCGAAGCCCTGCCTTGTTTGGAAGGTTCTCCCTGTGTGGAATTCCTGCCCCCATCACCTGCCCTCCTTTTCTGCCTTGTAGATGCCAGCACGTATGCCCATTACCTCTTCAATGCCTTCGACACCACTCAGACAGGCTCCGTGAAGTTCGAGGTACGCTCATCTGGGGTCCACTCTAGGGGTCCTCTGGTTCTGCATCACCTCCCCCTCTAAATCTCAAGGCATTGGGGGAAGGTCTGGACCATCAAAAGCTCTCAGTCAGACCAAAGACATGTTTATCCATTTGTAAGCATTTCCTAAAGATGGGGAAAAGCAGCAGCAACTTTCCCTGGCCTGCAGGAACTCAGGGACTCAGGGGACTAATAACAACAGTGTATGAGCTTCCGGGCACACTGCTTCCCAGTGGCAGCCCCTGTACTTAGGGCTTTGTATGTATTAATTCATTTACTCCAATTCCCACAATAACCCTATAGGGTAGGGTTTTATTATTGATTACCTTTTTACAGAAGAGGAGAGTAAGGCAAAGAGAGATAGAGTAGTTTTCCCAAGGTCAAAGAGCACATAAATGATAAAGGATGGATTTGAATGTAGGCAGAATGACCCTCAATACAGACTGTTCCTACAGTCCACGTCCTCAGCCACTAGACCATACGGCCACTGGGATGATAGACAGACCACTGCAGCCATGGATAAGGCAAAAACAGGGCTGGCTGTGTTGATCTGTGTCTCTCAGAGCTCCATTCTTCCTCAAGGGGGCACCTTGCAAAAAAAAACAAAAAAATGGGGCAGGGTAGGGAACTGAAGGCAGGAGCTCTTCACAGAGCATAGCCACATCCTCCAGGCAGACAAGAGGACGCAGGAGGCACCATTCTGTGAGAGTATCACAGTCTGACCCAAAGACACAGCTTCACACTGTCTGATGGCTTGATGGTTAATGTCACTCTGCCTTTTCCCCTTCTCAGGACTTTGTAACCGCTCTGTCGATTTTATTGAGAGGAACTGTCCACGAGAAACTAAGGTGGACATTTAATTTGTATGACATCAACAAGGACGGATACATAAACAAAGAGGTAAGTGAGCTGGGGCCAGGGGTGTGAGAGGGCTCCAGTGAAGGTAACTAACCCAACAGAAAACAGCCCCAGGCATGAGGATAGCACTGTCTGAATGAGGCAGGCTCTGCTTTGGGGCTAACAGAGCTGGTCCCTGGCAAAATAAAGAAGGCCTCCCTCATTGCCCTACCCTGCCCTGTTCCCAAGCGCCCAGAAAGGATTAAACAGATTCATTCTCACTGGGTCACCTAGATTCAGTAGATATTACACAGTGGATAAAAATGACTTGTTTCAGTGTGAAGAGTTACTCTTCCCTAGGGAACCTGCATTTGGGAAGGTTAGGAGCCACAAGTCAAAGCTAAAAGTTGAAATGGTGGAATTGTAGGCAGCACCTAGAATAGAAAAGAAAGATTTTTAAGGAAGAGGAACCTACAATTGGGTCATATTGGCCTTAAACTATTTTGCCTATTAATACAACCGCCAAGGGGGTAATGGAAGGTACAGCTGTCTTTACAGAAATTATCACAAATAATTTCTGAATCTTCACTGCTTTGCACTTTTAGAACCTCAGAGGACATGTCTCTAGCCAGTGAAATACCCTCAGGTCTATCTCAAAACTCACTTTGGTATCCACTGTATCCTGGTATCTCAGTGGAAGCTGGAAATTGGCATCCTGTAACACTCCACTTGCTGAGCTCCTGTGTGCCAGGCACGGTGCCTGGAGGTATAGATATCAGCACCAATCTTCACCTCAACCCGGCAAGCTTCTCTCTGTAAGCTCAGAGAGTTTATCCAACTTTCATTCCTCATTCATTTAGTCATGTTTTTAATTAACACAGATTTGAAGGCTTATTAGGTGTTCTAGGTGCTGGAGGTAAAGAGGTGAACAATCAGACTAGGCCCCACACTGGAGCAGCATAGAGAGATGGACAATAAACAGGCCAAAAAGGAATCAGCAGGTAGAAGATATTTTGGCAGGGAAGGTTAGCAAAGGCCTCTCCAAGGAGGTGTCGTCATACTGGAACCAGTTATACAAAAAGCCAGGAAAAGTGTTCCAGGCAGAAGGAACAGCCACTAGAGAGGCTTTGAGGCAAGATAGAGCTTCATGTGTTTCAAAAACAGAAAGGCTTCAGATGGCTGCAGATGAAGGTATGAAGCTGAAGACTAGTGCAGGATGAGCCTGACAGGTCAGCAGAGTCAGATGGTGGAGGGCTAGGGTAAGGGGCCCATCCATATTCCCCTGGGAAGCTCTTAGATGAACATGTTTTTTGAAAGACACAAAAGGCAAAAACAGACTTAAAAAGAATCAGAAAATCTGACTAGCTCTGTATTATTTAGAGAAATTATATTCACAGTTAAAAACCATTCCCAAATAAAATTATAGGCCCAGATGGTGGACTGGTGAATTCTAATATCAATCCTACAAAAAAATTTTAGAAAATAGAGGAGGATGGAACATTTCCCAGCTTGTTTTATAAGTCCAATAGTACCCTGATACCCAAACCAAAGAAAAAAAGGTCTTATGAAAGGAAACAACTACAAAACAGTCTCCCTCGTGAGCACAGATAAAAAAGCTTTCACTAAATATTAGCAAATTGAATTCAGCAATATATAAAAAGGATGATACAATACAACTATGTGAGTTTTATTCTAGGAAGGCAAGGTTGGTTTAACATTCAAAAACCAATCAATATAATTCACTATATTTAAAGAAACCAAAGGGATATAGACTGGAAAGGAAGAATTAACACTGTCTTTATTTGTACATGGTATAATTGTATTAATAGAAAACCCTAAGAGTCTACAAATAAACTGCTAAAAATAATAAGTGAATTTAACAAAGTGAAGACATGAGTTCTATTTACAAAAATCATTTATAATTCTACATCCAACAAGCAACCAGAAAATTAAATTAAGAAAAATAGCATCAAAAAGCACAAAATACTTTGAGAAAAATTCAACAAAACAGGTGCAAGACTCATACACTGAAAACTATAAAATATTGCTGAAATAAAGTAAAGAACTAAATAAACACAGAGATAAATCATGCTCATGGGTTGGAAGGCCCAATATAGTTAAGATGTGGATTCTCCAAATTTGATTTATAGATTTAGTGTGATCTCAATCAAAATCCCAGCAGGTATTTTGTAGCAGTTGATATGGGAATGCAAAAAACCTAAAATAACCAAAACATCTGAAAAAGAACAAAGTTGAAGGACTAAACCTACCTTACTTCAAGACTTAATGAAAATGTGCAGTAGTCAAGATGGTAGGGAATTGGCATAAGGATAGACATATAGATCAATGGATCAAAATAGAGAGTCAAAAAAACTAAAAGTAGAGCTACCATATGATCCAACAATCCCACTGCTGGCTATATACCCCATGTAAAGGAAACCAGTATATCAAAGAGATATCTGCACTCCCATGTTTTTTGCAGATCTGTTCATAATAGCCAAGATTTGGAAGCAACCTAAGTGTCCATCAACAGATGAATGGATAAAGAAAATCTGGTACTTATACACAATGGAGTACTTCTGCCATAAAATAGAATGAGATTTAATCATCTACAACGTGGATGGAATTGGAGGTCATTACATTAAGTGAAATGAACCAGGCACAGAAAGACAAACATCCCATGTTCTCTCTTATTTGTTGGATCTAAAAATCAAAACAATATGAAGATAGAGGGCAGAAGGACGGTTACCAGAGGCTGGGAAGGATAGTAGGGGGGCTGTGGGGGAAGTTAGGATAGTCAATGGGTACAAAAAAAATAGAATGAATGAATAAGGCCTGGTATTTGGTAGCACAACAAGGTGACTGTAGTCAATAATTTAATTGAACATTTTAACTAAAAGAGTGTAATTGGTTTGTTTGTAACACAAAGGATAAATGCTTGAAGGGATGGATACCCATTTTTCATGATGTGGTTATTACACATTGTATGCCTGTATCAAAACTTGTCATGTACCCCATAAATATATACACCTACTATGTGCCCACAAAAATTAAAAATAAAAAATAAATATTTTTTAAAAATAGAGATAGACCCACCCATATGTCAATGCAACAGATGCCAAAAAGATCAAAGGGGAAAGAACCGTGTTTTCACAGCTGTATATCCATTTGGAAACAAAAATGGACATTAACCTTAACCTCATGCCAAACATAAACATCAACTTGGAATGGATTATAGACTTAAATATTAAAACAAAAGCTGTTTTCTTAAGGAATACATAGGAGAAACATTCTTACAACTTTGGAGTAGGAAAGGATAAGGAATCATTTCTTAAAGTAGATAAATTTGACTTTATCAAAGTTAAAAATTTTGTGCTTTAGAAGACACCTTTAAGAAAATGGAAATGCAAGCCATGGACTTGGAAAAAATGTTTGCAAATTATATACCAGATATATAAAGATACCAGGATACCAAACCAATATAAAGACTGGCATCCAAAATATATAAGGGACATTTATAATTTAATACAAAGATAAACAACTTCATATAAAATAGGCAAAAGATTTGATGAGATATTTAAGAAAAGAAGATATATGAATGGCCAGTAAACCCATGAAAGGTTGCTCTATATCACTGGTCTTCAAAGAAATGCAAATTATAACTATAATGAAATACAATTGCACAGAATGGCCACAATTAAAAAGACTGATAATACCAAGCATTGGCAAAGATGTGGAGCAATAGAAACTCTCATAGATAGCTGGCAGAAATGTAAATGGTACAAACACGTTGGGAAACATTTTGGCATCTTTGATAAAGCTCAGCACACACTTAACATACAACCCAGAAATCCCATTCCAGTCAGGCATGGTGGCTTACGCCTATAATCCCAGTACTTTGGGAGGCTGAGGCAGGCGGATCACTTGAGCTCAGGTGTTCAAGACCAGACTGGGCAACATGGCGAGACACTGTCTCTACTAAAAATACAAAAAAAAAAAAAAAAAAAGCCAGACATGGTGGTAAGCACCTGTGGTCCCAGCTACTAGGGAGGCTGAGGTGGGAGAATTGCTTAACCCTGGGGAGTGGAGGTTGCAGTGAGCTGAGATTGCACCACTGCACTCCAGCCTGGGTGACAGAGCAAGACCCTGTCTCAAAAAAAGAAAAAAAGAAGAAGAAAAGAAGTCCCACTCCTGGATATTTACCCCCAAAAGAAAAATATGTAATTCCATAAAGACTTGTACAAAGATGTTCATAGCAGCTTTATTCATAGTAATCTCAAAACTTAAATGACCCAAATGTCTGTCAACAGGACAATGGGTAAATACATCATAGTCTGTTCATCCAATGGAATATTACTCAGCAGTAAAAAGGAATGTTATAGTTGCATGCAGCAATGTGTATGAAGCTCATAAACCTCATGCTGAGTAAATGAAGCCAGACGCAAATGAGTTTACACTGTTTTACTCCATTTACATGAGATTTTAGAAAATACAAACTAATCTATAGTAACAGAAATTAGATCTGTGGTTGCCTGGTGTCAAAGCTTGAGAGGCACTCACTGCGAAGAAGTGTGAAGGGATGTCTTTTGGTTGTGAAAATGTTCTATATCTTGAGTGTGGTGGAGGTTACATGGGTGGATACATTTGTCAACATTCATCAAACAGTACACTTAAAATGGGTGAATTTGTTATAAGTAAATTATGCTCCAATAAATTTGATTTATTTGTTGAAAAACTTGGTGTAAGGGGGAAGTGCCTAACCAATAGAAGACACTCAAAAAATGTGTTGAAGGAAAAAAATCCTGTGAAATAAAGCAGGTAAGAGAAAATAAGAACTCAATATCATCCAAAATATAGATTACAAATCCTAAATGAGATAATAGGAAATTAATCCCAGTGCTCTGTTTAAAGGCTCATACCTGTAATCCCAACACTTTGGGAGACTGAGGCAGGAGGATGGGTTGAGCCCAGGAGTTCAAGACCAGCCTGGTCAACATAGGGAGAGCCTGTCTCTTCAAAACAAAAATTTAAAAATTACCTGGGTGTAGTGGCACGTGCCTGTGCTCCCAGCTACTCCAGAGGCTGAGGCAGGAGGATAGCTTGAGCCCAGGAGTTCAAGCCTGCCCTGAGCCATAATCACTGCACCACACTCCAGCCTGGGCAACAGAACAAGACCCTTCCTCAAAAAAGCAATAAAATAAAATAAAGAAATGCACATGACTAACATAGGGTTTATTCCAGGAATGCAGGAATAGCCCAGTAGCAGAGAAAGCCTATTAAATAATTTATCACATTAATATATCAAAAGATCAAACCATTTGATGCTAAAATCACATTTGATATAATTTACCATTTATTCATAATAATTTTCAGGATTCAATTAATTAGGAATAAAATACTTCTTCAGCATAATAGAAAATACCCCAGCCTGGTACACAGCTTCATACTTTATGGTAACACGCGGAGATTCTCACTGAAGAAAAGATGAGGCAAGAAAAGATGATGAAGAAAAGATGAGGCAAGAAAAGATGATGTCTGCACACTGTCAGACATCACCACTGTTTAACATTTCCTGAAAGCTCTTCAAACACAGTGAAACAGAAAAGGAAATGCGATCTAAATAGGAAAAATTACAACATTCCTTGTTAATGACATGATTTTCTATCTGAGAAAAAAGACAGCAAGAAAATCAACTTAAAACAACTAGAACTTTTAAAAAGCTGGCAAAGTGACTGGTAATAAAATACATATGCAAAAAGAAATTGTGTAGCCAATATATCAGTTGTGACTAGCTAGAAAATTGTAATACAAATATTCTCATTGTGATCACAATAAAATTTAAAGCACATGGGCATTTTTAAATATCCATAATTTAGATGAAGAGAAAGAAAATTTTGATAAGTAGAGAAACATACCATCTTCTGAAAGGATGTATATTATAAAGATAGCAATATTATAATGACAGCAATTCTTCTCTAATTAAATTTATTTTATTTTGAATCAAAATGGAAGTGTTATTTGGGAAGGAAATTTGGCACAATTGTTATAAAGTTACATTGGAAGATTAATCAGATGAAAATAGCAAAGATAATTTTCAAAAAGAAGAAAAATGGTGGGATTTGTTCTACCAGATACTGAAATATATTATAAAGCTGAAACTATTAAAATATTATAATATCAGAGAAGGAACAGGTAGATCAATGGAACAAAATAGAAATCCCAGGTACAAATACCATCTTGGTTCATAATAAAGGGAGCATATTGAATAGAGAGGTAATGAATCATTAAATGATTCTTGGAAAACTGGTTAACTATTTTGGCAATAAGTAAGTAAATATTCTTACTCGGTACCATAAACACAAAATCACTATAGATATGTACAGTTGCTTTTTAACTAAAAAAGAACTAAAAATCATATGTGAATATCTGATCAAAGAATGGAAAAAGCATAAAATCAAAGTTAGAAACAATTTTTTAAATTATTGATGGCTTTACACTGTAAATATTTTAAAATTCTGCATATCAAAAAATACCATAAACAAAGTTGAAAAGTAAGTGACAAACTTGTTTTTAAAAATCTGCAATTTATGATGACAGAAAGGATTGATATTCCTCAGTAGACATTCATCTTAACAAAGGCAAGAGTCATATTCATCGTGCTTATCTTTGTATTTCTTTGACACAATATCTAGCACATGGTAGATGCGTAAAAATACCTTTAAATAAATTAAAAATCTATTAAGATATTTTAACAATTTAATAAATCTACACGAATATATAAAGAGCTCTCACAATCCAGTCAGAAATAGGTGAACACAATGAGCAAAGCAGATGAAAAAATAGTTCATGGGAAAATAAATAAAAATAGTCAATACATATATTAGAGACCTCACTAAGAAAGTAATGTATATCTTTAAAAACAATGAATTATCACTTATCTATTAAATTGCAAAGGTTTTGTAAAGTCTTTGTTGAAGGTTGGTGGAAAGTGGTTTTTCATACATAGTTGCTGAAAGTGTTCTGATAATAAACTTTCTAAAAGGTATTTGAGGAATATGTATCAAAAGCATTGAAAGTTATGCATCCCATTCTCCTTATAAAACCACACCTTGGTATATGTCCCAAGGAAATAAAGAATAGACACAAAGACTTAAAAGCAAGAAGAGTCTTCAGGTAATAGTGCCCCAGAATGTGATAGCCATGATATCCACTAACAGCAGATTTGTAAAATGAATTACAGTAAATACATATAATGGAATAGCCAGTGGCCACTTAAAATCATGAAAGAGTAATATAAAATAAACATTAGTATGATATATTAAATTTTTAAATATATTACATTTTAAATTGATAAAGTGGTATGTATGATATCTCAATTTTATAAACAACTAAATGCTTATATACACATGCAAATATATGATACTCTAAAATATTCAAATACTACCTTGCAAAACATATAAAGAAAAAAATACAGAAATAGGATTTAGTTGGTCTTCAACTTTGGTTCACTCATTATTCCATCACTGAATAAACTTACTAGTGCCTACTCCCTTTTTGTAATTTGCAAACTAGGCAGAATTCTCCCCATTAATCTATCAGACCTCTCTGGAGGGCAGAGTTAATAAAGTACCCCTTAAAAGAAAAAGAAAGTGTGGATAAGTAGCTTCTCAGAAAAGATAGCAGGATCTTCCCCTGGCAATCATTTGGAGATAACCTCATCCAAGTTGTAGGCTATGAAAATCCTGAGAGAGCAACAAAATTGCTCTTTCTGTGATTAAAAAAAAATATCAGACAGGAAAAGCATCAATGGCCATGTAGATGTGAAGGGCTTGTAAAGCACACATTTAAAAATAAACACATGGATAGAGACATCTATTTCCTCGTTCTATCTGTTGAGGGCACCTCAGAGCAATGACATCCCTGTAGCAGTGAGCATACTAGTACCTAGACTTTGATTTCTAAATACCATTCTTCGATAAACAGAACCAGTCTTCTTGAAGAATAGTTGATTCTAAGATTGGGAAAGAGAAAATACAAGATGAGCCTGGAGTACTTTATTATGCTGAAGGTATAAAAGTGCTTAAAAAAAAAAAACTGCAGGAGTCAACCTGAAGGAGTTCCCAATAGTCAGAATGAAAGCAATTTGAGCAAAATTAAAAATTATTAAGTACTGGATTATAACCTGTAAAATATGGTAAATGCCCACAAGTCCATGCTAATGTAAATAAACAACTGAATACATAAATAAATGCAGGAGAGAAGGTAGCTCTTCCTTACAGAAGAATTGTAATTAATAAGTATAGAAGGAATAAAGGAAATACAAAATTACCATCAGGCAAACACTACAGTAATAATTTTTGCAGGCAAGATCCACTGAAAGATACTAAATCAGTAAGGAAACTTGACAGACACCACCTTAATCAAGTGATCAAGGTTAACATTATCAGTAATAAGACATCTCAACACTATGTAACTCCCTGATATGACGCACTGAGAAGGTTATACCATCACTTCTGTGGTATTCTTGCCAGAAATGCATAACTTCAATCTAATCATAACTAAACCAGGGATTAACTCAAATTGAGAGACATTCTACAAAACAACTGACCTGTACTCATATCAAAAGTGTGAGGTCCTGAAAGACAAGGAAACAAAGAAACTCAGGCTGGGCATGGTGGCTCATGCCTATAATCCCAGCACTTTGGGAGGCAGAGGCAGGAAGATCACTTGAGTCCAAGAGTTTGAGACCAGCCTGGGCAACATGGCAAAACCCCATCTCTACAAAAAATTAGCCAGGTGTGGTGGCACTTGCCTGTAGTCCCAGCTACTTGAGAGGCTGAGGCGGGAGGATCACTTGAACCCGGGAGGTCGAGGCTGCAGTGACGGGGATTGTGCCACTGCACTCCAGCCTGGGTGACAGAGCAAGAACCTGTCTCAAAAAAAAAAAAAAAGAAAAAAGAAAAAAAGAATGAGAAACTCATACAGATTAGAAGAGACTAAGGAGACACAACAAATAAATGCAATGTAGAATCATTGAAGGGAAAAAAATATTAGTTGAAAAGCTGAGATCCCGCCACTGCACTCCAGCCTGGGCCACAGAGCGAGACTCCGTCTCAAAAAAAAAAAAAAAAAAAAAAAAAAAAAAGAAAAGCTGATAAAATTTGAATAAGCCCTGTAGTTTAGTTAATAATAGTGAAGCCATGTTAATTTCCTGGGTTTGGTCATTGTGCTCTGGTTATGCAAGTTGTTAACATTAGAGGAGACTGAGTGAAAGGTATGCATGAACTCTCTGTACTAATTTTGTAAATTTTCTGTAAGTCTAAAATTATTCATAATATGCAAAAATTAAACAAAAAATAAAATAAAATAAGCACATGGAATGAGACTGTCCCCTGGGTCTCTGTAGAAACCAGGTCAAACATCCCAAATGCTCTTTTACCCCCATTCTGAGTTGGGCCAGAATGGTCAGAATAATGGTTCCCAATGTACCTTGATAAACACGGAAACTCTCAGGACCGAGTCCTAAGGTTCTCTGATTCAATAGGTTTGGAGTGGACTTGAGAACTGATCTTTTTAATAAGGGCCTCAGTCTGTGGAACTATTGGCCTCATGTGCCCTGTGGATAATCTTGGCTGTTGGTTCATTTTTCTTAACTGAAAACAGTGGCAGAAACTATGGGGATTTTTAAATCTCTAGGCTAGAACATTAACTTTTTAAAAATTCAGAATAGTATTTTATTTGCCTCAAGCCTGTGAATGGGGATCCCACAAATCACCCCCCACTGAAGACAATGCCCATAACAAGGTAACCTACCCATGAGCTTCTGAGGGATTTAGGAATTGTCTACCATCTCCTCTCTAAGAAGGGCTCCCACAATATATCCCCTTCTGCTTGCTTCTAACTCCCTATCACCTGCTAAAGAAGGACCTCACCTTTTAATCACTTTCATTGCCAAGGGGCACAAGGAGCCCCAAACTCTGTCACCTAGGAAGAGCTTGACCTCATGGTTTCCACACTGTGTGCTTTTATGTCCCTGCTCCAGGAGATGATGGACATTGTCAAAGCCATCTATGACATGATGGGGAAATACACATATCCTGTGCTCAAAGAGGACACTCCAAGGCAGCATGTGGACGTCTTCTTCCAGGTAAGTGCACACACCCTGCACATGAGCTGTAAGCCCAGCCTAGATCAAGTCAACCCACGAGCATCTGAGCAAATGATTTGTGTCCAACCCTGTACTAAGCATGGTTGGTAACAGAAAAGAATTATAAGATACATTGTCCTCAAGAAACAGATGATCTCCTTAAGCTGCAAGTGTACATGACAGAAGAGAACAAGAAAGTATATTATTAAACGCTAGTGGTATAGTATGAACTCTAAATCCATAAAAATTTGGGGATCAGGGTAAACACGAAAGACTTCATTAATTACAACTGTGGAGGTGTTAAGCATTTGTGTCTGGGAAGTAAGGGGAAATAAGATTGGAAACTAGGATAGGGCCAGATTATGAGACCTTTAAATGGAAGAGTTTGGCCTTGCTCTGGTACAGGATGGGCAGCTAGTGCTGATCCTTGACTAAGGGAGTGGTATAATCATTGGGGCATTTTAGGAAAAAATTAATCTAGCGGTGGAGTATCAGAGAATATCAAGAGTTCACTCTAGTTCAACCTCCCACTTTGCAGATGGGAAAAGAGAGTCCTCTCTGGCCTTGTGCAAGTTTGTACAGCAAGTAACAGGCCAGAATCAGAACCTCTTTTGCCCAGTGTTCTGCCAGATGGACAGGGTAGCAGGGAGTCTACAGAAGAAGCAGAATAAGCCAGCAGTGAGGTGATGAGTGTCCAGAGCAAGTCTTTTGATTTAAGGAAGCTCATGGGGCTCAAAGTGTTGTAATCAGGACCTAATTGGAGTTGTCTGGCCAGTGAAAGACAACTCTCATTCTCAGGGCAAAGTTGGTTAATGAAATGAATGAAATGAGCTCCAGCTCGTTACTCTGAGCTCCAGCAAGAAAGCAGGGGAGTAAGCTTTGGAATGGAGATCACCAGATTCTGTAAAGTGCTTTCTGTTATGTCTTTCAGAAAATGGACAAAAATAAAGATGGCATCGTAACTTTAGATGAATTTCTTGAATCATGTCAGGAGGTAAGGAGAGATCTCAGGGCACAATAACTCTACATCTGGGAAAGGAAACCTGGGGCCTGGGGACCTGCAGAAGGAAGGTGATGAGAAACCTGCACATACCTGCAACCCCTCCCATCAGAGCCAACAACACCAGCAACAACTGTGAAGTCCACAGTTCCACTCCTCAACCTGACCTGCAGTTGGTCTTGGCTAAGCACAAGACTGAACAGAGAGCCTAAGTAGGGGTCTGGGGGCATGTGAAAACTCAGAGGGGGTCTCTGTGAAAATAGACTTCCCGAGAGGGCAACACCATTATTTTTTAGCCTGCCTCTGGCTTGATGACCCATTTCCCAGACTACAAGGAAGCAGCTGGGGGGAAAAAAACCTACAATTGTGTGATTCTCAAACCACAGTGTGCATAAAAATTGCCTGGAATGATTCTGAAAATGCATATTTCCAGGCCTCAATCCCAGAGACTCTAGATCTGGGTCACTTTAACACAAATGTCCTGGACCAATGCTTCTAACACTTTAATGTGTGAAACAATATCCTTGATGATTTTGTTAAAATGCAGATTCTAATTCCATAGGTCTGGGGTAGGGCCTGAGATGTTACTTTTCTCACATTCTCCCCAGTCACACTGGTGATGCTGATCCTGGGAACACAACTTTCATTAAGTCTAACCAATAGACCAGCCCCAGAGTCCACCAGAGACTGAACTGGAAATAATTGCTTCATCTACTTTTGAGAAATCCATTTGTACCCCCACATTATTTTAGAAATGTTCAGAGTTACTCTGAGCTCCAGCCAAGAAGAATAGCAAATGTAAGAAAGCCGGGGAGAAGTTCCTAGCAGATACTGAGCCCCCATCAAGTTTCAAGCACATACATAAACATCACAGCCACCCTGTTATGTAGATGTCCTATGTGCAGGGTGATATCCAAGATATTTAACAACTAGAATGGAATGAACACTGACCCCCTTGGGGGTGAGTTCTCACTGTTAATTCCCTTGAGAGCTGGTTGTAAAACAGCCTGGCACCTTCCCCACCTCCAACCTTGATTCCTCTCCCACCATGGGATCTCTGCACACCCAGCTTCCCTTCACATTCCACTGTGAGTGGAAGCAGCCTGAAACCCTCACCAGATGCAGATGCCCAGCTGAACTTTCCAGCTGCCAGAATAATGAGCCAAATAAGCCTATACTGACATTAACCTTTTCATTTCTGATATTGATAATTTGAAAAGCAGTCTTAATAAGCATTTATCTACTTTATTGATTTTTTTGAAAGAGAGCGCTTTGGGGGGTTTTCTTACTGTATGTCTCTATTGCATGTTCTGTATTTTACATTTTTCTATTATTTCTTCTCTGAGGTATAGTATTGAATGTAGAAAAATCCTCAAATGTTCGGTATTAAGCAATACACTTCTAATTCATGGTTCAGAGAAGAAAATATCTCGAATAAAAATAAAATAAAAATATGACTTATCAAAATTTGTAGGATCTAAAGCAGTATTCCAGGAATGCAAGGTTGGTTTAACATTCAATAATTGGTCAGTGTAATTAATCACATTAATAGAATAAAAAGAGAAAAAATATAATCATTTCAGTGGATGTAATTGTTCAGAGCTTCTTAAAAGAAGCAACTCACTATTTTACTAGATGATTTGTTTCTTCTGAATTCCTCTTTAAGGCTACAGGTGGTGCTTCTTACTTTGAACTGATCACTTTCTAGGTCCCCACCCTTACTTCTTGTTTTTCATACCCTTGTAGAGTTTTCTCCATATAGGAAACCCATGCTTGACATTTGCTCACCAGAGTTACAGAGCTCTCAGGGAGGAGACTCAGAGTTCTAACCCTCTTGCCCTCCTTTTTTCCCAGGACGACAACATCATGAGGTCTCTCCAGCTGTTTCAAAATGTCATGTAACTGGTGACACTCAGCCATTCAGCTCTCAGAGACATTGTACTAAACAACCACCTTAACACCCTGATCTGCCCTTGTTCTGATTTTACACACCAACTCTTGGGACAGAAACACCTTTTACACTTTGGAAGAATTCTCTGCTGAAGACTTTCTATGGAACCCAGCATCATGTGGCTCAGTCTCTGATTGCCAACTCTTCCTCTTTCTTCTTCTTGAGAGAGACAAGATGAAATTTGAGTTTGTTTTGGAAGCATGCTCATCTCCTCACACTGCTGCCCTATGGAAGGTCCCTCTGCTTAAGCTTAAACAGTAGTGCACAAAATATGCTGCTTACGTGCCCCCAGCCCACTGCCTCCAAGTCAGGCAGACCTTGGTGAATCTGGAAGCAAGAGGACCTGAGCCAGATGCACACCATCTCTGATGGCCTCCCAAACCAATGTGCCTGTTTCTCTTCCTTTGGTGGGAAGAATGAGAGTTATCCAGAACAATTAGGATCTGTCATGACCAGATTGGGAGAGCCAGCACCTAACATATGTGGGATAGGACTGAATTATTAAGCATGATATTGTCTGATGACCCAAACTGCCCATGTCATTTGTTTCCAGAAACGAGGACCAATAATTCTCTCACACTGGCATTTGTGCTGGTAGTACAAGTCCTTTAATATGTCCAGGAAGGGAGCCATTGCCCAGTGGTCCATATCTCCACCACATCCCCTGCTTGAGCCCAGCGCTGCATGTCCCTCCCAAGAAGTCCAGAATGCCTGCAAATTGCTGTAATTTTATACCATGTTCTAACCAATAAACAGAACTATTTCTTACACTCTCAATCACTTCTTCATGACTCCGTTAGGTAAGAGAGGTAAGCTGTGAAAAGGGAAGGCTAGTCCATTCATTTGACACCCAATTATTAGTGCAGTTGTCCCTCCATATGTGTGAAGGATCAGTCCCAGGACTCTCCATACCAAAATCTGCAGATACTCAAGTCCCACAGCTAGCCCTGAGGGACTC
Organism: Homo sapiens; assembly: GCF_000001405.40. Lineage (NCBI taxonomy): Eukaryota > Metazoa > Chordata > Mammalia > Primates > Hominidae > Homo > Homo sapiens. Next base: position 170,736,814 of record NC_000005.10, read on the forward strand.
GTGTTTTCAGAAAATTTGGCCTCCATATATGCAGGTTTCACATCCTATAAATACTGCATTTTCTATCACTTTTGGTTGAAAACAATCTGCATGTAAGTGGACCCAATAAGTTTAAACTCATGTTGTTGGAGGGTCAACTGTACTTACGTTGTGCCAGGCCTGTGCCAGGCAATGACTTCATCCTCCCCAGCCCCCAAGCCTTCCCCAGCAAACATCCAATCCAAATGCAAATACTGTGACCAAATGCAAATGCAACTTCGAGACAAGACCCTTCACAACACTTTGCTTCCAACAAGATTGCCACTTCTAAGACCCTCTGATATGGAAAGCCTGGAGCCCCTGTGGTGTGAGTGGGAGTGCAGAGATAAAGAGGATGACGGGGCCTCCTGCTGAGAGATTTTAGGCTCTAGAGGACCATCAAGCGGCTTCAGCCTATAACCAGCAAATGATTACTCATGTTGAACACTGTGGGTCTTAGTTTCCCCATTTGACATCACATTTGAAAGACTAAAAGCTAACAGTAGCATTCTTGGAAGGAAAACAATTTACTGAAACCCTATTTTGTGCCAGGTGCTGCACTAGGGGCTTTATATACATTATCTTATTTCATGCTCATGTGGAGCATTCCAGATGGTAGAGTCCTGGTTGTACTGATGAGGTTGCTGAAGCTCAGAGAGGTAAGGGGGACCTGCGTAAGGTAGCACAGCTGATAGGGACTCCATAGGGAGGCTAAACTCTTCTCGCTCTATCATAGACCCTTCCTACAAGGGGATTTTGCCTCACCCCAAGGATGAGGATACTTCCCACTAATCTCATTCATCTGAAGTCAGTTCAGAGAGGCATTGGTGTTCTTTGAGTCTGTGTAACAGATGGAGAAACAGATGCAGAGAAGGGGAATATCTCAGGCAGCCACAGTCACCGGCAGGGGGAGGCCACAAAAACATCTCCTGCATTCATGACACATCCCACTCAGATGGCCATTGGCTGCTGCCTCTTATGGTTGGAAATTGTAAGTGTGATGATGAGAATTTGTTGGATAGTTCAGACCTGTTCCTCTGGGCTTCCTGCATGTAGCCATGTGGTTCCCTAAGGCTTCTGGGCATGTGGCTGGTCCCCAGCAAAGCATCTACTTAGGCCCAAGAGAGGATCTGTCCTAGAGACTCTTCCCATATGGGGTCCTAACCTGCATCTTGAGGCTTTATGATGTCTAGGCCAGTGTTCCCTGCCCTGGCTGCACATCAGAATCACCTGGGAACTTTGAAAAATGTGAACATCTGGATGCCACAGCAGACCAACTGAAGGAACATCCCTGAAGGTGGGACCTGGGCCTCAGAATTCTTTAGAGGCCACCCAGGTGGGTGTACTGGGCACACAGGGCTAAGGTGGAGAACTGACACATCTAGAGCTGCGAATGAAGCGCGTGGTCTGAGCCATCCCCCTGGCCACAAGGATCAATTCAGGGATAGGCTTGAGACCCACGCTGGTTCAAACAGCATGAATCTCCAAACTAGTGCTGGGAATGATGAGACAAAGATGTTCTCCCTCACCAGACATGAATGAGAGCGCACATAGCCCTAAGACATGCCAGTAACTATTTAGGAATTCTGAGAGTTTATCTAATAATCAGAGGGTTAATAAGCCAGAGATCACATAAGGCAAGGCAGAGAGATGAAAAAAAAAAAAAAGCAAGCAGAAACGAGCCTTTGATAATATCATTGATCTGCTAGATCAAGCTGCTTCTGAAGCTGGACATACCTCTGACCTTTTCAGGTGCCTGTGTCAGGTGCCTATATAAGGTCTAGGTCAGGCCGGGCACGGTGGCTCATGCCTGTAATTCCAAATTTTTGGGAGGCCGAGGCTGGCGGATCACCTGAAGTCGGGAGTCCGAGACCAGCCTGACCAATGTGGAGAAACCCCATCTCTACTAAAAAATACAAAAATTAGCCAGGCGTGGTGGCGAGTGCCTGTAATCCCAGCTACTCGGGAGGCTGAGGCAGGAGAATCGCTTGAACCCGGGAGGTGGAGGTTGCGGTGACCCAAGATCACACCATTGCACTCCAGCCCGGGCAACAAGAGCAAAACTCTGTCTCAAAAAAAAAAAAAAAAAAAAAAATCTAGGTCAGTGGCTGCCTTCCTTCCCCGCTGGCTGCATGTCAGAATCACCTGGGGAGCAGAGGAGGGGAATGTTTTTGAAGTGCCAAATGCCTGGGCCTTATCCCAAATGAATTGCATCAGAATATCTGGAGGTGAGGCCCTGAGGATCAGTATGCTGTAAAGGCTCACCAGGTGATTCCAATGCACACCTATGGCTGCAAACCCCTGCTCTAGAGCAGAGGAAGTACTGGTACCCCTCTCCCTGTGTTAGCCAGACCACAAGTAAGACACCAGCATCAGCCCTGGGCACTTAAAACTGAGAGGAAAATCAGCAGCTTAGATATTCAGAGAGAATTCATTGTGGATGGAAGTTTTAAAAGTAGTCCTCAGATGGATAAACAACAGAAAGGGAGATGGTTGTCCTAATGAAGAGCAGGGAAAGGACACGTTGCAGCAATGAGAGCGTATTGGCCTCATCTCCCACTTGTCTTCTTGGAGGGATCCTGCTCCTCTTGAACCATCCAACAAATTCTCACCATCACGCCTGCTGATGGGGACTCAACTGTGCAGCAGGTGCTATGGACACTTTGCCCAATCCCCTTGGTACTCACCATCACCCTGCAGGTAGACTCAACTGCTGCCAAGTGCAATCACCCGAGAGTTTTTGTCTGTGACTCTAACCATCACAGAGTGTGTCCATGACAGCCCGCTATGTTTTGGGTATTTGAGTCTCTAAGCCTCATGTTGACATTTATGTCCAATGTTGAAAGGGGGCCTAAGATAAGGTGTTTGGGTCATGGGGGCAGGTCCCTCAGGACTAGATGAAGGCCCTCTCTTGGGGCTGAGTGAGTTCTTACTCTGTTAATTCCTTCAAGAGTGGTTGTTAAAGAGCCTGGCATCACCACCACCCCTCCGCCCCACTCCTCACTTCCTCTCTCACCGTGTGATCTGCGCACACCCAGCTCCCCTTCACCTTCCACTATGAGTGGAAGCAGCCTGAAGCCCTCACCAAATGCAGATGCCCAATCAAACTTTCCAGCCACCAGAAACGTGAGCCAAATTAGGCTTTTTTTCTTTATAAATTACCCAGCCTTGGGTATTCCTTATAGCTACACAAATGGACTAAGACACAGGGCCATTCTGCCATGGACATATCAGTCCAAAGGATCAGGTCATCAACACCTCCTAGAAGAAGCCCTTGGCCAATGACCGATGGGACTTGGTGGACAAATATCCCAGATCCTTCTCCTCTCAGCAGGAAGAACTCTGAGGTCTCTTCTATATCATCTCCTAGACTTCCCTGGTAGGACTGAGCCCCAGTTGCTCACAACAGTAACTTATGATGAATAAGACAGACATGTGTCCTGCTTTCATAAACTTCATATTCTAGCAGGAGGAAACTGATGACAAATGAAATTATTTTAGATGAAATGGCATGCATAAATGTGTGGCATGCTAAAGAGTATACAGGGTGGCTGCGGGTGGAGAGTAAGTCTTCTCTGAAGAGCAGACCACTGAGCTTGACATGATTTGGATCATGGGGTTCTCCATGGACAACATCTTTTTTGAGTCTCATGACAACCCTGCGGGGCAGGTATCCTAGGCACCTATTTTTCAGATGAAAAAATGATGCCCAGAGTCATAGAAGGAATTACATACACAGCAGGAAGTGGGCTTAAAAGTCTGCCAAGCTCCAAAATCCATGCCCAGCTTTATTTCTTACAGAGCATAAAGACCATTCTCCACCTATTCCTAAAACTAGCTCTGATGATATACAAACACCAGAAGGTGTCAGGAAGCAGATGCTATGAAAACTATTAGTAAAAAGCAATGAAAACAAACCCACAAATCTGAGCCAAATTATTCCTCCTGTAAAAGGAATCATGCCAAGGACTTGTGCAAAGATGGCCATATGGGTTTCTTAGAGGAGCTGAAATAAGCATGTCCTTCCACATCAAAATAAGGCTCAACCTAACTGGCAGACTTCAGCTAGCCCTGCAGTCTGCTCCATTGCCTTACTGGGGACCAACAAAGCTCAGAACTTGAAGACTGGGGGGAGCCCGAGAGGCAGCCAGCCCCACCGGGTAGGATCCTGAAGACCCATGATATGCTACAGGTCCCAGTTCTAGAATAAAACATAGGGACCAAGACTAAGCCAATCATTACCTCCCATGCCTCTGGCCACAGTGAAATTTTAGGAATAGGCTTAAAACCTAAACTCACGCAAATAGCATGGAATGTTAGGGCTTTTACTGAGAACAATGAAAGTTGCTCATTGTCCTGCCTGACATGAATGAAAAACACAGAGCCCTGGGACCTATAGGCCACCATTCTGTAATCTGCAGGGAAGCCAAGCTAGAAATGTAGGTAAAGAGACCACAGTGATTCAAGGCAGAGGGATGAAAGAATGGGTTGCTGATGTCATTGAACTGCAGATCAAGCTTCATATGAAGTTACATTTACTTCTAGTGTTCATTGCACGTATCCATAAATATCAAGAAATTTGCTTTTCTTTTTTTTTTTTTTTTTTTCTTGAGACAGAGTCTCGTTCTATTGCCCAGGCTGGAGTGCAGTGGTGCGATCTTGGCTCACTGCAACCTCCGCCTCCCAGGTTCAAGCAATTCTCCTGCCTCAGCCCCCCAAGTAGCTAGGATTACAGGTGCATGCCACCACACCCAGCTAATTTTTGTATTTTTAGTACAGACAGGATTTCGCCATGTTGGCCAGGCTGGCCTCGAACTCCTGACCTCAGGTGATCTGACTGCCTCGGCCTCCCAGAGTGTTAGGATTACAGGCGTGAGCCACCACTCCAGGCCGAAATTCACTTTTTAAAGGCAATTCTAGTTGAACTTTCTGTAACTTGCAACCTGACACTTTCCATTAATAAGCCCCGTCGTCTAACCCTCTAGTGTTTCTTCTGGCCACTTTATTCCCCGCCATGCTTCTCCAGCTACATCTCATCACTCTCTACTCCCAGCAGGAAGCCTGCCAACTCCAGTCTACCCCTTCTGCCCTCATCCCAAAGCCCAGTCGGGACCCCTTATCCAGACTAGTGCAGGCGAGAAACAGAGGTCTGCAATCCTGTGTCACTCTTCCCTCCAGTGTGAACTATATTCAGCTGGTGTCCATGAGAACGCCTAAAGGGGGACAAGGATTTTAAGGCAGGGGTTTGAGAACGAAGAGTATGCAGTCCACCCCAACCCGCTCCCTGCTCTACCTGAGGGTCAAAGCCCCTCACTGTTCACAATGACACAGACTAGGCAAGTGCTGGGGGAGAGCCGGGGAAAGACAGACAAATGTGGATTCTAAGCAGAAGAGCAAGAGAGAACACTAAACTTGCTGTGGTCAAGAAAGAAAGTAAAAGGAGGAAAGAAGGAAGCGGGGAGGTGAAAGGGGGGCAGAGGAGGAATGAATAAAGGGGATAAAGTCCTTATGTAGTAAATGCTAGCCCACCGTAATAGCGAATTTTATGTGTTAACTTGGCAAGGCCATGGTAACCAGTTTTTGGTCAAACATCAGTCTGTTTGGCATTGCTGTGGAGGTATTTTTCAGCTGAGACTAACATTTAAATCAGTAGACTTTGAGTACAGCAAGCTATCCTCCATAATGTGGGTGGGCCTCATCCAATCAGTTGAAGGCCTCAACTGAGAGAACATAAGTCCCCCAAGGAAGAGAGAACACTGCCTCCAGACCGCCACGCGATTCGGGACGGCAACATCAACTCTTCCCTGGGTCTCGATTTTAGACTTGCCAGTCCCCACAATCACATAAACCCATTCCTTAAAATAAATCAGTCTGGCCGGGCACGGTGGCTCACACCTGTAATCCCAGCACTTTGGGAGGCCAAGGCGGGCGGATCACGAGGTCAGGAGATCAAGACCATCCTGGCTAACACGGTGAAACCCCGTCTCTACTAAAAATGCAAAAAAAAAATAGCTGGGCGTGGTGGCGGGCGCCTGTAGTCCCAGCTACTCAGGAGGCTGAGGCAGGAGAATGGCGTGAACCTGGGAGGTGGAGCTTGCAGTGAGCCGAGATCACGCCACCGCACTCCAGCCTGGGTGACAGAGCGAGGCTCCGTCTCAAAAAAATAAAAATAAATAAATGATTCTGGGGATGTGTCTGTCTGTCCATCTGTCTCTCTCCACACACACACACACACACACACACACACACACACACACACACACATCCTGTTAGTTCTGTTTACCTGGAGAACCTTGACTAACATACCCATTAAAACCAAAATATGTCCTTCAGGGTGTTAATGTTTGGTTGAAGAAACACAGAAGTTTAACAATTGTATCAGGCTGGGCACGGCCTATAATCCCAGCATTTTGGGAGGCCACAATGAGAGGATCACTTGAGCCCAGGAGTTCTAGACCAGCCTATGCAACATAGTGAGACAAAAAAATGAAGAAAATTAGGGGTGTGGTGGAGCGCACCTGTAGTCCTAGCTACTCGGGAGGCTGAGGCAGAAGGATCGCTTGAGCCCAGGAGTTCAAGGCTGTCGTGAGCCATGATCTCACCACTGCATTCCAGGCTGGGTGACAGAGTGAGACTCTGTCTCAAAAAAAAAACAAATCTGTACCAAAATTAGATGATTCTAGATAACCAAGAAGGAACTGTGCGAGGGCACTCTGATGGGTGGTCAGAGCAGGGTGGAGAGAGGGACAGCATTTCTGGAGCAACTTCTACTGTCAGCACCGAAGAACAGCACCTAATTTACTAACACAACCACCCTCTGATATACAAATAGAAATAAACTCCCCTTTTTCCAGACAGGGAGAGCTCAATAAGGTAAAACCACCAGCCCGAGGTCGCACTGCCAGTAATTAATGGGTTCAGAACTTAATAATGATAATGATAATGACCATAGCAACGTTTATTCGGTGCTCATAATGAGCCAGACACCACTCTGAATGCCTAATATAAATTATCTAATTTAATTCTCACCAAGAAAAAAAATCCTATTTCATTTGATGTCCCACTTTATCCACAAGGAAACCGACTCAGAAGTGATGGAGACAGGTTTCAGGTCAGCTGGTCCAATCCCAAAGCCCATTCTACACGCGCCCCTACTCTGGCTACCTCCCACTCCAACAGAGGCGTTTTGTCTCCGACACCTCCCCCCTGCTGTTCACACAAAGGGAGGACAACCCTGGGGGTTCTGGTAATCCTGGAAGGCTTCCTGTCAGAGGTGGGCCGGGGGAAACGCGGGCAGGAGAAGGGAAGTCTCGCTCAGGGGAGTGGTGTGCATGGGGCAGAGGCTGCCAGGGACGCTGAAGGCTGATAGCCGGGTTGGCGCGGAAATGGGACGCCGCAGGGTGGGACAGGCGGGAGGGATGGGATGGGCAGGGTGTGATGCCGGACGAAGGAAACGGGCCTGCCCGGCAGGTGGCAGAGAGCCACAGAAGAGCTCCGAGGGGGTGGTGCGTGAGATGGCGCTGCAGGCTGGAAAGGGGCTGCAGGCAGGGTGCCTCCAGAGACCGCAAGAGAACAGCTTGCGAGGGACCGTGGGAACTTCAAGGAACCGCACCGCCCTCCTGGACCACCCGAGAAAACAGGGGAAGTGGGCGAATGAGTAGACCAAAGTACTCATGACAGGGCAGGAGCAAGTGAGAGACCCTGGAGGACCATGGAGAGAACGTGGTAACCGATGGAGAGGGATGAAAACCGAGCCGCGGGTGTGAGTCTGAGGCGCCCCCAGGCCCACCAGCGTGTGAGCGGCAGGTGCTGTTCGCCATCAGCCGCTAGATGGAGCCGGCGCCTCGCCGAATGCGCCGGGATCCGTCGCGTGGATGTCAGGTCCGGGCCAGGGAGCCAAAGCGGCGGCTCCGCGGGGACCCTCCACAGTTCCGGACTCCAGCCCAGCGCCGGCTTCAGGGCGTGCGACCCTGAGCTTGGTTTAACGCTCCGCCACCGCGGCCTTGAAATTCACAATTTGTGAACAAGGGGACCCACTTTTTCATTTTTATTTTTGATTTACATTTTATTTTATATGTTATGCTATGTTGTTATGTATTTTTGAACGGGTCTCGCTCTGTCGCCCAGGCTGGAGTACAGTGGCGCGGTCATAGCTCATTGCAGCCTCCACCTCCCAGGCTCAAGCCATCCTCCCACCTCAGCCTCTTGCAAAGCTGGGACTACAGGCGCGCCAGCACGCTTGGCTAATTTTTTGTATTTTTTGTACAGACAGGGTTTCCCCATGTTGGCCAAGCTAGTCTCAAATTCCTGACCTCAAGTGATCTGCCTTCCTCAGTCTCCCAAAGTGCTGGGATTACAGGTGTGAGCCAGGGCGCCCGGCCCCACCTTTTCATTTTTGCCCTGAACTTGGCAAATTATGGAGCAGGTCCTGCCCAGGGCTTTCAGTTTCCAGCACTTTCTTGCCTTGACTCATTTTCCCTCCCACACCGCAGTGAGGAGAGGTTAGGGTCCCATTTTTTTATAGACCAAGAAACTAAGGCTCAGAGAGGCGAAGAGATCTATTTAAAATCACGCACTGGCCCTTGGTGGAGCAGGGCCAGAAGCCACATTTGTGACCCCAAGTACAGAGCTCTTTCCCACCCACCTAAGAGGCTGTCCCCTGGCAGGCAGGGTCCCACCTAGAAGGCCAAGACCCTCGCCCACGCCCAGCAGGGAGCCTCCTTCAGGCCCACCTGTGCTTATGGATAGCTTAGGGTGGGCCAGGGCATCTGGGCTCCAGTTGCTCAGAGGCTGGGGCAGGGCTGGGACAAGTGGCAGAGCTGTTCCCAGAGTCTGTTTCTTCTGATGATTGGAAACTCCCTGGCAGCCAAGAGGAAGAGGCAGTCCTCGGAGCCCAAGCTGCCAGTCCTGGCTCTGCTTCCTGGACAGCCAGCCACAGACACTGGCGGTCAGAAGGACCTTCCCTCGGGGCAGCTGCCCCACCACGGAGCTCCTGCACGCAGAGCGGGAGGGAGGAAAGGGGCCTGGCTTCCAAGTGAATGAGACAGACCAGAGCTTGAGTCCTGGCTCCCCGCATTCCAGCTGCACGCCCTTAGGCAGGTGGCCCCTCTGAGCCTTGCTTTCATCAGAAGTAAACTCAGGATCACATTCTCGGGACTGCTGCAGGGAGGGTTGCATAGTGAAAGCACCTGGCAAGTTGCAGAGACTTCATAAATATTCCTTCATTTACTCTCGGTTTCAGTCACAAAGGCAGCTGAGTTGTCTGCTCTGGAATCTTCCCCTGGGGGATGAAGCACAGAAGCCTGCTCTGGGGGTCACAGACTCTCCCCTAAGCAGGGTGGGGGCAGAGTGCTCGGTGAGGGGAGGGCTGGAGAGCAAGAGAGCTGTGAGAAATATGCTCCATCAGGCCAGACCAGCCACCGGAGGGGATGGGGGGGCATGGGGGGTGGGGGCCCACTGCAGGTCCGAAGCGGCCTGCCAGGTGGCTTTCCACGCTGGTTGGGGCTGCAGACAAGCAGATGCATTGAGGCCAGGCCATGGGGCAGGAGGAAGACAACACAAAGATAATAATACTCGCATTGCCCCATGTGGTTCTACAACCCCAAGCTGGTGCCAAAGCCTTCCCCTCGCTGCATCCTCACCTCCGCACTTTACAAATCAGTGACCCAAGGTCAGGAGAGTGACACAAAGACGTGGACCAGCCTCCTAATTCTTGATTCAGTGATCACCCTGGTATTGCAGAGTCAGGGCCCCAGACCATGGAACAAAGGGGCAGGAAAGGCAGGATGTCCCTCCTTGTTCCTCCGTCTGCCAGCTCCACAGAGCTGGAGGTGGGGACTGGGGTCAGGAATCAGGGACCAGAGAACAAAAGGTTCCCGTCATCCCAGGGCCTGTGCCTTCCTCTGAGTGCAGTCGCTTGGCTGAAACAGGATGAAAGGTTTTCCTGGGGCCCTTGGAGTCTGAGAAGCTGGGCTCCAGCCCCACTGCTGCGATGGACATGCTGTGTGACCTCAAGAACATAAGTCCCCCTCTCTGAGCCCCTGTCTCCTCATCTATGAAACAGGGATGATAATCCTTACCTCACAGGATTGGAATGGTGTCAGGATGACATGTGAGTTTCATGGTCGGTCAGACTGACTTCAGACTCCAGCTCTGCCCTCTATTCGCTCTATGATCTTGTGTAAGTCTCCACCTCTCCACGCCTCAGTTTCCTCGTCCGAAAAACAAGGATGTTAAGACCTCCTGTCAGCTGGACACGGTGGCTCATGTCTGTAAGCCCAGCACTTTGGGAGGCCAAGGCGGGGGGATTGCTCGAGTCCAGGAGTTCCAGACCAGCCTGGGCAACTTAGTGAGACCTCAACTCTACAAAAAAAATGAAGAAAATTAGCTGATCACGGTGGTGCGCATCTGCTGATCCAGCTACCTGGGAGGCTGAGGCTGGAGGATTGCTTGATCCCGGGGGTTCAAGGCCGCAGTGAGCCATGATTTTGCCACTGCATTCCAGCCTGGATGACAGAGTGAGACCCTGTCTCAAAAAAAAAAAAAAAAAAAAAAAAGACCTCCTGTCTAGGGTGTTCTAGGATGTTGTAGAGATTCAATAATGTTAATCTCCCCAGGAGAGATGGAGGCTGGAGGTAACCAGGGCTGCATTTCACTACAGAGGCCACCCAGGACCTGGCCTGGCGCCTGCCCCAGCACCCAGGCTTATCCAATGCCCACAGGGCCAACAGTGCAGAGGCATTCCTGCTGTCACCCAGCAGCCTTTCAGGAATGAAAGTTGACAATCAGAATGAGTAGTGACATTAACCAGGCCACATCAACAATGAAAAGACTGTGAATTATTTGAAATCTGGATCTAAGAGACAAAAACCTTTTGTTCCATGATCTCAGAATCTTTCAAAGGCTCATGTATGCCTCCTCACAACAGCAGCCACCAAAACACTTGGACCTCTCTGCCTCAGTTTCCTAATCTGTAAGCCACAGAAATGCTGTTCGGACCTCCTTCAAGAGAACCTGCCTGACCTTGTCTTGAGTAAGCGTTCAGAGTAGGGGTGACGATGTTCCTATGGTCACCCCACTCCACCCCAGGGAGGGGAGCTGGGATGGCTGCTGCAGGGGCCTGGCCACCAAATCCCCCAGGCTGTGCCCAGAAAGGGACTGGCCACCAGGGGGCTTTAGTTCCAGGCCACTCCTGCTGGACACCGAGTCCTCCAACAAGCAACTTGCTTCGTGGAGGGTAGTTCCCCGCAGTGCTGTCTGTGGCTCTTTCTACCCAGTCTCTCCTTCTACAGATGCCAGACCCACACCGACCCTCCGCTTTTACCTTCATGGACTTCCTGCCCGATACATCTCGGGGACATCTAACCCCATCTTGGCATCTGCTCTTGAAGGGCCCTGACTGGCACGGGGAGTGATAGCAATGCCTGCGGCACTGAGCTGTGGTCAGGACGCAATGTAACCTGCTCAGAACATGCGGGGAGCACAGCCTAAGTGGAAGAGCTGGGACAGTCACCACCGACCACATCCACTCATGGATTTGTCTGTTGGTAGAGGTTTAGTTGGTGTTTCCTTATATACCTAAAGGAAAGTAGTTTCAGGCCGGGCGTGGTGGCTCATGCCTGTAATCTCAGCACTTTGGGAGGCCAAGGCCAGTGGATCCCTCGAGGCCAGGAGTTCAAGACCAGCCTGGCCAACATGGTGAAACTCCGTCTCTACTAAAAATACAAAAATTAGCTGGATGTGGTGGCAGGCACCTATAATCCCAGCTACTCAGGGGTGTTTCACATGAGAATTACTTATACCTGGAGGTGGAGGTTGCAGTGAGCCAAGATTGTGCCATTGCACTCCAGACTGGGAGACAGAGCGATACTCTGTCTCAAAAAAAAAAAATGAAAAAAGAAAGAAAAGAAAAGTAGTTTTAGCCAAAGGAGGTATTTCTCTTGCACTGTAAGCCAATTTCAGCCAGGCCACCAAAATTGCCTCCCTCAGAAGCAAATATCTGCAGAAGATCCAAGAAAATTTGCTCAAGGGTTAGCTCCCACCTTTGCTCCAAGAGACACTGGCTCCACTGCTGAATGAACAAATTGTGCAGCTCAGCCTACGTTAGGCTGTATGCTCACATCTCCTCCTCTGGATCTTGGTTCCCCGGCAGATGAGTGCAACTAGGCCCTGGGGTCCTTCCCAGCTGCAGCATTCTAGGATGAGGACGGAGCACTGGCCTCTGTCTGTGGCCTCAGAGGCAGCCAGCTGCCTCTCCTCCCTCCCTCCCCGAGCCACGTCTTTTTTTGCCACCCACTCTGTTGTGTCCTGGGTGTGTGAAGGGGCTGCGCTTAGCTGCGTCTTCTTTTGTCTGGAGATGACAGTCCACAGACCAGGAAGGAAGGGTGGGAATGACGGTTTGCAGAGGGAAGGCGAGGGGAGCTATTTCCACCTACTTTGGCCTGGTAATTGATGAGCACGTGGGGAGGTTTCCGCATTTCAATAAGAGGTTGCTTTCGCCTTCCTCTGCCTTCCTCCAGAAGAAGCGCCCCTGACCCGGTGGAACCAAACACAGAGGCTTTCTTTCCAGTGCCATTCTCTGACATCAGCCCTACTCCAGAGAGCTCCCCAGGGAGGGGTCTGAGTCTCCACCTTCCTCTGAATCCCTCTGCCCCCCAGATTTCATTCCCCACTCACAGGAGCAGCTTGCTCTTGATAACTGCGGTGTCAGCCGCCTAACTCCTCTCTTCATGTCTCGGGGATGAGCTGACTTGGGCTGCCTTCCTGGACTGCCCCATGCTGCACGTCTCCTGGGATTTCCATAGCCGAAGTATCTCCCACTTACCACATGGGCCAGCTCCCTGTCTTCCAAGCTTCCATTTCTACAGCCTCAGTTACTGGAGGCTTTTGTCTACCCAAGCCTGGGGAACTGCTATTCATGAAAATGGCAGTATTCATTGTTTTTGAAGATGTCTAAGTCCCAGAAAACATAAGAAGGTTCGAGATGGCTTTTAATATGAAGGAGAGCGGTCTTCATTTTTTTTCTGGTGAAAGGAACACTTTTTAATGAAAACTCAAGTTAATGTTAAATGACAAATGTCATAGAGCCAGCCACGAGTCTTTCTAACTTTGTTGTGGCCATAAATGACAGACATGTGCAATCAAGTCCCCAGGTCAACAGAGGGACAGATTGCTGGCAGAACCACCCTCAGCAGGTTAATAAGTTGACCTGAAAGCTGCCAGGGCAGTTTGGAACGTTTGCGATGAGGAACTTGTATTTAGTTTTTATAAGTTGTCACATAATCGCTTAGGGCGGCTCTTAAAATATGTCCAAACAAGGAGACAGTGAATAGGTCTGGAATAACAGTCCCCCTTCTGTTTCAGAACTGACAGTTTCAGCCAATAGGGAGAGGTGAATGGTAATGAGGGAAGAATGGGCTTTTTAGACACACCTGGTATTGAACCCTGACTCATGATGTGCTAACTGAGACTGGGCAAGGTGTCTCAGCTGCCTTATCCGGCTTCCTCCTTGGCCGTAGAGTCAAAACACATCCTTTGCCCCATCCTTTGAGGGTTCTCACCAAGGGAAGGGAATAAACACAGGGCAAACACCTAGGAGGCTGACACCCAACAGGCATCGAGAAATGTTCATTTTCTTCCTCCCTCCTACCGTCACCCTAGCTCTAGCTCTCATATCTAGGAACTAGAACAGCTGTCTACCCCCTCTCCCAGGCTTTGCCCAGAGCCCAGATGGTTTCTAGGCAGACCCATAGGATTTAAGGTCTTGCTAACAATTAAAAGCCATGAATCTCTTCCCCTCTTCCCTGCTCTGTTCTGAGTCCTGTGTGTCTATAGCTCATCTCATCTTCCCCATAGCCCTGAAGTAGATAGGAAAGATGATCATGTCCACAACTCAGAAAGGGTGAAATTAAGGCAGAGAGGTGAAGACACTTGCCCCATGTCACCAGTGGAGTGAGCTGATGATGGAGCCAGCACTTGAACCCAAACCATCCATCTAGGTCCAAAGCACACTAGTAGCACCATGCTACTACTCTGCCTCCTGAGCCACAAGACAGTAAGGATTAGATGTCCATGCTCAAGCATTGTAAGCAAAAGTAGCTAAGTAGAGAGGGTGAGGAGTCCAACAGGCTCAAGAAGGAGAGCAGATGCCAGCTGTGCTCGCTCAGAAATCGGAAACGCAGCTTGCAGCCTTTAGTGATAGAGCTGTACGCTTGAGGGGCTTCTTCCCAGAGAGAGGTCTGGGAGTCAGAAACACAGAGTGCAGTGTCCCCTGCTGAGTCAAACAGAGGCCAGACCAGGGGACACATCAGAGAAACGGCCCAGGAAAGGCTGGGACAGGCTCAGGACTCGCCCAGAGGTACTGCGCCCTGAGTAAACCTGTTTATTCTTTCAGAATAAGCTGGTGTCGGATGGAAAGGTCAATATTATTTAGTATTATTATTAGTTATTCTGGAATAACTACTTATATTTCTTATGTATTTTCCAGGTATTTCACATGCATTCTCTCATTTAAGACCCACGGCAACTCAGCAACATATTATCCCCTTTTACAGATGAGAAAGGGCTCATTGAGGCAAAGGGATTTATTTATTCAAGTTTACATGGCTGCCTGTGGCAGGGTTGGGTGAACCAGGGCTGCTCTGCCTCTGTGCCTGCTATGCCAAGTGAGAATAGGGTACTCATCCCAGGATCATCTTTGCAGGCATCCAGCTGTTTCCCGTGCCCACCTGCCCCCTCATTAGGTTCTGTAAGATCACCGTCCTGACCCCCAGGAGCACACTCACCCATGGGGTCAGGCTGCTATTAGAAATTCCTTCCAGAGATGCCAGGTGAGAGGGAGGCAGGCAGACAGACATCTGTGGGGGTCACATTCACCCCAGACAGTTCATTGCCGGAAGGAAGCCACATGCCTCACGTCGAAGCTCATCTGATTGGAGTCAGACACAGCCAGATACAGTCATGATTGTGTCCAGAGGCCCACGGGGGCTGGCGGGGCCCTTCACGACAGCTGCTACGGCACAGCCCATCTGGAAGGGCTCTTTTTGTTCAACGCTTTAACCCTCTGAGGACCCTCGGGACCAAGGGATGCCACACCCTGGGTGAGAGAGATACTCAAGGAGGAGGGTCCCTCTACAGAGGATGAGTTAGGACACCCGGGACGGGCCCACATTTTCCTCCCCACTCTGCTTCCCAGGTAGATTGAGGGTAGGAGGAGGCCCACATTCCACAGAGGAGAGACTGTGAGCCTCTTGAGTTTTAAGAATCTGTGAAGGAACACCCCCAAACACCTACCATGCACCCCCAAGCAAGTAAAGGGGCTCCCTGAGTTCCAGCAGCTTGAGTAAAGGCCCAGAAAGTGACCCTGTGAGGCTCATGGAGAAGGGAATGTTGAGGGCCCAGCCTGCACTGGGTGGGCAGCGCCCTGCCCCAACTTCCCGCAGGTTCCCAGGAAATGAACAAAAGGCTCCCTCAGCTCACTCGTTGGCAGATGTCTCTGACCTGAGGCCATTCATCAACTCTCACTCAGGCACTCAGCCCCCCAGACAGCCTGGAGGTGTTGGCAGCACACCAGAGAGACTTTCAGCCAAAGACAGGTCTGGTTTCCCTGAAGAAAAAGAAACCTGAACTGGCTGCCTTCCCAGAGCGTCTGCTTGGGGGACCCACCCAAGTAAACAAAGCTGTTAAATGGGGGCATGTGGGCCAAAGCCCGCTGCACTAGAAGCTCCCGCTGCAGCAGTGCTGCCCTGCCCCAGGCACCACTCTAGCAAGAGAGAGCCTCTCACCACCGTGGGGCCTGACCCTGCTGCTGACCAGCCTCTGCTACCCACAGCCTGGACCCTCTCTCCACCTGGAGCCCCTCTCCTTCCTGCCTCCCTCTGATTCATGCCCGGTGGGTAGGAGTCCTACTTCCTCTCCTCTTCCCTGAACACAGTAACAGTGGGTGTGCTCCTGAAGGTGACGTGAGGGCAACAAGACTGACTGACCTTCCTCGTCCACCTAGGGAGCTCATACAGACCCATCACATCCACCCCCTGCCACCTCTGCAAGCTTGGACAGGAGGTGAGCTCCTCCGAGCTGCAGCTTCCTCATCTGTAAACTGGGAATAACAGGATCTCTATCAAAGATGATGGTGACTATTCAGAACAGACAAAGCCACAGAGACAGAAACAGATGAATGGTTTCCAGGGCTGGGGCAGGAGGAATGTGGAGTACCTGCTTCATGGGTACAGGGTTTCTGGTTTGGGGTGATGAAAATGTTCTCACACAAGATCATGGTGATGGTTGCACAACCTCATGAATGGACTTAATGCCACTGAATTGTACACTTTAATATGATTTCAATGGTAAATTTTATGTTATGTGTATTTTGCCACAACAAAAAAAAGTTCCTATGAGATTAAATGAAATGAAGTTTGTAGAAATGATTGCACCACCGGGTACATTATAGATCCTCAACAGATTTTAATGTCCTTGCTTCCCTGAGATCATCACATTGAAATGTAGACAATATACCCTGCTCTACCCCACATGCCTCCCCAGGGTGGACTATTTTTCTATTTAGATACTTGCTCCAACATGCTAATAGGATGAATCCATGTTTTTCATAAAGTAAAGCATTTGATTCACCAGTAGGAGAGAGAGTATCCAATGCTGCCACCCCTGTTCCCTCTTCTGGACTTACCTGTTTCACTGGCCTGGTCTAGGGTAACCAACACCAGGATTGAGTCCTACCAGAGGAAGGTAAAAGGCTCTCTGGGTACCCAGGCTAGGGACTTCTCTCAGTATCTGTTTCTCACTGTTTCCAAAACACTGTCATCCTAAAAAATAAAGCCTCTCATTGTTGGGAAGCATTTTTCCAAGAGTCTTTTGTGTTTCTGCACGTCTTCTGAGCAGAGACACTGCTTTGGTTACAATCTTTTCAAGAATGTTTGCAAAGCAAATAGCCTCAGAAGATATAGTGTCTCCCTTCAATGTAAAGAGCAGGTAGGCTTACTCTCCATTATGAAATATCTGGGTTCCCTAGGCTTAGGGCTCCTCTCCCATAACGCAACCCACAGCAGGTACAGATGACACCTGGCCCTCTTTGTGCCACCCCATGGGAATAAGGGTTTGGGGAACTGGAACAAAAAATGCATTGAACATAGCAAGGCTCAACTAGTATTTATAATCATTATTAATTGCCTTTCTTCCCTACTATGCTTTAAGCTCCTTAAGGGTAACCAGTATGTTTTTATTTATCTTTGTATTTCACAGAATGGATACTGATAAATATTTGCTGGCTGGCTGGATGGATGGATGGGTGGATGGATGGGTGGGTGAATGGATGAATGGATGGATGGATGGATGGATGGATGGATGGATGAGTGGACGGATGGATGGATGGATGGATGGATGGATGGATGGATGGATGGATACATGGAGGAATGGGTGGGTGGATGGATGGGTGGGTGGATGGGTGGATGGATGGATGGGTGGATGGATAGGTGGATGGGTGAGTGGGTGGGTGGGTGGATGGATGGATGGATGGACGGGTGGGTGAATGGATGGATGGATGGATGCATGAGTGGATGGATGGATGGATGGATGGATGGATGGATGGATGGATGGATGGATACATGGAGGAATGGGTGGGTGGATGGATGGGTGGGTGGATGGGTGGATGGATGGATGGGTGGATGGATAGGTGGATGGGTGAGTGGATGGGTGGGTGGATGGGTGGATGGGTGGATGGATAAGTGGATGGGTGAGTGGGTGGGTGGGTGGATGGATGGATGGATGGACGGGTGGGTGAATGGATGGATGGATGGATGGATGGATGGATGGATGGATGCATGAGTGGATGGATGGATGGATGGATGGATGGGCGGATGGAAGGATGGATGGATGGATGGATGGATGGATAGATGAATGGATGGATTGGTGGATGGATGGATGGATGGATTGTTGGATGGATGAATGGATGGATGGGTGGATGCATGGATGAGTGGATGGATAGATGAATGGGTGGATGGATGGAAAGATGAGTGGGTGGGTGGGTGGGTGGGTGGATGGATGGATGGATGGACAGACAGGTGGATAGGTGGATGGATGAGTGGGTAGATGGAATGATGGATGGATCGATGGATGGATGGATGGGTGGATGGATGGGTGGGTGAATGGATGAATGGATGGATGGATGGATAGATGGATGGATGGATGGATGGATGGAGAGATGTTTCTCTTGTGTCATCCTGGCAGTTTTATCTGACACTTCCCCTCTCATTCTTACAGCTTTTCTAGCTCCTGACACCATACCCAGTATTTTAACCACTTACCTTGCCAGCTATTTTCCTGGCTCAAACCATGTGATGTAGATAATAAGAGTCAAGTACTCTGCATGGGGCCTTGGATTTGGATGTTGGGGAGCATCCTGGATCCTTGCCTAGGTCTGGACATCTCTCCTGTCCTGCCCTCCCAGCTTTGTCCTAGCATCGGCTCCACTCCCAACTTCAGGACCTCATGGTGATGTGCAGTTCTAATATACCTAACAAGATATCAGTCCAGGCTACCAAACCACATGTTGGTCACCCCTGAACCAGCTAAACAAGATGTTTGCTTCTCACATTTGCTCCTGTTAGGCTAAAAGGGGTCATAGTGCTGGGCACATAGCAGGTACTTGGTTAATATTTATTTCATGAATGGATGAATAAGCCTTAAATTCATCGCCTCCTTCTTACATTATTAAAGTCAGCCTCCTGGGCAATAAGACCTAAAAATACAACCAAAAGGAGGGAAACTGGAGATATCGCCACAGACATTCCTTTTGGTTCGGCATCCACATGGCAAACACAATCTCCAGAACGGTGCAGTGATGGCATTGGATGTGCCAGCCAGTCTTCCCTGTGGTAAGAACCCCCGCCTTTGTGCACAGCTTCCTCACAGATCATATACGATGTATAAGGTGATTACAAAGGTATACCTGCTCTATATGCACTTGCAATTGCAAAACAGCTACTCCCCTTTTCCACAGCCACACAGGAAGTTTGGCCAATTGGCATCTTGCCAAGAAAAGCCTGGCAGTGAATAGCTATTTAATGTAAAGGCTCTGGGGCCCATTTTTCAGATGGCTGAGAGAACGGAATGTCCAGCAGGCAAATTGAAGTGCCGAATCTGTGGTGCTGGGGTCCCGGATTCATCAGCAATAGGGACACTGGGTATATTTAACTGGGTATGATCCACCAGTGGATGCCTAGTATTCACTGATGTATTTGTTTGCTTGTTTATACCTCCTTTCACTCCAGAAGAGATTTGTGTAATTCGATAAGTTCACATAAAGTGGAACGAAACAGGATTGGTTATAAAACACAAAACTGCATATCATGTGTTCTCTTGACTAAGTTCAAGAGAGTACAGAGCTGTTGCCAGGCCAGGCAGAAGGCCTAGGTGTGGCTGCTGTGTTCCAGGACCTGCCCTCCAGCATGCCAAGCCCAGGGACTTGATTTTGCCAGTGCTCTGAGAGTTATCCAGCCTTAGAGAGAACCAGCTCATACAACCCAAGTCACAAGAGGCTCTTATACAAACCACAATTAACTCCACTTGACAAATGTATTCTAAGAATTAGATCACAAGAAGGACAAGAACAGCAACAAGAAGAGGAAAAAGAACAAGAAGTGGGGGAAGGAAGAAGAATAAAAGAAAAAGGAAGGAAGGAGGGAAGGGGAGAAGGAAGGAAGCAAGGAAGAAAGGAGAGAGAGAAGGAAGGAAGGTAGGTTATGCAACACAGTCAGTGCTGGTAACCCCAAAAACAAATTGAAAAGGGAAGCCATATTATAAAAAGAACATCACTTCTTGAGCTGAAATAAAGGGTAAGGAAAAGGAGGTTGGTGGCGGGTAGAGGGCCTGTCACCCGGACCTGTGCTGAGGTCTCATGAACTACCCTTTCTCCATCAGTGACAACTTTTCCAATGTCCTAAAACATTTCTGGCAGATTCCAGCCTCTCTCCCTTGGAAGGCCCTGGAAAAACACTACCGAATTCTTGTTCTGTGAGTTTCCTATCTCAAGACTCCAAGCTGACCATCCCCACTGGCAAACTCTCCTATTCTCCAGAGACCATGCAATTCTACCGAAGACGTGTCAGCCTTAGTTACAACTTCTTTCCTCCACCAGGACATTACCCAGCCACCTCGATTAGCGTTTGGGGCATGCCAGAAACTCTTTTGCCATGCTCTTGGGTCATGTCCATAGACGATTTCTTTCCTTCACTGTGTGTGAATTTTATTCTGTAACTTTTAAAGGGTTACATTAGTTCTAAATGACTGAGGTTGGGAAGGGACGACCCTTCTCTCGGGTATGAGCAAATTATTAATAGTTCAATCAGTAAAGATATGGTTTAAAGAGCAGGGACAAGCCCTGGCTTCAAGCAGGTGTTTTCCATGGTCTAATTACACATTAACCATAATGGTTACCAACACCAAAACAGCCCATTGAAAATCAAAGGTGCTTAATGGCCTGGGCTCCGGTAGAAGTCGGTGGCTGGCTATTGTTTTTCACTTATCTGACCTTTCAGTCCAGTCAAAGAAGGAACTGGCAGCAGGCAAATATACACTGCTGGTGACTCATCATCAGAAGTGTTGCTATTTGGATTCCATTTCTCACACTATTCTAGAAATGCAGGCATTTGAATTCCCGAGGCACATGCATATTTTGACCAACTATTTTAACAAGTTCCAAGCAGAGCATCGTAGCAAAAACAAGTGTAAGCAATTGCTCTCTGGGCAGAGAAAATGCATACGGGCCATTTTGCTTATGGTAGGAGTATAGTTGTCACATTAAATACCAGCATGTCCAGTTAAATTTAAGTTTCAGATAAACACCAAATGATACAATATTTAGGACATACTCATACTAGCAAAGCATTCATTGTTTATCTTAAGTTCAAATTTAACTAGACCTCCTGGGTTTTTATTGCTAAATATAGCAGCTCTAGATAGGAGTGAAAGAGAAAATTTTGAATTCATCCTTCCTAGTGAGTTACATGTAAAATACATACCTGCAGAGATGCCACGATGACCTAGCAACAGATTCACCCTGAGGCAGCAGCCGAGAGCCAGAGCAGGGAATCCTGGCTGTGAGGTGTAGAAGTCTTCCTCCTTGTTTTGTAAACTTCTCTGGCATGGAAGAAAGAAGGAGGGCTGCATTATTTAGTATAGTACCCTCTACTGAAACCTCTGTTAAGATGCTCAGAGGAGAAAGGCCACTTTTGGAGTCACAGGGGCTCCCTGAATGGAACAGGCAGCAATGAAAGAAGGGAGGTGTTTTCTCCACTCCTCTCACTGTCCTGTTATCTCTTCCCAGGATATGAAGGCCAATCTTGCAGAAACTGAGAAAACATGGCTGGCAAATCAATAACCTCTGGTCTGGGGATCAAGATAATTCAAGAAGAAGAAGAGAGTGTGTGTGTTTTCCTCCATAAGTTTCCTAAGCAATTGTATCAGTCTATCCCCACTTATAGGTACTTTGCAATGGTGTCCTTTCATAATCAGAGAGTCACAGCCCCACGTGTGCCTTCGGGAGTTCTAACGCTGCTGTTGGCCACAAGTGGGACCCGGAGCAATTCGTGTACATTTTCAGGATCTCAATTTTCCCATCTTTAAAATAAAAGAAGGTCCTTGATCATTAGAAAAGGGGGAAAGGAGGAGGATTATTAGTCTCAGAACTCAATGGAAAAATAAAACTTAATGAAAAGATGGTATAAGAACCTTTCTGCTCTAAACTTCCATGAGTTTATGTCCACGTTTATATATTGGCTTGAGCATGATCTACTGTTAATGATTATGTGCCACCCTTAATGGGACAAGATGTACTTTCGACACTGCCCTTCCAACCAGCTGTAGGGACTGAAGTTTGTTGAGTCGTCCATACTTTATCTATTTTTTTTTTTTTTTTTTTGAGGTGGAGTCTCACTCTGTCACCAGGCTGCAGTGCAGTGGCATGATCTCAGCTCACTGCAACCTCTGTCTCCCAGGTTCAAGAGATTCTCCTGGGATTACAGGTGCACACCACCACACCCGGCTAATTTTTGTATTTTTAGTAGAGACAGGGTTTCACCATGTGGGCCAGGATGGTCTCGATCTCCTGACCTCGTAATCTGCCCGCCTCGGCCTTCCAAAGTGCTGGGATTACAGACGTGAGCCACTGCACCCGGACATACACTTTCCTACTGGCCTGCAGAGTTGATTAGCAAGGTGGGCAGTACAGTTGGTCTGCAGCCTCATCATAAAGGTTTCTCCACCTAAATCTCACAGCGTCTCCAGGCACTGACCACATGACCTCCCCACTGGAACTCTTGTCTAGCAGATGAGCCCTGTTCCCATGCTATATTTGCCAAGTGAGCAGCTCCCCAGTTAAATCCTCTATTGGCTCTCCATTGTCTATGTGAAAAAGACCAAACTTGTTGGCTTCTCCTAATGGGTCACAGGCCCACTCTTGACACTCCTCTTTCCGTCACCTACCGTGATGTCTTCCTAAGACTCCTTCTCCCCCTCACAATCTCTGGCCTTTGCACAGACTGTTCCCTCCACTGAGAAGGGCCCGGCTGCTCATCATCAAGAACCCAGGTGTTGCCTCCCTGCTGAGTCTGCTCAGAGTCCCAGGTAGTCACGCCCTCCCGCCTCTTTTCTGCCACCTCCTCAGGCCCCTTTCTCTATAATGGCACTTCCTGCCTTACATCGTGGGTTGCTTGTTTACAACTTTCTCTCCTCCAGTTGTCTGTGAACCCCTCCCTCCAGGGGAGTCTTATATACCATGTCTTATACCTCTTTGAGTCTCCACGACCTACCACAAGGCTTAGCCCAGAGCAGGTGCTAGCAAATGTTGACTGAACTAATGAGTGAAGAAGCCACATATAATTCAAATAATATTTCCCCAGCCTGTAAATTATGGTTGAACAAGGCAGTTCATAATCTCTGAAGATTCTACACACACCACGATCTCACGAAGGGCCAACTCGCTGTGGAGTGCAAGTGCAGGACAATGTCAACACGATCTCAGGAGGCAAGTCACGGGCAGGGCCTCTGCTTCATTCTGATCTCAGTCCCTGAGTCCCACCTGCGAAGACCTGGCTCCAGGTCTTTCTGTCAGGGCCCATGGTGCCGGGGTCATCCTGGTGGAGGCTGGGGAGAGCAGCTAGAGCTCAGCTTGAGCCTCTAGGTGGGAATTGCTGCTGAACAAAACCAGAGATGGGAGGGAGCTGGCACTCTGTGTTCAGGTGGCTGTCCCTGCCCTGTGGCCATTTGCCAGCTCCCAGATCTATCATGTTCCCACAAATCAGAGATATTTTCTCATGAGTCGTCTGGTAAAACGAGTTAATTGCCTTGCCTGACAGCTGGTCTGGCAGGGGCCCCTGTGGGGTTGGGGGACATGACCCAAATGGTCATATGGGGCAGGAGCCAGCTGAGGTGGAGGGAGATTTACTGCAGATGGCACTGTCGGTGACGTCAGGGACAACAGCCCAGAGAACCACACTCAACAGGGGTCGATTTACACTCCTGAGAGTCAGACAACCTCCAACTTCACACACGTGCGCACGCGCACACACACACACACCAGCAGAGCAACCCTCTCCCTTACAAGGGCTTTGGAGCTCTGGCTTCAGGGACCCTTCAGAGGTTTGTCACTGGTTCCCATCTGCCCTTCCTTGGTGGTCTCTTCAGGATAAAGGGCCCTGACGGCTTCACCTCCTGGCCCATCTTCTTGGGCTCAGGGACTCTTTGCAGGGAAGGTAACCACAGACAAACACGAGGCAGAGCCTACCTACAGAGACCCCTACTACTCCCCAGGCTCAACATAACCTTCTCCAGGCATCGCCCTCTCCCACCTCTTGACCTGTCTAATTTGTATCTAATGACAAAGATTATTTGCTTGATCAAACCTTCACCAGGCTCCTGGACCTTCTCCTAGGTCCATCTGTGCATTTTCTTGTAAAGCCCAGTTTTAGCAAGAACTCCCACCCCACCCTTGATATCTGAACACCCTTGATATCTGCTCAGCTTCTGCACCCTCTGCCCTCCCCTAGGTGAGGTCTGATCGCCCTGGTCTGCCTTCAGCAAAAATCTTTTAGGTGGGTTTAGCCAGAATCCTCTCACTCCTGATAGTTCCTCTTAGTCTTTTTCTATCCACTGACCCCACCTGCTCCCTGGCCGTAAACTCTTACTTTCCCATGATGTATTCAGAGCTGAGCCCAATCTCTCTCCCCAACTGCAAAACCCCATTGCCGTAGTTCCTCTACCAAAGAAAGTCTTACTGTGCTCTATTAAGTGTCATCGATTAATTTTTTTTTTTTTTTACACTGAGACCCTTCTGCCTGGTACAGATGGAGCCTGGTCATTGGCAGTGCTCCTGAGTGCACCTGCACCTTCAGCTCCCTCATCTCACTTCCTCATGGGGCCATCCCAGACTCCCTCTGGATCTTTCTCCACACTCTTCTGAGGTGTGCAGTAGAGAAAGAGCAGGGGCCTCAACAAGGACCAGGGGTCCTCGGGTCAGATTTCACCTCAGCCAGCAGTGTGAACGTGGGCAATTTATTTGAACTTTGGGACCACTGACTCACCTTACGTGGGGATAATATGACCTAGTAATGAGGCAGCCGGAGCACCTGAGCCGCAATCAGCATGAATTCCTTTTCATTTCCTCTAAGCAAGTCACCTGGCTGCTTTTTGTCTTTCTAATTTCCTGACCCAGGGTCTGTGGGAGATGAGTAAGGGTGGAATGGGAGGTTTCTTATGCACAAGCCATTTACAGCTATTGAACATCTATAAACAGAGGCATCCCATATTGAAACAATCTGCCCTAGGAAGCAGAGAGGTACCAGGTGTGGTCTCCAGCTTCCATTTTTCATAACTCTCTCCTCCCCACTTCCTCTCCCTCTCCCCTTTCTCATTCATCCACACCCAGAGGGTATGAGATACCAAACATTACTCAGGAAGGGGAAGGACAAATTCAAAATGACTCTGTCCATTCAACATCTACCGAGCCCGTGCCCGGCGCTGGGCTTGACTTTGGTGGTGCAGAGATCATATGAGGGTCCCAAATTTCCTCCCGAATTTCCTGTCTGGTGGCTTTGTATACAGGTGGGATGTATGTGGAGGGGGTGGGGGAACAGGTACAGACATGCAGGTACATAAACTATTACAATATTACGTGGTAAATATGGTAGTAGAGATGGATCCACAGGCACAAAGGAGGGAGGGGGACAGAAGGGCAAGGTCGGTTTCATGCGCGTCTGTGTGAAGAGACCACCAAACAGGCTTTTTGTGAGCAACATGGCTGTTTATTTCACCTGGGTGCAGGCGGGCTGAGTCTGAAAAGAGAGTCAGCGAAGGGAGATAGGGGTGGGGCTGTTTTATAGGATTTGGGTAGGTAATGGAAAATTACAGTCAAAGGGGGGTTGTTCTCTGACGGACAGATTGGGGGTCACAAGGTGCTCAGTAGGGGAGCTTTTGAGCCAGGATGAGCCAGGAGAAGGAATTTCACAAGACAATGTCATCAGTTAAGGCAGGAACAGGCCATTTTCATTTCTTTTGTGGTGGAATGTCATCAGTTAAGGCAGGAACCGGCCATCTGGATGTGTACGTGCAGGTCACAGGGGATATGATGGCTGAGCTTGGGCTCAGAGGCCTGACATTCCTGTCTTCTTATATTAATAAGAAAAATGAAATAGTGGTAAAGTGTTGGGACGGCGAAAATTTTGGGGGATGGTATGGAGAGATAATGGGCGATGTTTCTCAGGGCTGCTTCGAGCGGGATTGGGGCGGCGTGGGAACCTAGAGTGGGAGAGATTAAGCTGAAGGAAGATTTTGTGGTAAGGGGTGATATTGTGGGGTTGTTAGAAGAAACATTTGTCATTTAGAATTATTGGTGATGGCCTGGATACAGTTTTGTATGAATTGAAGAACTAAACGGAGTAAGAGAAGGAGAAAAACAGGTATTAAAGGACGAAGAATTGGGAGGACCCAGGACATCTGATTAGAGAGTGCCTAAGGAGGTTCAGCATAGCCTTGCCAACAAAGATTATTTATTTACTTTAAGAGTTAAGAGTGGCAGTTTGGGGATAGTACCAGGAGATATCAGCTGTGATGGCTTGGAGAAACAGTGTAAACTGGCAGTGTAAACAAGAGCAGGGCATGTATGAGTAGTTGAGAATGGTGAATAGGAGTATGACTAGACAGAAGAGAGTAGGGATGACAAGTTTTTGGGGACACAGTCTAAGTTGTCTGGTGTCTGGAATGAGACTGGGGCCTAATAAAAAGGAGTGTCTATACAGGAGCTCAAATGGGCTGTATCTTGTTGCATTCTGAGGACAGGCCTGAATTCTGAGAAGCGAAAGTGGTAAAAGTATTGTCCAGTCCTTTTTAAGTTGGTGGCTGAGCTTGGTGAGGTGTGTTTTTAATAGACCATTAGTCTGTCACTGAATACTAAGAGCCTGAAAAAATGCTTGGCTGATTCGACTAATAAAGGCTGGTCTGTTATCAGACTGTATAGAGGTGGGAAGGCTAAACTGAGGAATTATGTCTGACAGAAGGGAATGACAAGGCTAAACTGAAGAATTATGTCTGACAGAAGGGAAGAAATGACTGCAGTGGCCTTCTCAGACCCTGTAGGAAAGGACTCTACTTATCCGGTGAAAGTGTCTACCTAGACTAAGAGGTATTTTAGTTATCTTACTCGGGGCATGTTGAGTAAAGCTAATTTGCCAGTCCTGGGTTGGGGCAAATCCTTGAGCTTGATGTGTAGGGAAGGGAGGGGGCCTGAATAATCCATGAGGAGTAGTAGAATAGCAGATGGAACACTGAGAAGTTATTTCTTTGAGGATAGATTTCCACAATGGAAAGGAAATGAGAGGTTCTAAGAGGCGGGCTAGTGGCTTGTACTATAGCATAGCCTGCCTTTGCTGGTGTGTGGCGATTAGGCCTGGTGGAACTGCCATCAATAAACTAAGTGTGATCAGGGTGAGAAACAGGGAAGAAGGAAATGTGGGGAAATGGGGTGAACGTCAGGTGGATCAGAGAGATAAGGTCATGAGGGTCAAGTGTGGTATCTGGAATAATGTGGGAGGCCGGATTGAAGTCCGGGGCAAGAACAATGGTAATTGTGGAGACTTAACAAAGAGTGAGTACAGCTGAAGGAGCCGGGAGCAGAAAGTATATGCGTCAGGTGGGAGGAAGAAAATAGATTTTGGAAATTATGAGAGCTGTAGAGAGTGAGTTGAGCATAGTTTGTGATTTTTAGGGCCTCTAAAAGTATTAAAGCAGCGGCAGCCACTGCACACAGACATGAGGGCTAGGCTAAAACAGTAAGGTCAAGTTGTTTGGACAGAAAGGCTACAGGGTGTGGTCCTGGCTCTTGTGTAAGAATTCTGACCACACTAACCATGCCTAGGAAGGAAAGGAGTTGCTGTTTTGTAAGGGATTGAGGTTTGGGAGATTAATCGGACACGATCAGCAGGGAGAACACATGTGTTTTTATGAGAATTACGCTGAGATAGGTAACAGATGAGGATGAAATTTGGGCTTGACTGAAGTAATGGGGGCTGTCTGTGAAGCCTTGCGGCAGTACAGCCCAGGTAATTTGCTGAGCCTAATGGGTGTCAGGGTCAGTCTAAGTGAAAGCAAAGAGACGCTGGGACGAGGGGTGCAGGGGAATAGTGAAAAAAGCATCTTTAAGATCAAGCACGGCATAGTGAGTTGTGAAGGAAAGTATTGAGGACAAAAGAGTGTACGGGTTTGGCACCACAGGGTGGATAGGCAAAACAATTTGGTTGATAAGGCACAGATCCTGAACTAATCTATAAGACTTATCCAGTTTTTGGACAGGTAAAATGGGGGAATTGTAAGGGGAGTTTATAGGTTTTAGAAGCCCATGTTGTAGCAGGCGAGTGATAACAGGCTTTAATCCTT
Organism: Homo sapiens; assembly: GCF_000001405.40. Lineage (NCBI taxonomy): Eukaryota > Metazoa > Chordata > Mammalia > Primates > Hominidae > Homo > Homo sapiens. The sequence continues at coordinate 170,764,765 of NC_000005.10, forward strand.
TTGAAGCATGCTGTGGGATGGGATATTGGCATTGAGCGGGGTAAGGGTGATTAGGTTTTAATGGGATGGTAACGGGCATGTGATCATTTGCCAGGGAAGCAGTAGAGATATCCCATACTTGTGGGTTAAGGTGGGGGAATACGAGAGGAAGACGCGAAGGAGGCTTTGGGTTGGGGAGAAGGGCAGCAATGAGATGCGGCTGCAGTCCAGGAATAGTCAGGGAAACAGATAATTTGGTTAAAATATCTCAGCCTAATAAGGGAACTGGGCAGGTGGGGATAACTAAAAAAGAGTGCATAAAAGAGTGTTGTCCAAGTTGGCACCAGAGTCGGGGAGTTTTCAGGGGTTTAGAAGCCTGGCCGTCAATACCCACAACAGTTATGGAGGCAAGGGAAACAGGCCCTTGAAAAGAAGGTAATGTGGAGTGGGTAGCCTCCGTATTGACTAAGGGGACGGACTTACCTTCCACTGTGAGAGTTACCCGAAGCTCGGAGTCCGTGATGGTCTACGGAGCTTCCGAGGCGATCGGGCAGCATCAGTCTTCAGCTGCTAAGCCGAGAAGGAGTCAGTCAGAGAGCCTTGGGCCAGAGTTCCAGGGGCTCTGGGAGTGGCTGCCAGGTGAGTTGAACAGTCTGATTTCCAGTGGGGTCCCGCACAGATGGGACACGGCTTAGGAGCAATCCTGGGCTGCAGGCATTCCTTGTCCTGGTGGTCAGATTTCTGGCACTTGTAGCAAGCTCCTGGGGGAGGAGGTTCTGGAGGAACGCCTGGCTGCTGCAGTTCAGGCGTTTGGAAGTTCTTGGGTGCTGGAGATGTGGCTGGGGTTTGTCTCACAGTGGAGGCAAGGAATTGCAACTTTTTTCTATTATTGTACACCTTGAAGGTGAGGTTAATTAAATCCTGTTGTGGGGTTTGAGGGCCGGATTCTAATTTTTGGAGTTTTATTTAATGTAGGGAGCGGATTGGGTAATAAAATGTATTTTGAGAATAAGACGGCCTTTTGACCTTTTAGGGTCTAGGGCTGTAAAGTGTCTCAGGGTTGCTGCCAAACGAGCCATGAGCTGGGCTGGATTTTTATATTTGATGAAAAAGAGCCTAAACACTATCTGATTTGGGATAAGGAAAAAGGAGCATTAACCTTGACTATGCCTTTAGCTCCAGCCACCTTTTTAAGAGTAAATTGCTGGTCAGGTGGGGGAGGGCTAGTCACAGAACGAAACTGTAAGCCGGACCGGGTGTGAGGAGGGAGGTGATAAAAGGATTATAGGGTGGAGGAGCAGAGGCTAAGGAAGAATTGGGACCTAGCTCAGCCTGGCGAGGTGGGGAGAGGTCAGATGGGTCTGTAGAAAAGGAAGGTTAGAAAGACTCACGACGCTTGGGGTTGGGACTGAGGGGACAGGTGGGAGGGAAAGAAGGAAGAGTTGGGACGAGTTGCACTGGGCACAGAGACTAGGGAGGGACCGATATGTGAAAGAATGCCTGGACATCAGGCACCTCAGACCGTTTGCCCATTTTACGACAAGAATTATTTAGATCTTGCAGGATGGAAAAATTGAAAGTGCCATTTTCTTGCTATTGGAACTACTGTTGAGTTTGTATTGGGGTCAAGCGGCATTGCAGAAGAAAATAAGGCATTTAGGTTTTAGGTCAGGTGTGAGTTGAAGAGGTTTTAAGTTTTTGAGAACACAGGCCAAGGGAGAAGGGGGAATGGAGGGTGGAAGGTTGCCCATAGTGAAGGAAGCAAGCCTAGAGAAAAGAGAGAGTAGAGGCACGGAGGGAAGGGGTTCGGGGGTTCTTACGTTCCAGAAAAGTGGGAAAGAGGTTGGGGCATGGATATAAGGGGTTGGGGCGCAGAGATAAGAGGTTGGGGCATGGAAATAAGGGATGGGGTGCAGAGATAAGAGGTTAGGGCGTGGAAATAAGGGGTCGGGGCATGGAAATAAGTGATTGGGGTGCAGAGATAAGAGGTCGGGGCATGGAAATAAGGGATGGGGTACAGAGATAAGAGGTTGGGGCATGGAAATAAGGGATCAGGGCACAGAGATAAGAGGTTGGGGTGCAGAAATAAGGGATTGGGGTGCAGAGATATGAGGTTGGGGTACTTGCCCCTCTAGAAAAGCGGGACTTGCCACTAAGAGTGAAGGAGAAGGGGTTGGGGGTTTCTTGCCCCCCCAGAAAGGTGGAGAAGGGGTAGAGACAGAGAAGGGGTTGGGGTACTTGCCCCTTCCCCAGAAAAGTGGGACTTGCCGCTAAGGGTGAAGGACCAAGGCAGGCGTCCCTGAGTGGTCTGACACCTCTGAAACATGGGTGAATAATCAGAGAGATGTCCCTGCAATGATCAAACAACAAGGGAAGGCTGCCTTCCCTAGTCCGTGACTGGCCCTGGAGTTTTGGGTCCATGGATAAAACATGTCTCCTTTGTCTCTACCAGAAAATGAAAGGAATTGAAATTAAGAGAAGGGAGAGATTGAAGAGTGGAAAGGAGAAAGTGGTTGAGGGACAGTGAGAGAGGTTGGAGAAGAGAGTAAGAAGAGGCCACTTACCCTATTTAAAATTGGTGAGCTGTTCCTTGGGCTGGTGGGTCTGAGGACCTGAGGTCATAGGTGGATCTTTTTCACGGAGCAAAGAGCAGGAGGACAGGGGATTGATCTCCCAAGGGAGGTCCCCCGATCCGAGTCACGGCACCAAATTTCATGCATGTCCGTGTGAAGAGACCACCAAACAGGCTTTGTGTGAGCAACATGGCTGTTTATTTCACCTGGGTGCAGGCAGGCTGCGTCTGAAAAGAGTCAGCGAAGGGAGATAGGGGTGGGGCCATTTTATAGGATTTGGGTAGGTAATGGAAAATTACAGTCAAAGGGGGGTTGTTCTCTGACGGGCAGAGTGGGGGTCACAAGGTGCTCAGTAGGGGAGCTTTTGAGCTAGGATGAGCCAGGAGAAGGAATTTCACAAGACGATGTCATCAGTTAAGGCAGGAATAGGCCATTTTCACTTCTTTTGTGGTGGAATGTCATCAGTTAAGGCAGGAACCAGCCATATGGATGTGTACATGCAGGCCACAGGGGATATGGTGGCTTAGCTTGGGCTCAGAGGCCTGACAGTTGGGGCCTCCCCCTAGCTCACAGAAGAGGAGCTAGGGCTTAAGGGTGAGCAGCAAGTCAGCAGGTGGCTAAGGTTGAGCAGAGGAACCCAAGGGTGTGCCTCGGCTGAAATGCTTTCTTGGATGAGGGCTTCAGCATCAGGATTCAGGGGTAGTAACAAGGGCAGACTGCAAGAGAGCATTGTTGGGGGTGCAGGCACACTGAACCCAGCACAAGGAGGCCTTGAACCCTGACCCAGAACCACCCCTTACTTAGAGCAGTGACACCTCAGCCACATATGCCGAGCATCTGAACTGTGGCAGCTAGTACAAAATGCATTCCGTAAACATTCGTGGAATGAATGAGCAGACGAATGAATGAACGTTTCCGTGTATCAAATGGGAGTGATATTATTTACTCCAGCTCTGCCAGGGGATTATTGATAGGGTGAATTGAGACGATAGAGATGGAAAAACCCTCTAAACTGTAAAATACTATGCAGATGTAAGGATTATAATGTGAATGGATACAGTTGATTGCCAGAGATAAAAATCATCAAGGAATCAGCTGGTGATGGTGTAGTAACTTCCCTGGACTGCAAGAAGCAGCTTTAATTGGAGCTCTTAAGGGAAATCTCTTCCTCCATCGTCGAATTAGTAGGACTATTACCACTATTATTGAAGACATTTTTAAATTTTTTTACATCACTGAATGGAACAAATCAAGCAAGATTTCAGGTGATAAGAAATAGCAGGAGGATTGGGCACACAGCGTGGTGGGAAAACTTAAGAAGGGTCCCATCTTAGCATTCCAGATGAGACTTACTGATGGCCGAGTCCCACTCCCTATTTTAGAGTGAGGGAAACTGAGGCCTGGAAAACATGCAGTGTCATGATGCTCACCTGGATTAAGTAATAATCATAACAGCTCACATTATGGACTGAACATCTGTATATATGAGGTTATTTGATTCATACAATAACCCTATAAAGTAGATACTATAATTATCTTCATCTTACAGTTAAGAAAACAGAGACTCAAACCAAGTAGCTAGTCCAGGTGTACACAGTTGGCAAGTAAGGGTAACATACTAACAGGGTATCTCCCTGTTGCCAGAGCAACTGGAGGTCCACAGATAATATCATTGTGGGAAGAAATATATTGTTTTATTTACTTGGGGTTTGGGGAATATTTGACTAAAATGATGACTGATGTTGGACATAGAACGTGGGAACCCCTGCAATGATGTCTCTTACCTGGGAGTGAAAACATGTGCAAGGACTCTCTTGGGGTTTAGAAACCAATCAGCTCAAGTCAGGCCCCGCAGAAAGGAGTGCACTATAATTCCTGAGCCCTCCTGCTCCCTCTCTCATTAGCTGACACCATCAATTCAAGGTTAATGCACGCCGGGTTTGGGAGCTAATTATTCCACCATTACAGATATAAATTTCCCCTGGAGAACAGCCAGAGATGGGAGCTGGAGAGAAGAGAAAGAGGCTGAGGAAGGAAAGAGGCCGCCTAGCTCTGACAGATGGGAAAATAGCATGTCATCATGGGTGGCGGGCTTCCCGACCACTGGAGCATGCCTCCAGGAAATCTCTGCATCTTTCCTGGTTGTACTCCAGGCTGACTGCTCTGCCCACACTCCTATTTGCCTGGATTTCTGGCAGTCGCTGAGCCCCCACCCCCATCTGTCAGCCTTCATGGTTCCTAAAACAGCTTGCAGAACACTCTTCAATTCCACAATTTATCTAGTCCCTAGTCTATGCCAAGCAATGGGATGCAGGACATGGGGGGTGCCGACCACAGTGATTAATAACACATAGTCCCTGACTTCAAGGAGATTTTATTACTGGGGAAGAAAAATGTGCATTCAATCAACTCTAGCACTTGGCTGTGTTATGGGGACAAAGTGCTATGGGACAAAAGAGAGTCACTTGAGCTAGGAGGTTCTGAAAAGGAAGAGCCATTTGAAGTGTGTCTTGAAGGATGAGTACGGTTTCAAGAGCGGGGAAATGGGAAAGGGCGGGTATTACTCCAGGTAAAAGAAACAAAAGCATAATGGCAAAGAAGGCAGAACTTGCTTGCTGTGTCTGGGATGTAGGTTAAAGCATGCTGAAAGTGAGCCTGTAATGGGAGTAAGGACTAGGGAAGGCAGCTGGAAGAGACCATGAAGGGCCTGAACGAGCATGATTTGGAATTTAGAACTTCTATTAGAGGCAATGGGGAGCCACTGATGGCTTTTGAGGAAGGGAGTGACATGATGGGATCTGCATTTTAGAAAGAGGGTGGGGTGGGGTGTAATAGAGGGGAGCAAATGGAGGGAGGCAAGAGGACCCAGCTTCACGAGGAGCTCTTACATTAAGACTCCAACAGGAAGAAGGGGGAATTGCAATTAGTGGATGTGTTGGTGACCTCGTAAAAGGAGGTGACCTTTTAAGATGAGAGAAGCTTTCATCCACCCATTCAAGTTCATTTAGTGTCTTTTTTTCGTGAAGATTCATTTAGTATCTCTTTTTCATGAAGACAGCTCGAGCCAGATTTCTGGCCAATTGTTCTGGCTGGGCATTTCTGTGTCTTCCTTAGGGTGTCTTCTGGAGCAGGCTGCCCACTTGCCAGGGCAGGTAGCAGGCAGGGTTGTTTGGCCTGGAGGCCTCTCAGGGTGAGTGATGGAAAAATTCATCGTGGGCAGGTGGAGGGCCTGCTCAGGTGGGGAGACAGCAGGTAATGGGTGGGTGGGGTGAGCACAGAGGCTGCTGCAGCCCAGCCCTGCTCAGCGGCTAAGGGCTGGGGGACAGGGGAATGAGCATGTCAGCTCAGCCCCTAGAACTGGCTGCCAACCGAGGGCAAAGAGTGCTGCTCCAGAGCAGGACAGCAAGGCAGGGCACAGTCACCTGATCATCCAGCCTCTGAGACCCTGGCAACTTTGACGGAAAGCGTGCTCGGAGCAGCCTGGGGCAGTGGCCCCTACTATGGGTTTGCACCTGCAGAGAAGAGATCAGCTCATCCAGTGAAGAGAGAAAGGCTGGGCTGAGCACTCCCCATGGAACTTCGCTTCTGGACCTGGCTCTTCAGTGGGCTATCTGGGGACCTCTCATGGGTGTATTGAACTCCTGAGGCAGGCAGGAAAGCATCAAGGCCCAGAGATGCTTGGGACTGGGAAGCATCCTTCACCATCTCCTTCTGGAGTTCCTTGACATTGTTCTGTCCAAACAAGGGTGGCAGATTCCTCAAAAACCTAGAGCAAGGCAGAGCAATACTGGAGAAAAGGGAAGTTTCACTTGTGGTTGTAGGCCTTTCTAATTTTCAGATGGTGAGTGCACCTAAGGATGTACGTTCAGACACGTTTACAGATGAAATGCTGTACCTCCAAATCAGCGATGCCCCATCATCATCTTGCTGAAAACCAGACCAGAGAGGAAAGTGTAAAAATGCTCATGAGTGGATACACACACAAAGACACACACACACACTCTCCACGTGCCCTGTGTCCAACGCAGATATGTTTGAATATTCAGGATGGGAGGATTGAGGAAGATGATGGACTCAGAACCCCCCCTTACATGCACATGAAGTTCAAAGGGAGGAAGGCCTGGGCAGAGCAGGGTTACCTCCAAAGCCAAGAGATCAGGGAGACGCTGGGATGTAGATCCTGAAAAATTTTGGCATAGGCGAATGTGGAAGTCTTTAGGAAGAAAAGGAAGGTGGACGTTCACCGTGGATGCAGAGGATGCTCCGGAAGGCCGCGGTTTATTAAGCACCTTCCATGCGCCCTGTGTTGGGCTAGGTGCTTTAAAGTGAAAGCTGATGCTGACAATAATCCTGTGACATAGGCATGATTATTGCCTTTTGCGAACGAGAAAACCAAAGTTCAGAGGCATCAGGGAAGTGATTTGTCCGGGGTCACACGCAGAGCTCGGATATCTTTCAAAAGCCCACGTTCCTCTGTCTACACCAGGAGTTCTCAATCGTGGCTCTGCTAACTCTTTTGGCTGGATAGTTCTTTGTTACGGAGGCTGTCTGTGTATCACAAGATGTCTAGCAGCAACCTTGGTATCTACCCCCAGGTATGAATAGCACCTGCCCCCTAAAATTGGGACCATCAAAAATGTCTCCAGACATTAATTGCTACATGTCCGCTGGGGGAAAAACCACCCCTGACCTAAGGCCACTGCTCTGCACCTGCTACTCCCCAAACAAAGGCATTTAGGATTCCCACCCCCAGCAGTCCAGAGCTGGTGCAGCTCAGCCCTCCTGTGCTCTTTCTGCCTGTAAAGTGATCATCCCACAGCCTGCACCCTTCATGAGTTTTGCAAGGCAAGCTCAGTCAATGCTACCATGCCCAGGCTCAGGTCCTGACCCTGCTGTGTGGGGTGGAACCATCTGCTTCTCCTGTTTTTAAAAAATGGGGGGCTGGTGGTCCTGACCAGCAGTTCTCAACCAAGGATGTACATGAGAGTCACCTGGGGAGCTGTTTTATTGTTTTGTTTCTTTGTTTATTTTTGATATTCAAAACAAAGATACACTTGTCCTGTCCCAGTCCTCCTCATGCCCAGGGTTGCACTCTCCTGGTTGTTACGCCTGGCCCGAATCATTTCCAGGGCTCATTTCAGCCCCACCCTTCACTCCTGAGCTCCCTTGGATTCATTCACTCACCTCCCAATTTTCCCTCCGTGTGCCAGATGCCAGTGTTAAGGACCGGGGCTCAGACAGGGCTCTCAGTCAAGGAGTGAGGGACAGGGAATGAACATGCCATGGCACAGGGCAGGACCTGCTGAAAGACAGACAGGCCCAGCAGCGTAGAGAAGCGGTGAGCAGCTGCTGTCAAGGGGAGGGAGTATGGGGCTGAGGCAGGTGTGTGATGGGTGTGGGGAAGGAGGGGTGGTGGGGCACATCTGTGTATGTGAGTGGTGGTATTTGGGAGGGAATACGGGGGTGTGTGCATGTGGAGGGGAAGGGGTTTATGGGTGTACGTGCATATGTTATATGCGTGTGACTGAATAGTGTATATGGTACGTGTGTCTTGTCTGTGTGTACAACTACATGTCTATGTGAAGAATCTGGGTGGTGTGTGTGTCTGTGCCCTTGTATGTGCATGTGTTTGTGTGTGTGTATACAAGGTATGTGTGTTTACAGAGTATCTTAGTGCACATGTGTGTGTAGAGGGCCAGGCAGCAAGAAGGCCTCCCAGAGAGGACAATCTTTGGCCTGGCTCTTGGAGGAGGAGGAACAGTTCAGTAAGTGGAAAAAGAAGGGAGAGGCCTTCCAGGAAGAGGGACAGGCAGGCAGGGTGTGTACAGGCAGAGGTGTGACTGAGACTGGCATGTGTGGGGCATGGTGGCAGGGGGGTGAGGGGGTGGCGAGGAGATGGGGGCACGGATGGGAGAAGGTGAGGACTCAGTTTGCGGGGGCACACTAAGTGTGCCTCACTGGAGCCCTCAGCGCCCCTTTAGAATTTGAGGTGGGCTTGCCAGAGTTTTGGGAAGATGGCAGCAGCAGCAGGGCAGCACCTCTGGGAAGTCCCGGGAAGAGGCCTGGCTAGGCCAAGTCAGGGCCACACCTGAGCTGGCTGCAGGACTGTTTACAAAGCAAATGCATACTGGAGGGATTAGCAACCTGAGTTCTTGGCCAGCTGAGGTGGGTCACACCTGTAATCTCTGCACTTTGGGAGTCCGAAGTGGAAGGGTCTGTGCAAATCAAGCCTCTCCGCCAAATCACCTGCCGGCTTCCCACCCACCCCCAATCCCCACCTGAAGCCAGGTGTCTCTAATCTCTACTCCTGAGCATGAGGAAATCCAGCACAACCCCACCACCACCAGCAGGTAGAGCACCAGCTGTAACCAGGGCACAGCTCCTGAGCCAGCGGGCTCACTTTTCAATCTGGTTGTGGAGCAGGACACTGAGAAGCAGCCCACAGAGCTGCAAGAGTTCAGGCTGGGAGGGGACTCGAACCTGCCGTCAGCCTCACTGGTTGTGCCTCCTTGGGCAAGGCTACCCCCTGGCTCTCTGTTCCCAAGTGGGAATCCTGAAATGCCAGCAGCATTGAGTTGCTGTGATTCATTCAACAAATGTGTCCCCCTACCGTGTGCCAGGCACTGGAATACAGCAGGGAGAAAAGAGATAAAGACCCTGCCCATGTGAAGCTTGTGCACTACGGGGAGGAGACCAATCAATAATAAACATAACAAATGACTCGACTGTGGAGGCTGCTAGAAGGAGATGAGGCAGGGAAAAATGAGAAGAGCAGGGTATGGGGGACAGAATGGCTGTGATGGCGAATATTGGAATATGAAATGTGACTGACCTGTAGAGGCAGTTAGGGAAATGCTGATTTTGCAAATGAGATCCTGTCATTTCCAACATGGATGGAACTGGGGGACATGTTAGATGAAATAACCCAGGCACAGAAAAGCTCACTTCCCAGGTTCTCATTCATTTGTGGGAGCTAAAAATTAAAACAATTTAATTCACGGGGATAGAAAAGTAGAATGATGGTTAACAGAGGCCGGGAAGGGTAGTGGGGTTGGGGGGATGTAGGGATGATTAACAGGTACAAAATATGCAATGAAAGCAATGCAATGAATATGATCTGTTATTGATAGCAGAACAAGGTGACTACAGACAGCAATAATTTGTTGTACATTTTCACATAACTGAGGGAGTACAATTGGAATGTTTGTACCACAAGGAAATGATGAATGCTTGAGGTTATGGAGACCCCATTTACCCTAATATAATTATTACACATTGCATGTCTGTATCAAAATATCTCATGTATCCCATCAATATATATATACCTACTATGTGCCATAATTTTTTAAATAAGCCATGCTGAAAAGGGCTCAATGAAGTGACAAACAGAATGAATTATTTTCCCTTACTAATCCAGTCAACACCTGCTATGCGTTTGGTTCTATACTAAGAATTAAGGATGGATGCAAATAATTTCTGTAGGGGCTCATAGTCTGGTATGGAGGACAGGCAAGGATACAAACTAAGGATCCTGTGGTTCATGGTATGGTGGGTGCTATCCAAGGGGTCAGCCTAGAAGATGAGGAGAAAACCTGGTTGGGACAGGAGGGCCTCTGAGGGACCTACTGGGGTTGGCCTGATGGAAAAGAGGGAGAAGACAAAGGGCGTTCCAGGCAGGGGAACAGCATGTGCAAAGACTAGGGGAAGGTAGGGGTTGAAAAAAAAGAAACCGGGTGAGCCACCTGGCGGCAGTTGGAGAAGTGTGAGTAGTTCAGGGTGGGTTGAAACTGGGGAGTCACAGAGTAGTGATCTTTGGGACCGTATCCTGAAATCTTTTGAATACCATGCCAAAGGTGTTCCGGCTTTTTCAGAAAAATAACCACTGAAGGATCTTTAAGCTGGGAAGTGATCTGATTGTAGTAGAATTCCAGGAATAATGCTGACCAGAGCACAATGAGGGTGGAGGAGGGGAGCAGGAATAGAACAGCATTCCTTCTTTTGGGCCTCCTTTTAATGTCACCTCTTCGAAGAGACATTCTATTTTAGGCCCATCTGAATAGAACCCTCATCATGCCCCGTCATCGTTAGCCAGCTTTACATTTCTTTATAGTGCTTATTCCTACGCAACATTGCATCGACGTCTGTATACATTTCTTTATTTTCTGGTCTCTTACCTATAGGATATACATTTCACTTAAGCAGGGACTCTACTCACGGCTGTGTCACTAACACCTAGAAAAGCACCTGACACACAGTTGGCTCTCAAATTTTTTTGAAAGGAAAAAGTAATAAAATTAATGGAATAATAAAATTCCATTAAGAAATGGAAAACTTTGCTGTGGGCCTGTTTTTATCTGAAGTGGTTGGCAGCTGGGACTTGGGTTTGCCCTGAGGCTGGTGTTGAGCTGCTGTGAAGGTCAGCAAAGTGAGCCCCAGCCCATGAGATCTGTATCCCAAGGCTCTGGAGCCAACCAAGCAGGCTGATGCTGCTGCAGAACCCTGAGAACCCAGTGCTGCAAAGATCCTCTCCATGTGTGCTGACTCTAGCCCTTTGGGGCTGGAAGGCTTCTGACGCTGGGTGCCATGCCAGCATCTTACACCACCAAATGGTTCCAGGGAGGGTGCAACTGGCTACTCAAGGCCCTGGGTCTGAAATTACAGATCAAAAAATACATTGTGAGCAGGCTGTGGTGACTCAAGCCTGTAATCCCAGCACTTTGGGAGGCAGAGGTGGGCAGATCACTTGAGGTTAGGAGTTCAAGACCTGCCTGGGAAACATGGTAAACCCCATCTCTACTAAAAATACAAAAAGTAGCCAGGCATGGTGAGAGGCACCTATAATCCCAGCTACTCAGGAAGCTGAGGCATGAGAATCACTTGAACCTGGGAGGCAGAGGTTGCAGTGAGCCAAGATCGTGCCACTGCACTCCAGCCTGAATGACAGAGCGAGACACCATCTAAAAAAAAAAAATACATATTGAGCACACCCTGTACCAGGCAAAATGTAAGATAGCCTACTTATACTATAAAGTAGGTATGTTATCCCCATTTTACAGAAGAAAAACTGAAACTGAGAACTGAAACTTGGTGATTTGCCAAGATCACAGAGCCAAGAAACCAGAACCCAGGTTTGACTCCAATGCCTGTGTTCTGTTTCACTCAGCCACGTAGACTGAAATGTCCAATGCCAAACAAGACCCACCATCCCAGAGCCCCAAGCTCGGCTGGCCTCACCACCAAGACTTTCCATCTTCTGTGATACACAGACCCTCAGACCCCCTCATCTAGCAGCACCCGTTAGCTCCCGGGGAAAATGCCAAGCCAGGGTGGGCAGGGTCAACTTGGTGAATGAAATGGAGAAATAAGAAGCCCCATTCAGCTCTAAAACATGCTGTAGAAGATGCAGAAGTATATTTGGAATCAAGAACCCCTGGAAACTGACCAGGGAAGCATTTTGATAAATGAAACTAATGTATGTATTGCCTGACCCTCTGGCAATGGCATTAATGCTTTTTCATTTTTTTAATGTATTATTTATTTGAGTTGAGGGAACGTGGTAAGGCTGGGCATGCTGAGCCTGAGCTCTTTACAGTGGGTAAAGTGATGCTGGGGACTTGGTGAGGTTGTTTCCTGTAATGGTTCCCAGTCTCCGCGGCTGGGATTACAGTGTCGGCCACAGATCTTTCGTCCAGGCCGCCCCTCCCTGGAAGCAGCTTCCCACGGTGCACAGTAAGGGGTGTGGATGGTCTGTCCTCAGCAGGGACTCAGCCTGCTTTCGGTAGATCCAACCCACTTTCCCTCAATCGCCCTGTGGCCCACAGTGCCAGTGATTGTGTTTGTGACTTGAGGTCTTTAATAACCTCAGCTTCTGACAGTCTTCTAAAGGTGCCAGTGACTTAGCAGCTCAGAAGAAAAGGCTGATTGAGAGAAAAAGAACAAAGCATCAAGGGTTGGAGAGAGTGGGTGGAGACCTCCCCTGGCTTTGGGGGTTCTCAGACTGTGGGAGTCTGGCTGAACCCCAAGAGTTATGAAAGATTCCAAGTCTAACCTGAGGTTTATGTTAGCGTAGCTATTCCAGTTTCCCAGGATTTGAGATGGGGAGGCTGCTGACGAGGTGGAAGGCCAGCCCTCTGCTTCTCCTCCAGTCAGGACCCATTTGCCTGGGCTAGGGGTTCCCACAGGGTGTTCCCTGAATCCCTGAGAGAGCTCTGCCCCCAGCCCCTGCCCAGCCTTCCTGCAACCCCTGAGAGAGCTCTGGCCCCAGGCCCTGCCCTGCCTCCCCTGCCTTCCTCAACACATGGCTGACTCCTTCCCACCCTCTAGGAATCAGCTTAAATGTCACCTCTCGAAGAGATATTGCTAGGTCATTCCATCTAACCTGGCCAGCCCTGCTCCATTTTTTGTATTTCAGAGCTCTTATCACACACTGTAGTTAAATTTTTCTTTCTTTCTTTCTTTCCTTTTTCTTTCTTTCTTTCTTTTCTTTTCTTTCTTTGTCTTTTTGAAATAGAGTCTCACTCTGACACCCAGGCTGGAGTGCAGTGACACAATCTCTGCTCACTGCAGCCTTCGCCTCCCAGGTTCAAGCTATTCTCATGCCTCAGCCTCACGAGTAGCTGGGATTACAGGCATGCACCACCATATCTGGCTTATTTTTGTATTCTTAGTAGAGATGGGGTTTTACCATGTTGGTCAGGCTGGTCTCAAACTCCTGACTTCAAGTGATCCTCCAGCTTCAGCCTCCCAAATTGCTGGGATTACAGGTGTGAGCCACTGTGCCCGGCCTAAATGTGTTTCTTAGGTATTGTCTGCCTCCACCTCTAAACTGTAAGCTTCAAAGGAAAGGCCAGGTGCAACTGAAGCAGCATTATTCCACCAGCACTTAGCACAGTGCCTGGTATGGAATGAGTAGGTATTCGGTAATATTTATTAACTGAATCAACGATGAATGAAATGAGAGCTCTACCTTATAGCCATAGTCCTCAAATTTTAGAGTCAATAAGAATTACCTGGGGAGCTGATTGACATTCAGATTCCTAGGCCTCATTTCTTGATCTTCTGATTCGGTAGGTCTGGGGAGATGCCCAGGAATGTGCGTTTTAACAAGTACACCCCTGGTGATTCTTTCTGACAGAAGCACCTCTGGACAGGCCACATCTTGGGAAACACTGCCTTACCTGCATGGTTTGTCTCCACTGCAGTGACATCGCTGAGAAATGAGTTTTCACCACCTGCCATTGCCTTTTTCTCCAGTCCTTTAAGCATCTCTAGAATCTGGAGGTTTATGCCTTGGAGCTGGGGCAATGGCGGGGGGTGTGGGTTGTGCAGTGTAGCAAGAGGAAGGTATGTATTTATTATTATTAGAAATTAGAAGCAGGCCGGGAGCGGTGGCTCACACCTGTAATCCCAGCACTTTGAGAGGCCAAGGCAGGCGGATCACCTGAGGTCAGGAGTTCAAGACCAGCCTGGCCAATGTGGTGAAACCCCATCCCTACTAAAAATACAAAACTTAGCAGGGCACAGTGGCACATGCCTATAATCCCAGGTACTCTGGAGCCTGAGGCAGGAGAATTGCTTGAACCCAGGAAGCGGAGGTTGCAGGGAGACGAGATCATGCCGCTGCACTCCAGCCTGGGCGACAGAGCGAGATTCTATCTCAATAAATAAAAAACAAAGAAATTAGAAGCAAATATAAGAAGCTCGTAATACACTGCTGTTGCCCAAATGTGCAGATACCATTGATCGCATTTGTTCATTGGCTCAGTAGACTTTTTGAAGACCCACGATGTGATCAAGGCACTGACTTCAATATTGGGGATGAAACAATTAACAGAACAAAGTACCTGACCTCAAGGAGCCCTAGCTAAGCCCTAGCTTAGTGGTAGAGACAGGTAGGTCCGTGACTGTTGAGCCCAGTAAGGCCCAGCAAGAGCACTGTACAAGGGCAGCACAAGGAGAGAAAGTTACCAAGGGAAGTCAAGGCACTCCATGGAGGAGAGAACATCAGGGCCAGTTTTAGTTTAGCTAAAGCTTCGTTGGCCAGGAAGAAGATATCACAGAGCAAAGTTAGCACAAACTAGGAATGACCACAATGCACAGAGTGTTCGGGAGGAAGCCGCAAGGGACCTACCTGGAGAGATGCACAGCGTTTTCCAGAGAAACAAGGTTGGTCTTGACCTGCTCCGAACTTACCATTGCCAGCCCCCACATAGGATCCAGGCCACAGCGGTATTTTTTGTCACCTGTCCAGGTTTACATTTTTTCAGATTGGAATGTTTTTAGCCAAAGAACTCTCCTGTTTACCACGGTTCCCACCAGTCGTTACACTCAGCCTTCATGCATCACATTGCCTGCCCAGCCCCTGAAGTTGCCCAGCAACTAGGGCTGGCACCCTTTGCTACCCACTCACCTCAACACAGAGCTGAAATCAGAGAAGTGACCTGATCCGCTCTGGGTTTTTACGAAGATCGGCCTGGTGATTGTCAAGAGGGGAATATATTTGGAAGTTGAAAAAACAGTCAGGAACTTCCTCAATAGCCTGGCCCAACTGTCTCCACACTTTGATCCTATGTCCTCAACCTGTGTACATTAATTTATTTAGAGACTGTCTTATGTCCTAATATATGGTATGTGTGATAAGATATACAAAAAAAAAAGCATTTAAATGGGTGAGATAAAGATGAAAGATGACATAACACTACTTTTTAAGCTTTTATTTTGTTAACCATACCCAGGAAAACCCTTTTCACTGGAACAAATTTTTATGAAAACTAATATTTGTACTGAGGTTGTTATGTTTTATCATGTTTGTATTATTTTCATATTAAGCTTCTGCATTATGATATTTAGAAGACTAGTTTTAAGTTCAAATTATTTTGATATTTAGTTCTAATCACTTTCAGAATTGAAAAAAATGATACTTCACTAAAGTGCAGAAATCCAAATGGAAAAGGCACTAACTACATTGGCTGTGCTTGCTATAATAATAATTTTTCTATCTTACCAATTATGCAAATTGTGTCTAAATTCAGTTAGGAAATGTCATCTTCTCTGATGTCGATCAATTGTTCTTCCACATTTGCCATTGGCACTTTTATATTTTTAACAAGAGTTTGAAAACTCTTCATTTGGAAGATGTTTAATTAGGTGACGATGAGTGAAGTGTCAGTGCTACCATTTTCTTGCTGTTTCCATTACTAGTGTTATCTCCTTTCAGTAGTTCATTTTTGCAATAATCTTTTTTTAAGCCACACATCAATTTAGGGTTAATTTGGTGAAAACAAATCATCAATCCATTTAACCTGGTCCCAAAGCAAAGGATTGCAAGACCAAGCCCTCCATGTTGTAAAGCCCCCACTCCATCCTCAGGTTCACGTGGCTTGGCCCAGCTATACATGACCTTGGACAGTCTTCCTATCACACTGGTGAGCAGCCAGTATCCATGCACATAGTAAATATTAGTAAAGTACAATATCTCTCCCATTGTTTGAAGCCATAGAAGTTCTAATATTTTCTCCTATAATTCAAAGGCTCATCTTGCACAGAGCCATTCAGGCCTCTTTTTGGAGATGCCCATTTCTAAGATGAGGAGTTGCTGAGCCAGGCGTTGGGAGATAAGACAGAACAAGGTATCAAGAGTGAGGGTCCATCAGGTGTTGAGGGTGGGGGAAGAAGGAAGATGAGAGGGTTGAGATTGTCCTAGACGTTCCAGCTGGGATTGCAGGTGAGAAGGGTATTCAGTTCTGACAGGCAGTATTTCCTGGGAAGCACAGGTGCAAAAAGTAATCTTTTCCCACTACAGTGTCCCAGGCAAGGGGAAGACCCACAGGTTTTCTCTGTCCTCTGCTTTAGTTGAACTCTGTTTCACTGTACTCCCCACCATTATTGAATGGACTTGGGTAAGCGGCTGATTTGAAATTCAAAGACCTGGATTCCAGTCCATGCCGACTCCACCCCTTAATAGCTGGCTGACTAGCACAGCTTCCTCATCTGTAAAATAACAATTTTTTAAAAAGCCCTGCCTGCTTCACAGGATTATTATATGGCTCAAAGATAAAGCATATGCACAGCCAAAGGCTCTGAAAACTGCAAAGCACTATACAAATGTACGGTGTTATTATGACTTAGTATCCTGCATGCATTATGATTGAGGTACAAGGCAAGACATATCTATGTCCTCTTGCCTTTGTTTTTCCGGGACACTTAGGAGAGAGTATGACCATGTGGAGTAAGAGGTGGACACTGAGATCAGTATCCTGTGGGCAGTACATCTGAACATCCTGAACGTCCTAACACTGACCTTAGGCCTCCTGAGACCAGAGGTCACACTTGGAAATGAGGTGTGGTGCAGAGGTTGCTGGGGTTTCTGGATCCACGGAGCAAGAATGCCTGGGAATACTGGAGAAGAACCTAGTTTTCCTGGAAATTCCCCTCCCAGGCATTTCTTCACTTGATCTGAAGAAAATCTAAGAAGAAGCCAACACTAGAATGAAGCATTGTTTGAAAGTGGGAGATAAGACGCCTTATCATACCTACTTTCACTTAAGATCTGGCTTTCCCTGGCCACCAGGGGTAATCAGTCTCTTAACATATTTACTGGATGTCTACATAGAAGTACAATTCAAGCCCCTTGCAATGAAAATACTAACAATATGATTGGGAAGATTAAACACAGGATAGACAGATTGACAGATAATGGTGATGAAGATAGATAATAGATAGATATCTGGATGGAGGTTTGGATAGATAAGCACAAACTTGACAAGACACTACACCATCAGGAGAAAAAGAACAATTTGTTGAGCGTCTACAATGTGCCAGGTCAAGGTGCCAGGTGCTTTCAGATGTGTTACCACATCTGTCATTGCTGACTCCTTACAGCAATCCTGTAAGGAAGCATCAGCCCCATTGGTCAGATAAGAAATGGAGACCCAAAGAGGTTAAGCAACTTGTCCAGGACCATGCAGCTAGCCAGCCCATGTTCCTTCATCTAAGTCTCACTGTTCCTGGGTCAGAGGAAACCCTCCCACCCCCACCTCCCAGCTCTGAATTGTCTTTATTACTCTGGAGCCTTTGTTCTGTGTGAGAATATCTTAGGCTTTTTGAGAAAAGCCCCAGATCACTGTCTATTCATTGAGAACCTGAAACCGGCTCCTCAGCCATTCCTGCTCTAGCCACCAGCAAGGTTCCCAAGTGAAAGTGAGTCCTCTCAGGAGAAATGAAAGCGCTGTCTCTTTAGGTGCCCACTCCTTACCCACCAGCGGAGCAATGTTTTCCAGGCTGGCCAGGCTCCAGAAGCTCACTAAGGAAGTTGGCTTGGGGCCAAAGGCATCTATGGTTCATTGTACACTGTGGCCCTCCCCTTCCTGCCCCTCCATTTGCTCCCCTTCCTTTCTCTCTCTCCCTTCCCGGCTCCTAGACTGGGTCTAGGCAGGAGCTTCGCCATGATGTCAGGAGGGAAGGAGATGCCTCTGGGCCTCGTACCACAGCCTCAGCTCTCTCTCTGCCCCTCCATCTGAGTCCCTCCTGGCTCCCAGCTCCCTCAGGGTGCAAGGCCAAGCCTCCAAGGAATCCCTCCCCTTACCTGCATGGCTGGAGCCAAGAGTGAGTTTGGGGCCACTGGCTATGATGAGGGGATGACCCAGAGCTCAGTGAGCACTGTCGAAGCACTTCTGTTAGGAGGTTTGGTTGGCCAGGGAGGAAGAAGGCCTCCCTCTCTGGGATGCTCCTGAAAGGACTCTGTGGGAAGTTAAAGAATCCTCTGTGTGAGAGCAGGATGGGGGAAGGTGGAGGGTTGGAGAAATCCAGCCCAGTGTCTCTGTGTCTCCCCGCCTCCTCCTCCTGGGCCTCTATCCTCTGTGCTCTTGGCCTCTATGAGTCTTTTTGAAACTTCCCAGGCTGGAAAGCACTAGGTCCTGGGATATGAAAGTCTCTTTTAACATAGAATAGGCCTTCTGTTGATCCCAAAGATGCTCTTAAAATACACAACAAGAAATCGGAGTTTTACACACAGTCAGCTTCTCATTTTATAGATGGGAAGCTGAGGCCTAAGGAGGTGAAGTGGCCACTATAGCCATTCCATTGCACCAGGGTGGAGGGCTGTCCACCAAATTCAGAGCCCGGCATAGTGGGTGGGGGTCACCCACTTTATCTGACTCTCATGGGTCCTTGATCTCAGGGGTCTTTTCTGGCAGAGGTCTGGGAGCATGACTGAGACATGATCTCAGAATCAAACCCCTGGAGGCAGTAGCTATAGCAGGAGCTGACGATCTCCAGAAACTCAGGACCAGACGATCTCCAGACACTCAGGACAAGTCAGTGTCCCCACCAAGGATGGGGCTTTGAGAGGCTCCGCCCACCTCTGTTTCTGCACAGCAGGTTTAGCAGCTCCATTCTTCCCCAGAGAGCCACTCCATCTGAGGGTGGCTGCGTGTCCACATACGAGGGGACAGGGCTGAGGATGAGGAGAACCCTGGGGACCCAGAAGACCGTGCCTTGCCTGGAAGTCCTGCCTGTAGGCCTGAAGGACTTGCCCTAACAGAGCCTCAACAACTACCTGGTAAGGAAACTGCTGGCCCCTCCAGGTGTCTGGAGAGAGGGGAGGGAGGGAGATCCAAATACAAGCCCTGCTGGGACCGAGGGAGGGGGCAGGCCTGGACTCTGCTGAACACCTAATGAGCATCAGGGAGCGCCACTGCAGGACGAGCAGCAGAGCCAAGATTAGAGCCCCTGCTGTCCTCACTACAGCCACAGTCATTCACCCCTGTGCAGCAGCTGGCCAAGACCAGCAGACACAGGGCACGCGCCGCACCACTTTATCTTCTGGGATTTTCTTAAGCGGGACCCATGGCAATAATGCCTTTCCTCACCTTAACCTAATTCGGGCTCTACTCCTGCTTTCCAACAAATGATTCTGTCTATGCTGAAGTGATAAGGATAGGAAAACTGTGCCTGCATAGGAAGGAAGCTGGAGGTGACAAGTTGGGGTTGGGGGTCACTGTATTTACATGGTAGAAATTCTGGGAATAGAGTAGAAACGGTAGTAGAAACTTGCACATATTGGAATTATTTCTGCTTCCAGCCTGGGAAGTTTTCAAAAGAGACATAGAGGCCAAGAGCACGGAGTATAGAAGCCCAGTAGGCCAAGCCAGGAAGAGGCGGGGGAGACTGGGAGACATTAGGCTGGATTTCTGGTTTAGAAAAAGGTGCCATCAGCTCCCTATGTGACCTTAATGCCCTGTGCCTGACCCTGTACTTCCTGAGGTGGTGCCAGTTAGCTCACACTCTGAGTGGCACCTGGGGTGTATATAGAAATAGAAAGAGCTTGAGATTTGGGTTCTATTAGTCATAGTGGAATCACTGAATTCCCATGGAAGACACGGAAGGCAGAGGAGAATGAAAACTAATGTTTATTGAATGCTTTCTATTCCCATTTGTCAGATGGGAAAACTGAGACTCTGAGAGGTTAAATGACTCGGGTGTATCAGGATCCAGAGCTCAAGGTCTCCTCTACAAGTGGAGGTAGGAGCTTGGCCAGAGATGCCCTCGGGGCAGGATAATGCATAGGCTGCCCCTACTCAGGAGCCTCCTAGGGCCTCCTGAGCACCATGTCCCTGCAGATGCAGAAGGCTAGGTGGTTCCAGTCAACATCTGTGTTGCAGCTTTGGGGACAACCCTTAGGACACTGCTCTCTGGTGGCTCAGTACCTCTCCACTAAATTCCATCCCCCAGCACCTGTACCAGAACTGGTGGCCTGAGCCTCCATTGAGGCTGGCCGACACATAAATAGCCACTTAACGATTGGCTCGTCTACCACAGGGAGTGATGGCATCAGCTGCACTTGTCACTTGGGATGTGCTGCGGATGCAACACTCCATCCCCCAGATGGGTTTGGTATAAAAAGGACAAGATTCAAGTGGAATCCAGTTCAGCTTGGGGGTGCTGAAGGCCCTCCTCCTAAATGCAGGGCAAAGAAAAGGGACTTGGAAAACAGATTTAAATCATGCCACTTAACTGTGTGACCTCAGCCAAATCCCCTTGCAAATCTAAGATTTGACTCTAAAAATTAACACCTTCTGGGCCAGCAGCCATGAGAATTAAATGAAATTAAGCACCAGACATGGCTTCTAACAATTCATGGGCATTTAGAAGCCTTTTTCTTCTCTTTTCTTCCCTTATAAAATGAGACGTGTTTAGCAACTTAACCAAGCAAACACGGTAGGATGGGATTACATTTCTGGCTCTAGCCTGGGTGAAGCTTCTCAGATCATGAGACTCCTTAGAGGAGGCTGAGAGGCCCAGGGCCAAATGTTACATCTTCCTAACAGAAGTTTGGCCACTGGGAAAGCACTATTCAAGAGGAGTCTTGGAACTGAAGACTGGATGGTTCCCCAAATCACTTGATCGAGGGCCATTTCCTATAGGAGGAGGAGGAAATGAGGAATATGCCAAAGTGGAACCATGTTCCTTCAGGCCAGACCAGGAGAAAGACACAGACAGCCAAGGGCTGGTGGGAAGAGGCTGATAAGCATGTGGGAGAGAGGCCGTGGGCAAGCCTGCACATCTCTGTCCAACATTTGGAGGGCCCCCACTCTCCTTTGTCCACCTGGCAAATGCAACTCACTCTTCAAGAATCAAATGACCTTTTCTGTGACTTCCCTTTTGACATTGCCCCATCCTCCCTGCTCTTTTGCATACCAAATATCCCCTGTCCTCTGCTCCTATTAGAGGATGCTGTAGGGAATGTTCATTCACCAGTCACACATGTCTCTTCCTCACTAGATGGGTGGGTGCTCTGGTGGTGCTTTTCACATGCCTGGTTCACAGGAGAAGCTCAATAAACCTGTGGAAAATTGAATGAGGCAATGGAGGGCATGGGAGCTGCTCCATGGACCCCCTTAAACTCAATGCTTGGACAGGGAAAGGACAGGGATTGGGGAGATGGACTAAAGGAAGAGAATGTGAATATGATCGTTGGTAGATTTATAATGTTGATTTTATAACTGGTATTTTCAATGAGTGAGAACAAAAAAGCTAACATAACAGAGAGCAGAATGATAAGAATTTACCTGTGTGCAAAACTGTTCTTCACTGATTTTGTAACGTAAAAACTTTGGAAATAACAGCATTCACAGTAGAAGATGTGTTCTAGAAATGTTGGTACATTCAGACCATGAGACACCTTGCAGCCATTAGAGAGAATAAGGCGGATTATAGGAACTGACATGGAAGGTGTCACTGATACTGCAAAACAGCATGTTTCATGGTGCACTCATTAAGAGGAGTTGGGTCAGCTTGCTTAGATGTACTTTTCTGCCCCTCATGTACTACTTAGCCTTGGAAATATTCCTTATCCTCTCTAATCCTCAGTATTCTCACCTGTAAAATGGGGAGAATGGTAGTCCCTACTTCAAAGAGTTGTGAGGATTCTAGATATGCGTGGCACAGTTGTAAGCATGCATTAAGTGTTCAATAAATGTTTGCTATAATTAAGTTAAAAAAGTAAGCCGCAAAAAGCATGCTATTGCCCCAATTTTGCTTTTTAATTTTTTTGATATAGAGATATATATGTATGTAAATATATATGTGTATCTGTGGATAAAACAACTGTTATCGGTAGTTATTTCTGAAGTATGAGACAAAAGAGAAGAAATGGGGGGGGACTTTTTTGTTTTTGTTATGTTTTTTTAAATAGACTTCTTTTTTAGAGCAATTTTGGGTCATAGCAAAATTGAGCCTTCCCTACACATAAAACCTTCTTTACTGTCAACATCCCGCATCAGAGGGACACATTTGTTTTCATTGATGAATCCATATTGACACATCATTGGGACTTATACTTTTAACTTCTGACTTGTTGCCATTTCAACAGTGAGCGAGTATTGGTTTTGAAAGTAAAATAACATTAATGAGTGGCTGAATCATGCCCTAAGCTCCAGAATGGCCAGATTCTAGAAAGTGGCTTGTTTCACAGAAGTTGCCACAGAGAAGGTAATCAACCCAGGGCTGCCTGAGAATGGGGCCTGAGCCTGAGCACCCCCATTCTGCTGTCACCAGCATGACAGGTCACAGGCTGGCCTGCCTGGCTACCCCCTGCTCCCTCAGAGGGACGCCTGACAGCAGCTCCTGAAGCTGAGGAGGCCGGGCCCCTGGGCCATGCCCCACGGATGGTCCTCACATACACACCAGCTGGAAGGCTTCAGGAAACACAGGGACAAGGTCTAGGAGGTCACGACAGCAGCAAGGATCCTCGGGTCAACTAAGGCCCAGGCCCCAGCCTGCTCTGAAGGAAGAGAGTACCGGGGGGGAGGCAGCCAGCCCTGGATTCAAAGTCTCCCCTGGCACTCACTAGCATGGTGTCCTTCCCATGCACCTGTTTCCTTGTCGTAATAATATAGGGATTAACCCGCCCACCACACAAGGCCACTGTGAGGATGGAGTGAGCTCTGTGGGACAGCACCTAACTCATGACCTCCTGACACTGGAGGCTCTCAGGTTTTTGTTTCCTGTCTACATGACTGACCCCACAAGCCTAGACCTGGGGATAAATAAAAGAATGTCTGGCTTGGTCAAGGTGAGTGTAGAGTTGAGAGTGTCCTTCCTGGTAAAGCTGGGACAAGGACAGGGCAAGGATAGCCTTGGCTCCCAGCAGATATGGCCCAGAGGATAAACTGGCTGCATTTCTGGTGCTGATGAACCACTCTCCAAACAAGGTCCCAGTCTTAATTTGGGATAGATTTAAAACATAATCCTGGTCCAGGCATAGTGGCCCATGCCTGTAATCCCAGCACTTTGGGAGGCCAAGGCAGATGGATCGCTTGAGCTGGTTCGAGACCAGCCTGGGCAACATGATGAAACCCCATCTCTACCAAAAATACAAAAAAATTACCCAGGTGTGGTGGTACATGCCTGTAGTCCCAGCTACTCAGGAGGCTAAGGTTGGGAGCATCGCTGGAGCCTGGGAAGTTGAGCTGCAGTGAACCGAGATCATGTCCCTGCACTTCAGCCTGGATGACAGAGTGAGGCCCTGTTTAAAAAAAATAAAAAATTAAAAAAAAAAAAAACATAATCCTCCAAAATGAAGTCATTCCTGGAGGGAACACAGGGAGAAGGAGCTGTAACCGAAAGGTATGGAAAGAGGCTGCTTCCTATGCATGCTGAGAAAATGCTGTACCGACCACCCACCAGAGAGAGAGGCTGGCCAGGAGCAGGTGAGCCTGTTGCACGGCCTTCCACTTACCTTGCCCCCTGTTTCCCAGGTGATTCCTACTTCAGCCCCTTGGTGTGAGCAGCTTCTCAACATGAACTACAGCCTCCACTTGGCCTTCGTGTGTCTGAGTCTCTTCACTGAGAGGTGAGCTTTGCTACCCCCAGAATGGCCTCCATCTGCGTTGCTTTGCATTCGGGCATGTGGTGGGAGGGGGCAGCTCCTCCTATTCACCCACAGCAAGGCAAAACCCGGTCCACTCACTTCCCTGGAGCACCGAACAATGAAACTTCCTGCCATTTACTCTATTTACAGAACACAAGCTTCCAATATGGTCATAGATGAATGAACCCTTATGTTTTTAAAGAAGAGACTTGGAGGGTTTCCAAATTACCATGATATTTTGATCTATGGCAAATGGGTAAAAAATGGAGATACTAACTCAATAGCTGAAAACTAAGAGATTTTTCTGTAGGAATGTCACTGCTGGTACATGGGCAAGGCACATACACCCACACACACGTGGGCAAACACAAGCTCAAGGGTGTGTACACGTGTTGATTCACACATAAACAAGCAAACACAACAAAGCCCATTTCTTTTCCAGGATGTGCATCCAGGGGAGTCAGTTCAACGTCGAGGTCGGCAGAAGTGACAAGCTTTCCCTGCCTGGCTTTGAGAACCTCACAGCAGGATATAACAAATTTCTCAGGCCCAATTTTGGTGGTAGGTCATCCTCTGTGTCCAGGACATCATTCAAAGGGACGAAAACAGAGACAATAAGCAGTGGAGGGTTTCGGGAGGTTTTAGTTGACTCCATTTTCTGATCTGCAGCCTGTTAAGGATTGGCAATGATGGATGAGGATGGCTACCAATGATTTTTCACACTGCCTGGAAAAAGGCACCCAGCCTCTCCACCTGCAAGATAAAGGAATGCTCCTTCTCACTGTGGAGGCTGCAAGAGCCTCCTAACACTCACACACTGTCGTCCTCCTGCCCCCACTTCCAGGGTCATTATTCAATGAATTCACCATGCGCCACCAGGCTACCCCATCTGGTCTTCCCCCTCCAGCCTGAGCCCTTTCAGCTGACTCCCCAAACTGCCATCTGGATGCCTCCTGGGTCATTGCCCTGTTGGAACACCTGTATGTGTCCCAGCATGCTCGCGTAGAGTCCAGGCACACTAGGCCCTTCCCAGCCCAGCCTTTATCTGTCTGCCATTCTCATCCACCCAAGTCCCCGCTCCTTCCCCTCCTACAATGCTCCCCAGTGTACTCAGAATGCTCCCTGACATCCCTGGCCTCTCCTGCCTCTATGCCTTTACAGAGGCTTTCTTCCTGGAATTGCTTCTTTAAACTTGACTCCCTAGAAAATATCAATTTTCCATCATGTCTCAGAGCAAACGCTGCCTTCTCTGAGAAGCCTCCCCTGATTCCTCCAGGCCCCATCCCCTTTCTTCACACTTCCTTGTGAACATGCCTCAAAATCATAGCCGTTCCCATTATGCTATAACTGATTTCATGTCTGTCCCGGCTCCAGGCTGCAGCCCTAGAAGGAGTCTGACTTCATTTCCCTCACTATCCCCCATAGAAGCTCAGTGCGTGACATATAACAAATTGCTGATTAATATCTGTTGAAAGAATAAAGCAAGGAGGGAGGGAGTGAGGCCAACTGCACAGCTCTTCATAGCAGAAAACAACAGAAAGAGCCTTGGCATTTAACAAACCTGAGTTTGGCTCCTAGCTCTCCTGCTTGGCAAGTGGTTTAGCCTTCTGTGCCTCACTGTCCCTTTCTGTAAAATGGGGACATCCATCTATCTCACAGGGAAGACTGAATGAAGTGTGTAAGCCTGAGGCACAGTGCCTGCCCCATCAACAGAGTGTGGGTTATTTTCATCCCTTCTCCTCCTTGCTCCTCCCCTCAGATAATAAAACCCTCTGGTCTGATCTAAGATTCATGTGGTAGTCCAGATCCTCCGGGCAGCAGATGCCAAGAGCTGATGACTTCTTCAAGCTATTTAGGGGGACTATGTCTAGAAGGGAGAATGAGGCAGCGGGAGAGGCAAGCTAGGAGAGCTGTCAGACCTGCAGGTCTGGCCTCAGGGAAGGAGAGAGGGAAGGAAGGGAGGTTGGGTGGAAGCATCTTAGATGGAAGGGCAGTCCTCAGTGTTTGGAATGACCACCAGGGAGTCCTTGAGCTACAGGTGCATTCAGAGGAGTCTCCCATCTCTGTGCCTCCCAGGAACAGGCCACTTTGATATCCCCACTGTGTTCAGTCTGTGGTTGGCTGTGGCCCATGAGAAGTGTGGCCTCGGAGCAAGTGTGGTGGTAGATTCCAAAGCACAGCAGCCGAGGCCCTCAGTCAATCACACCTGCTCAGTTGGAGATGGGAGAGATGCATTTTCATTCAGATTTGAGACACAATTAAGATGTGAGATCCTGACATTAAAGAACCTAAAGAGGCTCCAATATCCCCTGGTTTTCCCAGGCCCTACTGAACACGTATGACAAGCACGTGAGTCTGCACGCCTTGGTTAGTGCCACTCAACAATTTCTCTTGCCTCCCAAACCCCAAACAATTAAGTCAGAATACACTCCTTCTTGTTTGCCTACTCACTGGCCAACAAGGTGCAGGGTCCTTGGGCAAGGAGCTCATTCTGAGAACAGGGAGCCTGGGGTAGGCCTAAAGGGATGTGATGCCTCATCCCACCTGGGGTGAAAATGGGGCATGGAGTCTTCAGTTTAAAAAAGGGAAAAGCACAACCCCATACCCCTTGTTTTGTGCCTCTTGGCACTTCACTCCTGAAAATCCCTATACTTGCATGGCAGGCTGGAGGCCCACGGAGGGCCATTGCTCTCTGTAATGTCTGTGCACCCAGTTTTCAGGACCCCAAGTCCAAAAGAGACAAGACCTTCATAGGATTTCTTAGGGATTGAGCTGGACAAAGCAAAGGTTTGTAAGCAGGCACTAGTGAACACTACCCAGGAGCTGGCTTTGACCTCGTTCCTGGGAGAAAGCTGCCCTCTGGTGGCACAGCTTGCTTTTATAACTCAAGGGGAAGAAAGAGCAAGCTCTGGTCCAGTAGAAAAGCCAATTGAGGCAAAGCCTAGATTAGACGGTGTAGAATATAAACTGGACAGAAAGCACAGTGGAGCTCTCGTGTCTTTTCCATTCTCTGCATTCTTCAGGGAGGGCAACTAACACGGATCTATGGCACTTAAAGTAGATGCCGTAACCGTGCCAACCCAACTCTCAATGGTTGGCACTTGTCTCAGTCTGTTTTGTGCTTCTATAACAAAATACCTGAGGCTGAGTATTTATAATGAGCAGAAGTTTATTGGCTCACAGTTTTAGAGGCTGAGGAGTCCAATATCAAGGTGCTGGAATTTGGCAAGGGCCTTCTTGCTGTGTCATCAGATGGTGGAAGGTGAGAGGGTGAGAGAGAGGACAGGAGAGGGCTGAACTTGCCCTTTTATCATGGCACCAGTTCCACCATGAGGCTTAATCACCTCTTAAGGGTCCTACCTCTTAACACTCTTACAATGGCAATTAAATGTCAACAAGAGTTTTGGAGGGGACAAACATTCAAACCACAGTGGCTCTAGTAGCTCTGTTTTACAGGTGTGAAACTGTAGCATAGGCCAAGCGCAGTGGCTCATGCCTATAATCCCAGCACTTTGGGAGGCTGAGGTGGGCAGATCACCTGAGGTCAGGAGTTAGAGACCAGCCTGGTCAACATGGTGAAACCCCATCTTTACTAAAAATACAAACATTAGCTGGGCATGGTGGTGGGTGCTGTAATCCCAGCTATTCTGAAGGCCGAAGCAGGAGAATCACTTGAATCCAGGAGGCAGAGGTTGCAGTGAGCCATATTGCACCACTGCACCTCCAGCCTGGGCGACAAGAGGGAGACTCCATCTCAAAAAAAAAAAGAAAGAAAGAAAGACAGAAAAAGAAGAGAAACTGCAGCACAGAGAAACTTGAAATTTGCTGAAGATCACAAAGCTGTTAGGTGGCCTGAGTGGAATTCAAACACCTGTCTCTGACTCCAGGCTTCTCGTCTCAGAGCTGCACCTTGCTGCCCAGAGGGGCAGAAAGCCACTTAGCACCAGGTCACTCCAGCACCTTCCAGGGTGTGCCCTCAAAGATCTCGCCCTTTCCCACCAGATATTAACATTCAATTATTGTTCAATTGCATTGGCTCTAACACTTCATTTTCAAATTCCTACCTATATCCTATGGCTTAGTCTCCTTAGATTAATAAGTAGTTTGCCTTGCCGTATTCCTACCGATGAGATGTTTTTAAGCTTCTTTTGAAATCCGCCTGGCCTCTTCCTGGTTAATGCATTATCACAGTCCCCTGAGGTACCCCCGGGGGTTATTTATTGCAAGTGAATGCTATTGCATCTATTAGCCTGGTGAATAAAGTTGTCCCTTTTCCAAAATTAGCTAGGATTACGGAAGAGAGGGGGAAGGGAAGGGAAATGCCATTATTGAGCGCCTATTATTACGTGACTGATGGACATGACGCTGGGAGCTTTGTACAGATAACCAATGATGAACACCTTCAGGATGTCCGGCTAGGCAGGCACTTCTCTTACACTCCCCATTGCCGCCACTCCACAAAGACAATGTCACACGTCTAATCTCATTTAGCCCTTCCCATGACCCTGTGATGTCAGTATGATCTCCACTTGCAGGTAAGAGAACTGCAGCTCTGAAAGATTTAATAACTTTTCCCAAATAAAGAACTGGGAGGTGACAGAGCTGGGATCTAGGTCCATTATTCCACATCTCCATATAAAGAGAAGTAAACTTCCCTGACCTGGCCTGGCTTCTTGAAGGTGGCTCTGACACCTCAGTCTCTAGAGATAGAACTCTCTCTCTCTGAAGTTCAATCTGTCTGCTGAGACTCCAGGATTGAGGCCCAACAGTCTGCACACTGGACCAAGTGTGGAGGTTCTGAAATTCTAAATTGTTTAGGGTTCCAGGAGAGTAAAGGAAGAGAAGCAAAGTATCAGGAGGTCAGCAAAAGCTCAGCCATGAGTCTTGAATGCCTCTTGTGGTAAATTTACTTAGCCAAGTGGGGGATAAAACAACATCTGTGCGCAATCAGATTACCAAATCTGTTACCTTTCTAAACAATTAGTTCCTTACAAATGCCATAGGAAAAACCCTCCATGTAAGAAGTGGCAAATGTCTTAGCACTATGTTCCTTATGCGTTAATTCAGCGTGACCAACATGGAGAAAAAAATACAAATTAGCCGGGCTTGGTGGCACATGCCTGTAATCCCAGTTACTTGGGAGGCTGAGGCAGGAGAATCGCTTGAACCTGGGAGGCGGAGTTTGTGGCGAGCCGAGATCGTGCTATTATTGCACTCCAGCCTGGGCAAGAAGAGTGAAACTCTGTCTCAAAAATAATAATAATAATAATTAAAAAGCATTAATTATGCAGGTAGTCTCTCTTACATATTAAGATACCTATGTATGTGTGCATATTTTTCATACAAAAGAGAGGCACACCATACACAATGGTTACTCTTGAGAGGGGATAAGAAAATTTTTCTTTTTATATTTATAGAATATTTAAATTTTTCTAACAACCAAGCACAACTTTTGTAATTTTAATCTTTTTTAGAATGCACTAATATAGTATTAAGACAGCTCATGGTTGTGTTTCCATTCTTTCTTGTTTTTTTTTATCTTAGGAGAACCCGTACAGATAGCGCTGACTCTGGACATTGCAAGTATCTCTAGCATTTCAGAGAGTAACATGGTAAGCGCTGTTCCTTTGTACTCTACCCAAGTAGTCCCTCTCTGTGTGTTTAAAGGGGATATGCTTTCTAGCCGCTCAAAAAAAAAAAAAAAAAAAAAGAATGGCTCATGGCCCTCCTCCATTTGGAATGGCAGAAGCTGGAGTGCTATCTCCAAACTCAAGACAGTGGGAGATTCTTGTAGAGCAGATTTTCTGAGTAAGACAATGGAAGATTCTTGTAGAGCAGATTTCCTGAGTAGCAGGAAGAAAATCGGTTCAAGAGCCAGAAGGAGAGAAACCAGGCAATGAAGTGGGTACACTTGGTGATGGATAAAATTTGGGGAAAGGAATGAAAGTGTAGTAGGCAAGCCTGGCCATTACATGGTCTTTTATAATGGGGGAGACAACCCGAGGAAAACTGACAGCTGATGCTGACAACGACTGTCTCCCTTAAGAGAACATATTCGAGACAAGGGCAAACTAAAGGCAGTTTGCCAAGAGGGTATGCTGTGCATTCCAGATAAATCGTGGACAACCTAAGCACTTAGCCCACCAAAAAATTCAACAATTTGGTGGGGCCTTAGTGATCAGTGCAATGTGAGCTGTCACACCAAGTAAGTTAAAGTCTTGAACATGGCGTTCCCTTTTGGCAATAGGAGCTATTATCTAGAATAAATAAGGCGATTTGTTCTCTTATTGCAATATGCCACTAACCCAAGACTGGGGTAACTGGAGTGACTTATCAGTTACCCCAGTCTTGGGGTAGTGGCATATTGCAATTAGAATGGTAACTTTATTCACCAAAGTCTGTGTATTCTTGCTCTAAGTGGAGGTGGGGAGGGGAGTAAACTTTGACCACTTTCCTCCATTTGGTGGGGTTTTCTCACCCACTACCCCCATCCATTTCCATACCCTGCCTCCCCCTCCCAGGACTACACAGCCACCATATACCTCCGACAGCGCTGGATGGACCAGCGGCTGGTGTTTGAAGGCAACAAGAGCTTCACTCTGGATGCCCGCCTCGTGGAGTTCCTCTGGGTGCCAGATACTTACATTGTGGAGTCCAAGAAGTCCTTCCTCCATGAAGTCACTGTGGGAAACAGGCTCATCCGCCTCTTCTCCAATGGCACGGTCCTGTATGCCCTCAGGTACGCGGACACCTGTGACCTCAGGGGTGGAGGACGGCAGCTGGGAGAAAACATGCAGATGTGTCTTGGGTAGTTGTGACCAGAACTCAAATAGCCACTGTGAGGTCCCATGGCTTCTTAGATCCTTGCCCCCATAATAGAAGGTCCCTCTCTCAGTTCATCATCTACCAAATGCCTGCTCTGTGCCAAGCCCCATGCTGGCCACAGGATAGAGCTGAGTAAGGCATTGACCTGTCCTCAAGACACGGACATGGAAACAAAGGAGGTCCCTGGTGCTGGGGCCCAAGTTAGGGAGTAGGTGAGTGGTTTGGGGGTGATGTTACAGGATGCTTTCACAGGATTCTGAGCTATGTCTTAAAGGGTAAAAGGAAGTTAGCAAGGGAAGAAATAAGGGCAATGGCAGAGACGACAGAGAGGTGCATGCAAGGAACTTTCCTTTCTTGGGGCCCAGTGGAACTGCAGCAGCTCCAGAACACCACTCTACTTGTCTGAGTCATGTTTGTAGAGAAAACCAAGGTGCAGTGCCCCAAAGTCTCTGCCACCTGCAGCCATGGGCTCCCCTTTGCCATCTCCCCAAATTCCTGAAGCTCAAGTTCCTTTCACCCAATTGTTAATGGAGCCGGGTTGGATGGAACAGGACTCATCCCTGCCTGTGCAAGGACTGTGCAAACCTAAAGCTCCCAGAGGCCTTGGGGAGGAGGCCAGGAGCCAAATATTCATGGGGCTGATGTTTAATCTTAAGTAAGAGTCTAAAGTTATAAAACAAGGGTTGAGCTAACCGATAAACTGAATTTCTGGACATGCCTCAACTGTACTGAGTTTTGCAAAGACCATCTCAAAGCCCAATTCTTGTCTCATGAAACATAATTAGACTTCTCTTTTGACCTCAATTCCAATCATCGTTAATGTTCCCCTTCCCCATGTTCCCACAGCAATGTGTGAATGTGGATGTGTGAGTGTGTGCATGCATTTGTGTGTACATGTGTGTCTGTCTGTATTATGGCACACAACACAATCAATATTGTGTAAGGATTACAAATAATGAGTGATGTTTTAATAGCCTGGCTCTAGAATCATAAAGATTTTGGTACAAGTCCCTGCTCTGTCCCTCAGCAGCTCTGTGACCTTAGGCAAGTTACTTGACTCTCAGAGCCTCAGTTTCATCAGCAGTAAAATGAGAATTAAAATATTTCCTACCTAGTAGAACTGTTCAAAGGGGTAATGCATGCAAAGCACTCAGCCCAGGGACTAGCTCACAGTAAGCACTCAGTAAACCATAGCTATTGTTAGTCTCTGTCTCCCTAAAGGGAGTGTGAGTGAGCATCCTGGAGGTGAGCACCATTCTGTAATCACCTCCATTTCCCCCAAGTACCTAGCACAGTGCTTAATAAATAAGGATGCTGAATAAAAATGTATGACACTGAAGAAAAAGGAAGATAGAGGCCTGGTGAATGCAATCTCCACTGTGAGGGCATAACTGACCTTTAATTGAATATCTCTGGGGTTAAGCCCCCAAAGCCACAGTGCCTGGGGCCCCCACTGCCTCTGCATCCTGGTTCCCATGAGGAGGCAGGGCCTCATGAGAAGAGCACAGCCAGGAGACCTAGGCTGCAGCCTCAGTTCTGCCACTCAGAGCCACATGAGCCTATGCAAGTCCCTATGCCTGCTGTCAAGTGGTGACGATAGTGATGGTGAACACTGTTCTAGGCCCACCCAGGTCTGTCAGGAAGATAAAATTTAAAAACTGGATGCTAAAGCATCTCGAGCCAATGCATCTGTCTGTTCTGTGATACTGCCAGAAGTTTTGCCCCTTGAATGGCCAGCATTCCAACTTCCTCCACTCTGGACCCAGGTTTAACCAAGCCTCATGCACACATTCTTTAGCACCCAGAGCCTCAAGGATGCTTTACATGCAGACTCCAAGCTACATGTTCATTTAAGAGTTCCAGTGAAAGTCTTCTTTGAGTGGGCCTTCGAAGGAATGTGAACTTTCTATAACTTCCTCACAATACTGTTTTTGAACCTGTTTTTCCCTCTTAGAATCACGACAACTGTTGCATGTAACATGGATCTGTCTAAATACCCCATGGACACACAGACATGCAAGTTGCAGCTGGAAAGCTGTAAGTATACATCCTACAGGCTCCTGAGATGATTTTCCTGGGTGACTTAGGTGTGTGTATTCATGAAAAGTATCTCATACACAGTGACCTTTCTTTTCTTAATGTTGATTCATCGTGGATTCAGCCCTTCTGACTGTACTTCCAGACAGATTTAGAGACTTCTCAAAGATATGCCTAATATCTTTTGGGGAGAACCATTATGCATTAGTACCAGATATCTCCACCTATGAGTGGACAAGAAAACCAAAGGAAATGCTTTAATGTAGTTGGTGGTCTAGGCCAGGGGTCAGCAAACAACGGCTGGTGTGCCCAATCCAGCCCCATCACCTGTTTCTGCTAAGGAAGTTTTACTGACACACAGTCGTGCCCATGTACTTACACACCGTCTGTGGCTACTTCTGTACTGCAGTGGCAGAGTTGAGTATTTGTGATAGAGACCAGATGACTCATAAAGCCTTAAGTATTAACATTCTTCTTTGCTGCAGAGTTTCGTTTTGTTTTGTTCTGTTTTGAGACGGAGTCTCGCTCTGTCGCCCAAGCTGGACTGTGGTGGCGCGATCTCGGCTCACTGCAAGCTCTGCCTCCCAGGTTCACGCCATTCTCCTGCCTCAGCCTCCCAAGTAGCCGGGACCACAGGCGCCCGCCACCACGCCCGGCTAATTTTTTGTATTTTTAGTAGAGACAGGGTTTCACCATGTTAGCCAGGATGGTCTCGATCTCCTGACCTCATGATCTGCCTGCCTCAGTCTCCCAAAGTGCTGAGATTACAGGCGTGAGCCACCGTGCCTGGCCTGCTGCAGAGTTTTTAACGGGCTCTAATAAGTTACTTCCACGTGAAATTCCAAGAAGGAGTGGTAGCACTTCCCAAACGTTTTAAACCATGGAATCTTCTTTCATAAGCGTTTTGTGGGACAATCATTTCATAAAAAACATTTCGGTGACAACAAATATAGACTAGCCCCTGAGACCTAAACTTTTAATATTTAATTTATGCCATCTATCTGATTACTAACTCTCAAAGGGTCTGTGGTTCCAGATGAGTTCTATGACCATGTTCTTTGCCACCCACCCACCCTTACTCTCCCAAGATCATATCAGCCACAGGTCCCAGTAGAAGATATGAAAAAGGTCATGGACTTTTCATCAATGTACTCATCATTTGTCAGCAAATATGTCCAGGGCTACATTTTTAGGTCTAAAAAATCACAAAGACTTTATTTTATTTCTTTTTTCATTTTTTTTGTTTTATATATATATTTTTATTATACTTTAAGTTCTAGGGTACATGTGCACAACATGCAGGTTTGTTACATATGTATACATGTGCCGTGTTGGTGTGCTGCACCCATTAACTCGTCATTTACATTAGGTATATCTCCTAATGCTATCCCTCCCCCCTCCCCACACCCTTCCTGTGTTCCCCTTCCTGTGTCCAAGTGTTCTCACTGTTCAATTCCCACCTATGAGTGAGAACATGCGGTGTTTGGTTTTTTGTCCTTGTGATAGTTTGCTGAGAATGATGGTTTCCAGCTTCATCCATGTCTCTACAAAGGACATGAACTCATCATTTTTTATGGCTGCATAGTATTCCATGGTGTGTATGTGCCACATTTTCTTAATCCAGTCTATCATTGTTGGACATTTGGCTTGGTTCCAAGCCTTTGCTATTGTGAATAATGCCGCAATAAATATACATGTGCATGTGTCTTTATAGCAGCATGATTTATATTCCTTTGTGTATATACCCAGTAATGGGATGGCTGGGTCAAATGGTATTTCTAGTTCTAGATCCCTGAGGAATCGCCACACTGTCTTCCACAGTGGTTGAACCAGTTTACAGTCCCACCAACAGTGTAAAAGTGTTCCTATTTCTCCACATCCTCTCCAGCACCTGCAGTTTCCTGACTTTTTAATGATTGCCATTCTAACTGCTATGAGATGATATCTCCTTGTGGTTTTGATTTGCATTTCTCTGATGGCCAGTGATGATGAGCATTTTTTCATGTGTCTTTTGGCTGCACAAATGTCTTCTTTTGAGAAGTGTCTGTTCATATCCTTCGCCCACTTTTTGATGGGGTTGTTTGTTTTTTTCTCGTAAATTTGTTCAAGTTCTTTGTAGATTCTGGATATTAGCCCTTTGTCAGATGAGTACATTGCAAAAATTTTCCCCCATTCTGTAGGTTGCCTGTTCACTCTGATTGTAGTTTCTTTTGCTGTGCAGAAGCTCTTTAGTTTAATTAGATCCCATTTGTCAATTTTGGCTTTTGTTGCCACTGCTCAATGAAATAAAAGAGGACACAAACAAATGGAAGAACAGTCCATGCTCGTGGATAGGAAGAATCAATATCGTGAAAATGGCCATACTACCCAAGGAAATTTATAGATTCAATGCCATCCCCATCAAGCTACCAATGACTTTCTTCACAGAATTGGGAAAAACTACTTTAAAGTTCATATGGAACCAAAAAAGAGCCCACATTGCCAAGTCAATCCTAAGCCAAAAGAACAAAGCTGGAGGCATCATGCTACCTGACTTCAAACAATACTACAAGGCTACAGTAACCAAAACAGCATGGTACTGGTACCAAAACAGAAATATAGACCAATGGAACCAAAGAGAGCCCTCAGAAATAATACCACACATCTACAACTATCTGATCTTTGACAAACCTGGCAAAAACAAGAAATGGGGAAAGGATTCCCTACTTAACAAATGGTGCTGGGAAAACTGGCTAGCCATATGTAGAAAGCTGAAACTGGATCCCTTCCTTACACCTTATATGAAAATTAATTCAAGATGGATTAAAGACTTAAATGTTAGACCTAAAACCATAAAAACCCTAGAAGAAAACCTAAGCAATACCATTCAGAACATAGGCATGGGCAAGGACTTCATGTCTAAAACACTATTTTATTTTTTTTTTCTGTGCAAAGCACTGTGATAATAAGAAAAACCTCACTCCCCATTGCAAAGGAAGTAGAGAGGCTAGTGAGGAAAGACTTCTTGGAGGAGGTAACAAAATGTGTTTTATGGCCTCAATCTGCTGTTGCCCCAATCTCCTTGACTGAACAACTTTTTTGTTAACAATAATAGTAATAATAATAGTAATAAATGGGCAAGGCACAGTGGCTCACGCCTATAATCCCAGCACTTTGGGAGGCCAAGGTGGACAGATTACTTGAGGCCTGGAGTTCAAGACCAGCCTGGCCAAGATGGTGAAACCCCATCTCTACTAAAAATACAAAAATTAGCCAGGTGTGATGGTGGGTGACTGTAATCCCAGCTACTTGGGAGGCTGAGGCAGGAGAATCGCTTGAACCCAGGAGGTGGAGGTTGCAGTGAGCAAAGATTGTGCCATTGCACTCCAGCCTGGGCAACAAGAACAAGACACCATCTCAAACAAAAAAATATATGTAGTAATAAATATTCTTTTCCCAATAAATACTGTAGCATCCATTTAACAATTACTTAATCCATGTCTGTCACTATACTAGACACCTTGCAAACAATCCTGAGAGATATGTATATTGTTTTTCCCATCTTGCAGATAGAGAAATTGAGGTTCATTAGGATTTGGCAATTTTCCCAAGGGAAAGTGAAGTAGCCGCACGGGGACTTCAACCCAGGTGGAATGGCCCCAAGGTCCCAAGTTCCCTGAACTCTAATAGCCCTTCCACTGGGCTGGAGAGTCACATAGGGAGTTTGTTCCAGTGGCTTGTTTGTGATCTGAGCTGCTTATTTTTCCTGAGTATACCATAAAGTGCTTTTAAACAGTAATATGGAGATAATGAAAATCTTTTAATACCTCCTTCCCAATTTCTCCAGTGTCCATTTATTATCATCATTGTTCCCCAAATTGAGTAACCATGTGACGCTTTTGTTGGATTCCCCAAATCCTGCCAGAATGTTCAACTGAATTGCAACCTGATTACCACACAGTAGTCCCAGACATATCCCTGTGCCAGTTCCCTTGCATTACCTAGGACCAAGACCAGTGTTTGTCCTTTCCTGTGTCTGCTAAGGAAAGTCTTTTTTCTCATTCTAATACTTTAGTTTTATATATTGTCCCACTAAAGTCTCCAGCCAGTCTGGATGGCTGGTTGGGTTCCATCTGTCTATCCTCATTTAAATACATTCAATTCATCCATTCAACCATTAAATGACGATTCTATGTGAGGTACTGTGGTAGATGTTTGCAATACACAGATAAAAGTAATGCTGCAGTCTTCGAGAACTCTACAGTCTAATAGAGGGTGCAGGACTTTAAATAATTATAACAGAATGAGTTACAACAATGAAAAGTAATGGGGGGGGGGTCAGAGTTTTCCTAGGGAAAGTGTCACTTGGAATGAGACATAGGGCATCAGCTGGAATGGACCAAGAGACAAGGAGTGGGACTCAGAATCTGCTAAGATGAGGATTATGTACAAGAAGGAACAAAGCAGAAGGGATGGCAAATATGCAAAGCCATCCTTGACATTTATCACTCGTGCTTCCAACTTTTAAAAAAAATTGCTTGATAGATATAAAGCTCACACAGTCATGCCAGTAAATGGGCATCTAAACTGTAACCTGGGGATTTGCCTGTGATGAAGAATGAGGATTTAACTCTAGGTTGATGTGTGATGAATGAACTCCCTAGCATTGTTAAGTAATCTCCATTGTTCCTTAGTAAACCGCTCCGAAATGCCCACCAAACTGGGGCACCTGTGATAGGCAAACAACATTGCAGATATGATTTATTAAGGCATCAAGGTGGGGCTTGTGTGTGGAGGGAGAAATATAGTCAAACTCTGGAGAGCAGTGGGCACTCCTTACGTAAGGTCACAAGTGGGCAACATCTGAGAAGCACAGCCATTATGAAGCAGAAGCCATTTTTCAGAAGCAGACATTTAATTAAAGACCCAGAAAAACAGATTAATTATCTTATTGATTAAATGCATGCAGAAACTTCTTGAAGCAATACAGCTGTTTGGTGGCAGAATAAAACTTGAGGTTATCAAAAAGAGAACTCATTTTCAGTCCCACATGGAAAAAGCTATTACCTTCCGTGTATCGTGGCTGGGCTCATCTCAAATCCCAGGAGACAGATTCTCCTGGAAACCTCAGCCTCTGTTTCACAAATACCATCCCCAGTGAGCGGAGGGAGTTTTCTCTGTTCAGCCTCTGTTTCACATATACCATCCCCAGTGAGCGGAGGGAGCTTTCTCTGTTCAGCCTCTGTTTCACATATACCATCCCCAGTGAGCGGAGGGAGCTTTCTCTGTTCAGCCTCTGTTTCACATATACCATCCCCAGTGAGCGGAGGGAGCTTTCTCTGAATGTTTATTAGCAGTGTTTGGGTACAGAAACCTCACTATGGGTTTTTTTCTAAGTACCATCTCTAGAAAAGAACTGATACCATCCCACAGTTTTCCTTATTCACCCAGGGACAGAGAGACCATAATGTAATGATTGTGAGCATTTACTAGTTGTAAAGTCAGAGTGTCCAGGTAGAAACTTGTACTACCCACTTTCATAGATTTTTTTTTTAATGTGGGATGGTAGCCGTATTTAGACAGCTGGCTTTAGTACATGTTTGGATGCTTCCAAGGGAAAGTCCACAGACAGTTTTTACCTGGAAATCCCCTAAGAGTTCATGGCTATATTTCTCTTCCCTGGGGAGGGCGAGATAACCCTTGCTAGACAATGGATACCATACTGTGAGACTTAACAAAATGTTAGTTCCAACACCGGCATCACATTTCCCAGTAGTCTTTGAAAACAAAGGCAATATACCTTTATGTATAAGATCACAGGTACCGAAATCACTGAGTTTTGCCATCACTAGCTCTGTGACTCTGGGTGAGTAACTAATGTCTCTGGACCTCAGTTTCCTATCAGTGAAGTGGGAAGAATAATAGTGTCTGACTCAGAGTTGTTTTTTAACAGCTTTATTGAGGTATAACTTATATACGATAAAATTCACCCATTTTAATTGTACAGTTCAAAGATTTTTAGTACATTTCCGAGTAGTGCAACCATCACCACATGTCATTGTTAGAATATTTCCATCACCCCAAAGAGACTCCTGTACCCATCTGCAGTCACGCCTCTTTCCCATCACCAGCTCCCAGGCGATGACTAACCTACTCGCTGTCTGTATGAATTTGCCTTTTCTGGATATTTCTTATAAATGGAATCATGCACTATGTGGTTGGTTGGTTGGTTGGTTGGTTGGTTGGTTGGTTGGTTGGTTGGTTTTGAGACAGAGTTTTGCTCTGGTTGTCCAGGCTGGAGTGCAATGGCGCAATCTAGGCTCACTGCAAACTCCGCCTCCCAGGTGCAAGTGATTCTCCTATCTCAGCCTCCCAAGTAGCTGGCATGCGCTGCCACACCTGGCTAATTTTTGTATTTTTAGTAGAGACAGGGTTTCACCATGTTGGCCAGGCTGGTCTCAAACTCCCGACCACAGGTGATCCACCTGCCTCAGCCTCCCAAAGTGCTGGGATTACAGGCATGAGCCACCATGCCCAGCCCTATGTGGTCTTTTGCATCTGGTTTCTTTCACTTAGCATGTTTTTGAGGTTCACACATGTTATGGCTTGCATCAGTACTTTATTCCTTTTTATTACTGAGTAGTATTTCTTTGTATGCATATATATATATATATATATATATATTCATGTGAGATAGATGAGATAGATATATATATCAAATTTTATTTATTGATTCATCAGTTGATGAACATTTGGTTTCCACCTTTTGGCTATTATGAGTAGTGCTGCTATGAACACTGGTGTGTGAGTCTTTCTGTGGACAGGATTTCATTTCTCTTGGACAGATACCTAGGAGTGGAATGCTGGGTCAAATGGTAAATATATATTTAAGTTTTAAAGAAATTGCTACTTTGTTACTGTTTCCCAAAGTGGTTGTACCATTTCACATTCCCACTAGCTAATGTTCCAGCTTCTGCATGTGCTGGCCTTCGTTACTGTCTATCTTTTTTATTACAGCCATCTAATGGGTGTGAGGCATTTTATTGTGGTTTTGATTTGCATTTCCCTAATGACTAGTGATGTTGAGTATCTTTTTGTTTGCTTATGAACCATTCATGTATCTTCTCAAAGAGATACATTGAGGGTTAAATGAGATGATAATGTTGTAAAGCACTTGGAAATGCAATTGCTTATTAAATGATAGGTATTATTATCATCGTCACTCATAGACTTTGGGATTAAACTTTCCTAAGGTAACTTTGTTTCTTGCTTGCCTTGTTATCCTGAGAAAGTTATGCAACCCCTCTGAATCTGAGAGTTTTCAAGAATAATGTGGGAAAATCATTATAGTGACTGAGTTCTATGGAACAGCATTTATTGAATAATAACATTTCAGGAAAAAATATAAGCTTTACTGTATATTAAAATACATATATACGTTTATATATTATATATTATATTATATTATATATTATATATATTATATATATTATAATATTTATATATTATATAGATATAAATCAACTACAAGATCCAGTTCAATTTCAGAAAATGTAAAGAAATGTCCATCTTAGAATTGAGGAAATATAGAAATGGCTACCTTGCAAGTTTACAAGAACATTAGTGACATAATGTATAAAGTACTTATAAATGTTCAAAAGGTAACTATTGTTACTATTATCAAGTATATTAATTAAACTGCTTTGAGACTTATCTAACGTGCATTTTTACAGGCTTTAATAAAGCAGGTTTTTTGTTTTTGTTTTTGCATTTATGCCAATATAGAAATATGAACAGATCAGTTCTTAAGTCCCTGAAAATATCATCAGAGCTATTATACAATCTTGAAAGGCAGTATCTTTGCGTGTTCACAGATATGTGCTTAATAAATGTAATTTAAATAATGAGGGAGGCCACTTCTAATGACTTATCATCCACCAGATCTACGCAGTACCTAACACAAGACCAGCTCTCAATTGACGGCAAATCGTCCTGGCAGGTCACTTCATTCAGAGCAGACATTGCAATTGCACTTGGGAAATCTTGCTAAGTTCTGCATGGGATTGTCCTTGGACTTATCACTATGAAGAAAGAACTCATGCTGTCTCCATATTATAGCATTTTCCAGACCAGACCAGTTCAATCTGGAACACCCTTGCACTGACCAGGGCTCCATTTTATTTGCCAGGGGGCTATGATGGAAATGATGTGGAGTTCACCTGGCTGAGAGGGAACGACTCTGTGCGTGGACTGGAACACCTGCGGCTTGCTCAGTACACCATAGAGCGGTATTTCACCTTAGTCACCAGATCGCAGCAGGAGACAGGTAACTCATGTGACAAACTGTATGAAATAAAAATAAGTGAACTGAGGTGTAGGGTTGCTCTCTGAGTCAGAAATATCGTCTTCTCACTTTACCTCCTTGGGATGCAGTGGAGCGGGACAGTAGGGTTTGTGCTGAGCAATTCCACCTCCTCCACACCCAGTATTAAAATGGTCCACTGAGGAACAGACCTCTGGACCAGCTCTGAAGCCTTGCACCATGTACCTCCAGATACTTGCTAATGAGTGCTCAAATTCCGTGCCTCCATCATGCATAAAATTTATTCATATTTCTCACTGGAACACTAGTTCTCTGACACTGAAGAATAAAAATAAGAATACAGCTCAAAGATGAAGAAGACAGCAGCAATGCCCAACAAGAGCATGAACACTCTAATTATTGCAAACATGGCAGGAAGTATTACTTATTCATTTCATTTACCAGAAATGCATCTCTTGGTCTTTGGCGATTTTACATAGACATGTTTGGAAAGATGTGATGTTATATAAAAGCAGCTGGCATTTTCCTCTCACTTCCTTATGATAATATTAAGAACGCTTATTCTCATCAATATTTGCACCCTAAAAAATTACTACATATTTTATTTTATTTAATTGAGACAAAGTCTTTCGCACAGGCTGGAGTGCAGTGGCACGATCTCAGCTCACTGCAACCTTCGCCTCCCAGGTTCAAGCGACTCTTGTGCCTCAGCCTCCTGAGTAGCCGGGATTACAGGCATCCTCCAGCATGCCCGGCTAATTTTTGTATTTTTGGTAGAGAGGGGTTTCGCCATGTTGGCCAGGCTGGTCTCGAACTCCTGACCTCAAGTGATCCACCCGCCTTGGCCTCCCAAAGTGCTGGAATTACAGGCATGAGCCACCGCGCCCGGCCTACTGTGTATTTTAGTTGAGCCTAGGTGACATTAAAAATCATATGTCACACCAAGATCATGGTTACATGAAAATTAGAAACTAAAGGGTATGTATAGAGAAAAGACTGGAATAGAAGGAAAGATGATTTTTTCTCTCTACTTTTCTTATTTTCCAAATTTTTCTTTTCTTTTTTCTTTTATCTATTTACTTATTATTTTACTTTATTTTATTTTATTTATTTGAGACAGTGTCTCACTCTAGTGTCACCTAGGCTGGAGTGCAGTGGCGCAATCTCAGCTCACGGCAAAATTCACCTCCTGGGCTTGGGTGATCCTCCCACCTCAGTCTCACTGGTAGCTGGGACTATAGGTGTGTGCCATCATGCCTGGGTAATGTTTTGTATTATTGTAGAGATGAGGTTACATCATGTTTCCCAGCTGGTCTCGAACTCCTGAGCTCCAGCAAACCACCTGCCTTGGCCTCCCAAAATGCTGGGATTACAGACATGAGCCACCAAGCCTGGCTTTATTTTCCAAAATTTAAGTAATTATCATGAATTATTTTTATAATGGGCAAATAAATACACTTTATTTTTAAAGACAACTTTGTAAATTAGGGCTATGCAGTCATAGTTTACCAAATCTGGATTCCCAAGTTGGGTTCATATAAAAAATGGCTTCAGTTTTCA
Organism: Homo sapiens; assembly: GCF_000001405.40. Classification (NCBI taxonomy): domain Eukaryota; kingdom Metazoa; phylum Chordata; class Mammalia; order Primates; family Hominidae; genus Homo; species Homo sapiens. The sequence continues at coordinate 170,807,411 of NC_000005.10, forward strand.
AAATTATGTAATCTCATGTAGCACATAACCACCCTCTTTAGGTACAAAAGAGGGTCGTTATTTAGTCAAATGTTGATTCTAAGGTTTGCTTGTTTGTTTTTAAAACATTGACTTTCAAAATCAAGAAAATAAAGCAGGCAGTGTAGACTGATAAAACATCCCTGGACCAACGGGCAAAAGACCTGGTTTTTATTCTTTCTTCTAACATCAACTCCAGGTCCTTTTCAAATCACTAAAACTTCCTGTGTCTCAATTTACCCATCAATAAAGTAAAATAATAAGTAATCTCTAGGGTCTCACCAAGCTCGAAAAGTACATATTTTTATTCTATACTATATTTATCCAGGCATATGTCTGTTGTTTTTTTAATGGTATAATTTCTCATTTCAGGCTTTAATTTGGGGGTGACAGAGGGTTGGAGCAGCTCCCATTCACCATCCTGTTTTTCCCCAACAACAATCTAAGCCAGACTTTTCCTGTTCCCAGAGGATAACCTCTTCATTCATGCATCCACACCAGTGCTGGCCACTACTGCTCACCTCCCCATAATAGAAGCACAGCAGGAGCAGAGCTTGGGACTCTAACCCATGGACATATATGTTTTGTGCTACAGTAGCCTATTTACCACAGAGAATTCTGTTACTGATAGCTCTCTAACACATGCCTTTCCCACATCTAGAATACACTGCTAGATTCCCTAAGGATGGCCCTGAAGTAGTATAAAATCTGGGGTGCCTCTGAAATCATCAAAAATTCACTTATATTTAATAGGTCCATTAGGTCTATTCCATAGTATTCCTTGAGAAACAGATGGTCACAGGTAATCTTCATTAAACAGGTATTTATTGAACAACTACTTTGTGAGTGCAGAACTGAAAGATTCAGTGTTTGCCCCCAAGGAACTCACTGTCTAGTGAGGCAGACGTCAAGAAAACCAGTATTGATTGCACTGCTGTAGGAATACTGTGATTCAGAAAAGCCCAGGTTGGACATAAGGCAGGACAGCGCCCCTATAAATCCCATTCAATGCAACAGCAGTGTCTCCTGTGGAAATCATAATGACAGTTCATACATAACCAGATTTAGATCAATGACAGAGGGCTTAATGTACATATAGTTAAGCATCCCATAGAGAAACCACTTGCTACACGAACAGACACAATTTCCTATCTGTTGTTTACCCTTTCAGGAAATTACACTAGATTGGTCTTACAGTTTGAGCTTCGGAGGAATGTTCTGTATTTCATTTTGGAAACCTACGTTCCTTCCACTTTCCTGGTGGTGTTGTCCTGGGTTTCATTTTGGATCTCTCTCGATTCAGTCCCTGCAAGAACCTGCATTGGTAAGCAGCTCCAACAGGAGATTTCTAAGAACTGGCTTATCAGGTTACTTACTTTTTTTCCTTTTACCATTGTCTTCATTGATATTCCTAAGGCAGTTCCAAGAGTTGTTTTCTTGGGAGATTCTTTTACAGAGAAAGAAAGAGAGAGACAGAAAGAGACTACTTTAGGATTCTGGGTTTTTTGTTGTTGTTTTTTTTTTGGAGACAGAATTTCACTCTTGTTGCCCAGGTTGGAGTGGACTGGCGTGATCTCGGCTCACTGCAACCTCTGCCTTCCAGGTTCAAGTGACTCTCCTGCCTTATCATCCCAGGTAGCTGGGACTACAGGCATGTGCCATGATGCCCAACTTATTTTTGTATTTTTAGTAGAGATGGGGTTTCACCACGTTGCCCAGGCTGGTCCTGAACTCCTGACCTCAAGTGATCTGCCCACCTTGGCCTCCCAAAGTGCTGGGATTACAGGTGTGAGCCACTATGCCCTGCCAGGAGTGGTGCATTTTTAAACTTAAGTTTTACAGTGACAAGTAAGGGATCATTGTGCTTAGATGGTCTATTGTCAGTTCTTTTGCATATTTATCACCCCCTCCCAGGAGAAGACAGAACGTGAAACATTAAAAAAAAACACATCCCTCATATCTGTACAAAATGGACAAATCAACCCTATTCTAGAAGGTCGCAGACTTTTCAAAATGAGATGCATTCCATTTCTGGGTCTTGCCCTCACCCTGCCAATTCTCAAATGGGGACACTCTGCCAGGCTATGGTGGAGGACTAACCAGTCACTTTGTAGGAACATCCCCTGCCTGTTTTCCCAGGAGTGACGACCGTGTTATCAATGACCACACTGATGATCGGGTCCCGCACTTCTCTTCCCAACACCAACTGCTTCATCAAGGCCATCGATGTGTACCTGGGGATCTGCTTTAGCTTTGTGTTTGGGGCCTTGCTAGAATATGCAGTTGCTCACTACAGTTCCTTACAGCAGATGGCAGCCAAAGATAGGGTAAGAGTCTTGAGGGCCCTGTGTATGATCCATCACTGGTGCCGTGTGCTGATCTGTAGACATGGGCTGGACCTGGCTTCTATCCCCACCCCACCCGCAGTGATTCCCTGTGCTCCAGTGAGTCTTATCCTTGTTCAGGTGGGAGCAGCTGGAAGTCATGGTGCCCCTTGAAAAAGACCATTCTTTTCACCAAATACAATGAGATATTAATATGTTTAATTTTCCAGCAGAAAATATGTTATCTGTATGCAGCATAAAATCACAACCACAGGAGCAAGCATCCATGAAGAATCCAATATGAAAAAAACATGATCAGCTGCTTGCAAGTTTTATATTAATATATATTTACTATTTAATTCTTTTGTTGCATTATTTTGTCCTTAAATTATACAAGTAATGCTTTACTGAAAAATGTATGGAAATATTAGATTGTGACAAATTTCTTGGTGAGCATATTTTTCTGCTAATTGAGAAAAACTGTCATTATTTGGTTTAGCAATGGAACACTATAGTCCAGCTCTCTAAATAATAATAATAGTCATTATTTATCAAGCATTTACATGTGCCAGACACAGTAACAAGCCTTTTGCAAATACTATATTATTTTAAATGCTCATAACAACCCAATAAGGTTGTCTCCTTTTTTAAATTTATGAAATCTGATAACAAGAAGGGAAAGAGACTTACCGCAGGGGATATAGATACTAAGAGGTAGAGCTGGGATTCCAACCTAAACCTACTTGGTTCCAAAGCCTGACACTTATCCGCTATTCCCACTTGCAGAGAGCATTAGACCATGCTCTTAACTATCACCCTTTACAGGTTCATGGACCCCTAGTGTTATTTGGAAGCCAAATTTGATAGATAATGGCATTCTAAAGTTCATGCTAAGAAGCAAGAAAATGATAGGGATCCAGTTCAGAAGAGGTGCCCACCTTGAGCAAAGTGCTAGGACCACGGAGGATCTAATAGTGTAGAATGAGGAATCAAAATGACCCAAAGATCCAGTTGCTTTTTCCCTTGGGTTTGGCTACAGTGAGTAATGTTTCATAGTCATGTCATCCAAGCACCAAAGGCAAATGACCACGTGTGCCAGCCAAAGAGGAACATGGCTTTTATTTATTTTGCTCCCTTAGGCTTCCTTATGAGGGAGGAAGGAAGTTGAGTTACCTCCTCATCCCCCCGCCCAAGAATCTGGATTTACTAGATTGGCAAAATGGACATTGGTGAAATACTGACAGCCTCCTCTAAAGACACCAGAAAGCTCTTATTCTGCTGTGTATATGATAATCACTGCACTATGGAGTACTCACTGTGTCCTAAACATCCGTCAACATCTCCTTTAGTTCATCCAACAACACAATGAAATGAGTACCATTATTATCCCAATTTTACTCTTGAGAAATGTGCCACTAATTGATGTGGCACATTTCTCAAGGGTAAAATTGGGATAATAATGGTACTCATTTCATTGTCCTGTACAGTGATATGGTAACTCCCATAAGACCCCACACCTAGCAAGCGGCCTGGTCAAGGAACCAAACCACACTCTCTCTGACTTCACTACACTCCCACATTCCTGGGAGTTGACCCCAGCCATGTTGGAGAATGGCAACTCCTTGCAATGGCAGGGAGCATCACTATTTCTGCTTTGGTGGCAAAGCCTTTAAGACACAGCTGATTTCTATTATCTCTCGTAATCAGTTACTCCTTTCTCCCTGGAACAGAATTGAAGTCATCAAACACCTACCAGATGCTTTCCATTTTTTACCATTTAATCTTCCCATCAGTCTCAAGATGGCAATACCAATCACCATTTGGCAGGCGAGGAAATAAAGTCTTGGAGGGATTGAGGTGACTAAAGTTTCACAATAGTGAGAGGCCGAATGGAATTTGAACCCAGGTCCACTAACTTCAAAGCCTGAGCATTTCGCATCTGGCACACTGCTCAGGATATCCACAGTAGGCCATGTTTACTCCTCCTGTTATATATGCTGGTGACCTACAAATAGGTGTCTCCAAACAGGGCAACAGGAGCCCAAGCCTGGCTTATTGGCCAATTTCTGAAGCACTCAATGCCACTCTCTATTAAGCCTAATTATTCAACACTTAGGCCTCTAAACTTTTTATTAGCTCATTACCTACTTATTTATTTTGCTGAGTCAAGTCTTTTAAGCTAACTGCATTGTCTATGAACTAGGGGACAACAAAGGAAGTAGAAGAAGTCAGTATTACTAATATCATCAACAGCTCCATCTCCAGCTTTAAACGGAAGATCAGCTTTGCCAGCATTGAAATTTCCAGCGACAACGTTGACTACAGTGACTTGACAATGAAAACCAGCGACAAGTTCAAGTTTGTCTTCCGAGAAAAGATGGGCAGGATTGTTGATTATTTCACAATTCAAAACCCCAGTAATGTTGATCACTATTCCAAACTACTGTTTCCTTTGATTTTTATGCTAGCCAATGTATTTTACTGGGCATACTACATGTATTTTTGAGTCAATGTTAAATTTCTTGCATGCCATAGGTCTTCAACAGGACAAGATAATGATGTAAATGGTATTTTAGGCCAAGTGTGCACCCACATCCAATGGTGCTACAAGTGACTGAAATAATATTTGAGTCTTTCTGCTCAAAGAATGAAGCTCCAACCATTGTTCTAAGCTGTGTAGAAGTCCTAGCATTATAGGATCTTGTAATAGAAACATCAGTCCATTCCTCTTTCATCTTAATCAAGGACATTCCCATGGAGCCCAAGATTACAAATGTACTCAGGGCTGTTTATTCGGTGGCTCCCTGGTTTGCATTTACCTCATATAAAGAATGGGAAGGAGACCATTGGGTAACCCTCAAGTGTCAGAAGTTGTTTCTAAAGTAACTATACATGTTTTTTACTAAATCTCTGCAGTGCTTATAAAATACATTGTTGCCTATTTAGGGAGTAACATTTTCTAGTTTTTGTTTCTGGTTAAAATGAAATATGGGCTTATGTCAATTCATTGGAAGTCAATGCACTAACTCAATACCAAGATGAGTTTTTAAATAATGAATATTATTTAATACCACAACAGAATTATCCCCAATTTCCAATAAGTCCTATCATTGAAAATTCAAATATAAGTGAAGAAAAAATTAGTAGATCAACAATCTAAACAAATCCCTCGGTTCTAAGATACAATGGATTCCCCATACTGGAAGGACTCTGAGGCTTTATTCCCCCACTATGCATATCTTATCATTTTATTATTATACACACATCCATCCTAAACTATACTAAAGCCCTTTTCCCATGCATGGATGGAAATGGAAGATTTTTTTTTAACTTGTTCTAGAAGTCTTAATATGGGCTGTTGCCATGAAGGCTTGCAGAATTGAGTCCATTTTCTAGCTGCCTTTATTCACATAGTGATGGGGTACTAAAAGTACTGGGTTGACTCAGAGAGTCGCTGTCATTCTGTCATTGCTGCTACTCTAACACTGAGCAACACTCTCCCAGTGGCAGATCCCCTGTATCATTCCAAGAGGAGCATTCATCCCTTTGCTCTAATGATCAGGAATGATGCTTATTAGAAAACAAACTGCTTGACCCAGGAACAAGTGGCTTAGCTTAAGTAAACTTGGCTTTGCTCAGATCCCTGATCCTTCCAGCTGGTCTGCTATGAGTGGCTTATCCCGCATGAGCAGGAGCGTGCTGGCCCTGAGTACTGAACTTTCTGAGTAACAATGAGATACGTTACAGAACCTATGTTCAGGTTGCGGGTGAGCTGCCCTCTCCAAATCCAGCCAGAGATGCACATTCCTCGGCCAGTCTCAGCCAACAGTACCAAAAGTGATTTTTGAGTGTGCCAGGGTAAAGGCTTCCAGTTCAGCCTCAGTTATTTTAGACAATCTCGCCATCTTTAATTTCTTAGCTTCCTGTTCTAATAAATGCACGGCTTTACCTTTCCTGTCAGAAATAAACCAAGGCTCTAAAAGATGATTTCCCTTCTGTAACTCCCTAGAGCCACAGGTTCTCATTCCTTTTCCCATTATACTTCTCACAATTCAGTTTCTATGAGTTTGATCACCTGATTTTTTTAACAAAATATTTCTAACGGGAATGGGTGGGAGTGCTGGTGAAAAGAGGTGAAATGTGGTTGTATGAGCCAATCATATTTGTGATTTTTTAAAAAAAGTTTAAAAGGAAATATCTGTTCTGAAACCCCACTTAAGCATTGTTTTTATATAAAAACAATGATAAAGATGTGAAACTGTGAAATAAATATACCATATTAGCTACCCACCAAATCAAGTGGTCATCTATACAATGATTGTTATAAGATCCAATCTGGAGAAGGTATGTATCACAGTACAAACTCAATGGGCTCACATCCTTCTATCCTCATGTTCCCCCAACCCCAAACGGTACACATATATGCTCAAGACACACATATAAACCCTACCATTAATATCTTCTGCCAAGCAAATAGTAAATGCTGGTGACATAGCCAATGTTTTCTTTGACATCACTGCACCACAACACCTGCCTTGCAGTTAAACAGCTGAGCCTGGTGATAGCAAAAGAGCCAATTCTCAAAAAATGTCACAGATTTTCTTCTAAGCATTCTTTATCACTTGGAATTCTCTTTTTTGTTGTTGAATGATATTTTTATAGTTTGAGAATACACTTTGCGGGGGGAACATTGACTCTTGGATTTTGTATCACTCTGCACTAAAGTGTAGCTACTACATCAGAGTTCTCAGTAAAAACTTCTAATATTCGAAACCTGTCCATTTTATCCCCTACCCAGAGCAGTCCCAGTGATCACGTTGTTCAAAATATTTACTTCTTGGTTGAAAATATCAAGAACAACCTCACCAAATTTCCAAAGGACATGAAACTAGCTGGGGTTGGGAATATTCTAAATCATAGAAATATAATTATTAGTTAACTTGCTACTGAGACTAGCAATAGTCTCAATATAAGAAATCATAAAAATATAGGAAGACACTCAATAGCAACTAAATGGCAGATGGTTCATTTCAAATGAAAGGGAGAAATGAGGGTGGGGCGCAGTGGCTCATACTTGTAATCCCAGTATTTTGGGAGGCTGAGGTGGGTGGATCACTTGAGGTCAGGAGTTCGAGACCAGCCTGGGCAACATGGCGAAACCCTGTCTCTACTAAAAATAGAAAAAAATTAGCCGGGCGTGGTGGTGGGTGCCTGTAATCACAGCTACTCAGGAGGCTGAGGCAGGAGAATCACTTGAACCCAAGAGGCAGAGGTTGCAGTGAGCCAAGATCACACCACTGCACTCCAGCCTGGGCAACAGAGTGAGACTCCATCTCAAAAAAAAAAAAAAAAAAAAAAGAAGAAGAAAAGAAAAAAGGAGAAATGAGCATAGCAGAAAAGGGCTGGAGATTACAGTAGACCTCAAGCTGGAAATGAGCAGGCAATGCAGGGGAGTCCCCGTCGAAGAAAAGTACAGTATGGCTTTCAGTGCCAGGTGATATGGTTTGGCTCTGTGTTCCATCTCGAATTGTAATCCCCACATGTCGTGGGAGGGACTTGGTGGGAAGTGATTTGATCATGGGGGTGGTTTCCCCCATGCTGTTCTCATGATAGTGAGGGAGTTTTCACAAGAGCTGATGGTTTTAAAGTATAGCACTTCCTTGCTCTCTCTCTCTCCTGCTGCCATGTAAGACATGCCTTGCTTCCCCTTTGCCTTCCACCATGATTGTAAGTTTTCTGAGGCCTCCCCAGCCATGCAGAACTGTGAGTCAATTAAGCCTCTTTTGTTTATAAATTACCCATTCTCAGGTAATGTCTTTATAGAAGTGTGAAAACGAACTAATACACAAGGCAAGTATAGTGACAAGCATAAAGATCTGCAGTTAGTGGGAGTTTGAGATCAAGATATGGTCTTTTGGCCAGGTGCAGTGGCTCACGCCTGTAATCCCAGCACTTTGAGAGGCCAAGGTGGGTGGATCATGAGGTCAGGAGATCGAGACCATTCTGGCTAACATGGTGAAACCCCATCTCTACCAAAAATACAAAAAATTAGCCAGGTGTGGTGGCGCATGCCTGTAGTCCCAGCTACACAGGAGGCTGAGGCAGGAGAATCACTTGAACCCAGGAGGCAGAGGTTGCAGTGAGCCGAGATGGCACCACTGCACTCCAGCCTGGTGACAGAGACTCCATCTCAAAAAAAAAAAAAAAGAGATAAGGTATTTCTTCAATGTTGTGCCTTACTCTTACACATAGAGAGCAGTTCTTCTCAGCTGCTGGCCCATAGTGAATTTTTATCAGTTTACTGCCAAAGTTCCTTGCTTTTTAAAACGTATACATTTTTAAAATTGTCTTTTAACAGACAAGGAATTACACCCTAATATGTGATCAATGTAAGTTATGTGTGATATTTTTTAAAAGAAAAATTGAAAATATGTTTAATCTATTTTTAAAATTAAATATATATTAAATTACATATAATTTTCAACAGTTTTGTAAAGACTTTAAATATATATCAGACTGCAGTATATTTGGGTGGAAAACACTGAGTTCAATTTTGGCCCATACTTCTAGGGATGTACAGAAATGGGGAAAGAGAGAAGAATGACAGAAGTGATTTAAATAATAGAAAACAAGTCCAACAAGAAGGAGCTTTTGTACCTTGGAAAGTAAGCTGAGTAAATGACTGTCATTATTAGGTTCAAGAGAAATTTTGTGCAAGGGACATGCTGTTCCACTATTCACCTGAATAAGTGAACTGAATAAAAGTAAATAGGCATAAAAGCACTTCAGAGAAAGCCTAATTGTTTAGAAGGAAGAAAATGTGCAGGTTGAATAATGAAATGCTCAGATTCTCCATCTGGAAATTTCCCATGAGAATAAAGAATCATCTCTCCCTTTGATTTTGCCATACAGCTGCCTGAAAGCAGACAGCTCTATTTTACCAGGTAATCTTGGAAGGTTGTAGATGCAGGGAGATGCCTCTGGCTGCAGAAAATTAAAGTGTCAACGTATTGCTAACATAAAACAAATGCCTAAGAATATTCCTGGTGGCCCACAAGGTTGAACTTCAAAATTATGATTTCTTTTGGGGGATCTGAAGGGGAATCATGTGATTCATAGCTTTCAGTGACTTGGCTATGATATGAAACTTAACCACTCAATATCATTTCTTCTAACTGTGCCTTCCCAGACATTAGATAAAATGCAATCCCATTTGAAAACTAGGAAAGAGAATAGAACATGAAAAGTGAGTAAATAACTACCTGATGGTCCAATGTCCCTGTGATCTTTGAGGACATCTGCATTTACAAGCCAGCTAGCTATTCCTCTCTCAGTGAAGACGAGACCCAAGAGTTAAAGAGTTGTAGAGTTGGGCAATGTTGTGTATCTTTTTGCTGTAATACATTATAGCCATGAGTACAACTATATGCGGAGTCCTGTGAATCCTCCTGGTGAATCATCAAACCTAGCCAGTGGTCATGGGGACTCTGGACACACAGGCTTTGAAGCAGTGGTTCCTGAATCCGGCTGATCATAAGAATCACTGGTGGAGCTCTATAGGCAACTGACCCCAGAGTCTCAACTCAGACTTATGGACTCAAGACCTGTATTTTTCCAAGCTCTCCACATGTGAAGCCAGATGGGAAGACAGATACCACGTGCCTTGGTGGAAAAGACAACAACTTCATGAAAACTACATTTTCAGGAGGGTGAAATAATACAGTGTGTCCACCACATGGAAACGTCCAACAGGATATGACTATTGAATATGAATAATATGTAGAGCAGACAGAAAGCAAATTTTTCCTTCTGTTTCATTGAATCTCCTATGTTAGTGCCAAGAAGGAACAGGACATCTGACATGGTTTGGATTTGTGTCTCCACCCAAATCTCACATCAAATTGTAATCTCCAATGTTGGAAGACGGGACTGGTGGGAGGTGATTGGATCATGGGGGAGGACTTCCCCCTTGCAATTCTCGTGATGATGAGTTCTCACGAGATCTGGTTGTTTAAAAGTGTGTAGCACCTCCCCCTTTTCTCTCTTCCTTCTGCTCCAGCCATGTAAGACGAGCCTGCTTCCCCTTCACCTTCTGCCATGACTGAAAGTTTCCTGAGGCCTCCCCAGCCATGCTTCCTGTATAGCCTGTGGAACCATGAGCCAGTTAAACCTCTTTTCTTTATAAATTACCAGTCTCAGGTAGTTCTTTATAGCAAAGCAAGAATAAACTAATACAACATCTATTTCTGATGTGGCCATAACATGACAAAAAAGCATCCAATGATAAATTTGTGGTTGAAGAATGATGCAGGCATACAGGGATACAGCAGTTCTTTGTTGCAACTCCCAGTTTTTGAGACACTAAACCTTAACCTTAGTTAAAGTTAATTTGAGTTTATGTAAATCAATTAAAAACATTCACAGGAATGCAAAAAGTTAGACTACCTGCAATCAAAGAACCTGCTTTCTGTAATGGGTAGGAGGGGGCAGCTGGCTTGAATGATGCCTCATAGGTAGCCCTCAAGGTCAGGGGTCTGAGTCAAAAGCTTCACTAAGAACTCAGAGTAATGAAAGGAGGGAGCACTCAGCTGAGAAATATGCGATCATCAGAGTTGTGACATAAAAAGGCAACTCCAAATTTTTTCCACAAAGAATCTAGTTGCATTCCATTTCAGACTTATCTCAAAAGACTAATCCAGTTTAATTTAGTGTGGGAACCCAAGAATGAGAGTCAGACTTCCTTCTCCTTCTCAGGGCCTCTTTGAGTCTGGCCTGCCAACTTACTCTGTGTCTGCACCCAAGGCAGAGGCCTGCAGTTTCTTTTTGGACTAAGACACTTGTGTAATTTCCAAATTTTAGAAGTTTTGAAGCTGGGATTTCAGGTTGAATACATTCATGGACACATTTAACGAACAAGAATTGTGGCTATGTCCTTAAAACATACAAAGAAGAGGCATGAATGATGAATAGACAGTTGGTCTCTATGAAAATATTTCTTTTTAAAGGAAGTAGGCAAACATGTCTCTGATGGATTTTGCTTTTCAATAACAAATTATTGAACCAATTCACAAAAACATATCTTGAAGGATCGAAAAGCCCTCATTCATAAACCAAATCATATCTATGGAACAAAACAAAGGAAATGGGACAGGGTGACAGTGGAAACTGATAACCACAAATATCACCAATAAAAGTTAGACTCAGATGCCATGGCATTTAAAGCCACAAACTTTAGAATGCAATAATAAAGTGAATTTTCAGAATGTAAAGAAGTCCCAGGAGAAATTATCCATTTAAAAATATGTGAGATGTGCTTTTTCTGAGTTTGTATATTTCTTACATCCTAAGAAAACATTCTAATTCATTTCACAGAGGGATTCAAAGGCAAATTCTCAACAAGGGAAATACAACTTTGTTTTTTATCTACTCATTTAGGAATTGAATAGAATTTATTAAGTTATTTTTTCCACAAAGAATCTAGTTGCATTCCATTTCAGACTTATCCCAAAAGACTAATCCAGTTTAATTTAGTGTGGGAACCCAAGAATGAGAGTCAAGAGACCTGGACTCTACTATTAACTGAATCTCTATTTGCCTAAGTTTTCTAATACGTCAAAGGGAACAAATATATTCACCCTTTCTATCTCACAGGTTTGTAGTATGGTTAAAAATTAAGATTATAAATGTGAAACTATTTTGGACATGTGATATCAGTCACACAAATGGGTCCTAATCAATCTGATACATGGTTATACACATATTACATACTCCCAGAAAATCAGTAGCTGGGACTTGATGAAGTGCAGCCAGCTTATATGTCATGTTAGTAGAAACTAGGGTGGGAGACGACACAGGATGCGTCCAAAATCAAACAGGGCACAGCCAAGACTAGAAGCCATGTCTTCTAGGCCTAGCATCTTTTCACCAATCCCATGACCTCCTCAAAGGATTCTGTGCACTCAGCTTCATGCTCAGCCTATGCAGAAGCAGGGCTGCAAGATTACAACATCTATAGAACAACAGCAAGCCGCGACCTCATAAAGATTGAATGGCATTATCTGTGGCCTGTGTCTTGATGATCTCTCTCAATCTGCCAGAACTGTTCCACACCCTAACCCACCCACCAGAAATTTGAGGCAGGGGCATCTCTGGAATCTTTACTAGCAAATCAGATCATTCTTCCCCAGAAAAGACTTAAAGTCATTTGTTAGCCTAGAGGACCCTGCTTTTCACCTCTTCCATCTAAAAGTTCCTGCAAAGGAGATCACAAAAGCTGGCATCTTGCCCACAGTGCATATTGGAGCAGCCTGGCTCACTGCTCCAAGAACACAGTTAACAAGAACATCCTATTTCATCTCTACAAAGGTGAAAGATCTCAGCTCATGATTCCTCTCAGCACTCCACTGGTGATTGTTTTAAAAATGCATTTGTATGTATACACAATGCCTTCTATTGCAATGAATCTTTCACATTTTTAAAGGCAAGTTGTATGTTCTGACACTATAAATGGTAGTAAAGGTATTTCAAATTATCTCCCATTTGCTTACTATATTAACCAAGAGAGTACATAAAGGGCAATAAAGTTACATCTTTATCAGAAAAGCATACTGTGCTTTGGTAAGCACTGTGTTGTCACAGCACCACTGTCTGCTCAAAGTTTTGTAATGTTTTCCAAATAGAACACAGGAGTAAAGTAACTTTTATGCAGTTTGCTGGGGGAAAATATTAAGAATAATCACCATAGTGCAGTCCATCAGAGGTGTTTTTATTTTTTTATTTTGCTTTTTCTCAGATAGAGAGACTTGATGTTACAAGTTGCATGAAAGGACGGAAGTCCATGGTGTATAAATGCTAGTTAATAGCTACAATTTTTTATGTGACAACTATGTACTAAGCACCTCACCTACCCTATCTCTCATCCTGACAATAGTCCTATAAGGTAGATGATATTAATCCATTTTGCAGAGGGGAAAACAGTGATTCAAGGAGATTCAATGGCCGGCTCAAGGTTACATAGTTGGGAAGTGGCAGAGCTTCGATTTGAACCCAGGTCTATTTGGCCTCAAGACTTCTGCCTGGGCTGGGTGCGGTGGCTCACGCCTGTAATCCCAGCACTTTGGGAGGCTGAGGTGGGGGGATCACCTGAGGTCAGTAGTTCGTGACCAGCCTGGCCAACATGGTAAAATCCCGTCGCTACTAAAAACACAAAAATTGGCTGGGCATGGTGGCACACGCCTGTAGTCTCAGCTACTCGGGAGGCTGAGGCAGGAGAATCACTTGAACCCGGGAGCCAGAGGTTGCAGTGAGTTGAGATCATGCCAGTGCACTCCAGCCTGGGCAATGAGAGTGAAACTCTGTCTCAAAAAGAAAACAAAACAAAACAAAACCTGTGCTTCATCCACTACACCATACAGCCTCATTCTTACAAGTTGTTAGAAGTCTCCAGAATCTGGATCCAAGCTAGACAATAACAGAAATGAAAGAAATGCAAACAATAATAAGATCATGCCCCTTTCACTTTCCCACCTTAGAAATGTCCACTGAACTTTCCATCTCCAAAGCCAGTAACTCATAAGGGTGATGGGAAGAAACAAACTGACCCTGTGAAGAATCCAGGGAGGATACTGGAGAGGTTAGGAGGCTGGCTTTGACCTGAGTCAGCTTAGGTTTCTGCCCTGGCTCTGCCTGTCACCAGTTAGCTGTGTGACCTGACTTAACCTCTTTGTACCTTATTTCCTTCTCTGTAAAATAGGAAAAATGTCCTTATAGCCTCCAATGATGCAATGTGTGCAGTGCACACAACGATACCAAGTGTGCAGAACACTTACAGTTCCTGGCCGATTGTTGCATGCTCCATAAATGTTATCTCTTTTTTATTGGAACTTTGGCTGTGAGGTCACTATATAAAAATAAAAGGCACATTATTGGTGAAACAAAACAAAATTCACAGTTTCTGGCTTAACTGGTTTTTGTTGGCACCTAATGGCCGTACGCCTCTTGATTTAAGAGAGCCTTAAAAACAAAGAGTGGATATCAAACACTGGGTTTCCATTTGCAAGGACAGATGCTCTTTTTTGGGCTCAGCTAAAACTAAAGTCTAGTCAGACAGCCCAAATCAAAACCCATTTTATTTCTCCTGCAAGTTTAAGTAGGAAATCAGTGCTGCTAAGAGTGTGAAGTGAAATCTCTAGAATTTATAATGAATAGGTCAGTCCCTGAACTACACACTCCTCCCTTTCCTATTTTTACATATAAAATTTTAGCCGTCATTTCCACCATTCCCAAACTCTTCTTTAAAAAAATTGTTCTAAATAATATTATGGAAAATAAAATAGCAGCCTGTCAACATATAGAGCTGACATAGGGACCACATCTGGGTAGGTTTCCTTTAAGGAAACTCTATACTGGATCTTCAGTCTTTCCGTGTATGGCTTAATCCAAGAGCAAATGAGCATGTCCTCTTAGAAAGAAAGCATATTAAAACATTTGCCTTGGGATTAATGAAGAATGGAAGACATTTGGGCAGGGAAGTGGGAAAGGAGAATGAAGCCATCGGGTGCCTAACACCGTAAGTAACTTAGAAGTCAGGCACTCAACATAAAGTTTTGCATTAAAGGTTAAAACACAGAGTTTCCAATAAGTAAAGTCTTTACGGGAGTTTTCACCAACTATCACCCATAGGTCTGGGTCCTTATAGAATTATTTTTAGGCTTAATATTTACTTCCCGAAGAAGCCTTTCTTTCCTCTCCAAAAAGCTCAAGTCCTGTGTTTCATAGACTATAGCAGTACATGCCTTTCATTAAAAGCCCCATCAATGTGATCACAGCTGTAATTGTACATGTATCCAAATCATTCATTGTTAACTATTTGTCTTTCGCTGAGATGTGGACTTCATACAGGGAAGGACTCTGTCTGCCTTTATTCCCTGAGTCCCCACAGTGCCTAACATAGTGACTCCACATAAAAAGAATCTAATAAACATTTGTAGAGTTAATAAATATATTCATTGAGTACAGAAATATTGAACCAAATTCTGTCCTGGAGACTAGAGCAGTATTTCCCCAAGAGTCCTTGGAGTGAGAAAGCCTGGGTTTGAGTCTTGGCTATGATACTTACTAGCCGTGTGGTCTTAGTCAAATTAATTTCTCTCTCTGTGCCTCGTCTGTCAACTGGCAATAATAATAGTTCTTACTTCACTGGGTTATTACATAGATAAAATAAATTAAAACATATACATTGCTTAGGCCAGGCGTGGTGGCTCACGTCTGTAATCCCAGCACTTTGGGAGGCTGAGGCGGGTGGATCACGAGGTCAGGAGATCAAGACCATCCTGGCAAACACGGTGAAACCCTGTCTCTACTAAAAATGCAAAAAATTAGCCAGGTGTGGTGGCACACGCCTGTAGTCCCAGCTACTCAGGAGTCTGAGGCAGGAGAACAGCTTGAACCCGGGAGGCAGAGGTTGCAGTGAGCCGAGATCGAGCCACTGCACTCCAGCCTGGGCAACAGAGTGAGACTCTGTCTCGAAACAAAACAAAACAAAACAAAAAAAAAACATGTACATTGCTTAAAGCAATGCCCTGTACATAACAATCCCTGTTATGTACAGGGATATATACATACATACAACCTGCTGTTAT
Organism: Homo sapiens; assembly: GCF_000001405.40. Classification (NCBI taxonomy): domain Eukaryota; kingdom Metazoa; phylum Chordata; class Mammalia; order Primates; family Hominidae; genus Homo; species Homo sapiens. Next base: position 170,823,393 of record NC_000005.10, read on the forward strand.
TATGATTCTTACAAACACCACTTCGGCTAGATGATCTGGGGATAAAAAGGCATATTTAGTCCAATAATTTTGGAAAATACTGAATTAAATAAAGTTAAAGGGCTGCCTGTTTCAAGACTTGTCAGAACTTTCAAAATACTAATGTACATTATGAATGTCTAAGGGGGATATCAGGTACAGTGTTTCCAAAATGTATTTGATGACAGAATCCTACTTGTGAGTAAATTATACTAGCATAGCTCATGGATAGTTTATGGAACACATTTTGTGAAATGCTGGATTTGATTCTTTAGTAGAAAAATAACAAGATGCCGGGTACAGTGGCTCATGCCTGCAATTTTAGCACTTTGGGAGGCCAAGGTGGGCAGATCACGTGAGTTCAGGAGTTCCAGACCAGCCTGGGCAACATAGCAAAACCCCGTCTCTATAAAAAGTATAAAAATTAGTGTGGTGGCGCATGCCTGTAATTCTAGCTACTCAGGAGGCTGAGGTGGAGGGATTGCTTGAGCCTGGAGGCAGAGGTTGCAGTGAACCATGATCATGCCAGTACACTCCAGCCTCGGTGAAAGGCCTGTCTCAAAATAAAAAAGAAAAAGAAAAATAACAAGAAACAAAATTTGGGAGGAAATATTTTTCAAAATTATAGATTGAAGAAATATTATTTAAGAAAGTAACTCTTTCTTAAAATATAATTAATGAGACATAAAATATATGAAAGGAAAATCTAGTCTTAAGTGTTTTGTTTTGTTTTGTTTTGTTTTGTTTTGTTTTGTTTTGTTTGAGAAAGAGTATCGCTCTGTCGCCCAGGCTTGAGTGCAGTGGCACGATCTCAGCTCACTGCAACCTCCACCTCCCTTAGTTCAAACAATTCCCCTGCCTCAGCCTCCTGAGTAGCTAGGATTACAGGCGCCTGCCACCACGTCTGGCTAATTTTTTTTGTATTTTTACTAGAAACAGGGTTTCACCATGTTGGCCAGACTAGTCTTGAACTCCTGACCTCAGTCAATCTGCCCGCTTTGGCCTCCCAAAGTGCTGGGATTACAGGCATGAGCTACTGTGCCTGGTCAAGTTTTTATTTATTTATTTTTGGAGACACATTCCTTCACTCTATCACCTAGGCTGGAGTGCAGTGGCGCAATCTTGGCTCACTGCAACCTTTGCCTCCCAGGTTCAAGAGATTCTTATGCTTCAGCTTCCCAAGTACCTGGGACTACTGGCGTGCACCACCATGCCTGGCTAATTTTTGTATTTTTAGTAGAGATGGGTTTCATTGTTTTGGCCAGGCTGCTCTTGAACTCCTGGCCTCAAGTGATCACCCACCTCAGCCTCCCAAAGTGCTGGGATTACAGGCATGAGCCACCACGCTCAGCCTAGCATTAAGTTTTTAAAGCCCAATGTCTTATTTGGGCTGAGGTACCAGACCCCTTATAGCACCTGAGAGCAAAGTCCCAGCTTAAGCTTGGGAACTTGCAGAAGGGTCCAGGCACAAGACAAGGCTGAGCTCCAAACTCACAGGTGCGCCTGGTGATATGCTTAGTTACAAATTAGAGTTTGCCTCTCTCCTTCTCCCCACAAATAATCCAACCAGGTATATTTGTTTGCTAGGACTGCCATAACAAAGTACCACAGACTAGGTGGCTTAAACAACAGATAATAAGTTTCTTACAGTTCTGGAGGCCAGAAGTCTGAGGTGTCAGCAGGGCCAGTTTCTTCTGAGTCTTCTCTCCTTGGCTTATAATTGGCCATTCTCTTGATGTCTTCATATGGTCTTTTGCTCTGTGCCTGTCCAAATTTCCTCTTCTTATAAGAACACAAGTCATATAGGATTAGGGTTTTCCTGAATGACCTCATTTTAATTTAATTACCTCTTTAAAGACCTGATCTCCAAATACAGTTACATTCTGAGGTCCTGGGGGTTAGGACTTCAGCATATGAATTTCTGGGCAAGGGATGAAGAGGGTTGGAAATGACAGAATTCAGCCCTTAACACCAGCTCTGACTCCTCTCACTGGCCACCTCAAAGAGTGAGGGGTTACTGTGTGTCCTTTTCAATTTCCTGCATTACAAAACAAAAAGGATTTTTTTTTTTCAGATGGAGTCTCACTCTGTTGCCAGACCAGAGTGCAGTGGTGCAATCTCAGCTCACTGCAACCTCCACCTCCCGGGTTCAAGCGATTCTCCTGCCTCAGCCTCCCAAGTAGCTGGGACTGCAGGCACGTGCCACCATGCCCAGGTAATTTTTGTATTTTTAGTAGAGATGGGGTTTCACCATGTTGGCCAGGATGGTCTCAATCTCTTGACCTTGTGATCCACTTGCTTCAGCCTCCCAAAGTGCTGGGATTACAGGCATGAGCCACCTTGCCTGGCCCATGAAAAGGAAAAATTTAAGCCCTCTGCTAAGTTACCCATCACCATCATTTCTTGCCCAATTTTCCTCCAACCATTTTAACTCTTGCTCTGTCTCCCACAAACCAAGAGAGCCACCATGACTCAGGTCCTCCAGTGCCTCTACCTTCCTTTTGGGAACAGCTGAGCAGCATCGGGCTTCTCCACAGATTCCCAGTGCCTATCCTTAAAGAGTCTTTGCACCACTTAACCCAATCATCCTTTTCAGATCCTGCCACTTCCACTGCTGCCAAGGGTCTGCTATCACAGAATAAGGATTTAAAACCCACAGAATCCCAAAGATCTCCTCCAGTAGTGTTAAAATAGGGATAATCTTCTTTCACAACTGGGGAAACACAGGACACTCACTATCTGATGACAGCTTACAGGACTGTGAACAGCCTCAGCGCCTAACACAGCCATGGTTATTGTCCTAAAACAGTGAGGATGGACTTCACCAGCTTCCCTCAAAACCAGGAACTGGCTAGAGGGCATGGCTGTAAGAGTTAAAGAAAGAGAGAGGAAACACAAAACGCAGCTTAACAGTCAAAGACAGGTTTATTTTAGAGAGATAACCCTGAGAGGGGCTTCTGGCCAATTTCAGTCAGGAGCACTTTCTCTTGCAGACTAACAGTATATATTGGTTTTAGGGTGAGGGGGCTTATCACAAGCTTGGAGTGTTTCTGTGTGAAGGAGAAGTTTATGGTGGGGTTGGAATGTCTCTGGGTGGAGGGGAAGTTATCTTGGGGCTGACATCTTTCCAGCCGGAGTGGGGTTATCTCAAGGCTGGCATCCTCCCAGCTGGTGGGGGGTTATCTTGGGGCTAGCATGTCTCTGGTCAGGGAGGAGTTTGGAATGTTTCTGATTGGAGAAGTTATTTGTGGTTTATGTTCATGCTGACCTTAGCCATTAGGCTGATGCCCTTTGGATTTAAGCGGTTTTTTATTAAGGTGAATTTTAAAATGAGGTGCTTGTCAACGATGGTTATGCTGCTACTCAGTCAATGGCAAGGCATTTGGTTTCTGTAATGGAAAGCAGGAGACTTTTTTTTCTTTTTAATTACGTTGTTATGTGATAGAAGTCACAGAGTGAAAGAAAAGTATGAAATGTTGCCTTTCTATATACCCGACCTTCTGATAGGCTATATGTTTTAGGGACAGATAACTTCCTAATGAGACTTTTTATAATAAAGCTTTCATCGCTTCGAAAAATATTAACTTTTGTAGCTCTTCCGGGTACATCAAAAGGACCCTGCAGTTATAGTTACAATATCCTAAAGATTTAGCTTCTCAGTAATAATGGGTAAGAGCCTTAGCATTGCCATGGGCCAAAACTATATTATTTGAAATGAAACCTCTCATAAATATCCAACTATGAAGTCACTATCTATCAACTGCTGTTATATAAACAGGACAGAGCTAAATCTCCCATCTGCCAATATCAGAGCTGCCACAAATAATGATTTGGTGTCCAGTACTCACAAATTAAACAAGCTCTTGCTCTGTCAGCCAACTCTGGGAAGCCAAGTTTCATTTGGGCAGCCACAGTGTAGGAGGGTCCAAGTAAGGAGACCTGGTAGGGCCTGAATTCCTCATGCATTTCCCTTTTGCCAAAAGCTTAGACCTCCCTTAGCCCCAGTAGTTCTCTTCACTGGTATAAGATGTGATCAATTCTTTAGAAAGAACACTGGAGCAACCAGCGTCCACCTCCTACCCCCTTTTCCACAGCTTTCTCCACACCTTTGTGTCAGAGTCAAGCCCTGGACTTTGAAAACCAAAAATAAAATTCTAAGACCTCCAACTGACTAATGGACACCCTCTCAGCCAAGGGCACGCCAAAGAAACCTGAAAACCTAATTCAGGCCGCGATGGGAAGCGGGAGTCAGGCATGCCTCATTATACCCTCCTCCCTTGGGGATTCAGGCTCAGCTGACCAGCATTAACATTAAAACAGAGATCTTAAGACTGACACATCAGACTCTGTAGCAGTAAGATACCAGCACGACAGCTAGCAGGACCTGAAAGAAATCAAAATATTTTAACCCCAAATTTATTTATTTGACACATTTTGAAATGGCCCTGCAAAGCTGTCTCTTGTGGGGAAAATCTACATTCTGTAGAGAATCCCCTTCATCTTCCAGGTCTTCTTCCTGATCCAGGAGAGAATTAACTAAGAGTCTGGCATCTATTTTTTTTTTTTTTTTTTTTTTGGAGACAGAGTCTTGCTCTATCGCCCAGTCTGGAGTGCAGTGGCGCAATCTCGGCTCACTGCAACTTCTGCCTCCTGGGTTCAAGCAATTCTCATGTCCCAGCCTCCCGAGTAGCTGGGATTATAGGCAGCTGCCATCATACCTGGCTAATTTTTGTATTTTTAGTAGAGACAAGGTTTCACCATGTTGCCCGGGCTGGTCTTGAACTCCTGACCTCAGGTGATCCACCTGGCTCAGCCTCCCAGCATGCTGGGATTACAGGCATGAGCCACAGCACCCGGTGAGTCTGGCATCTTTTTAAATCTGATAAGAAACATTTGCAATGCATTTTCTCTGAAGCCTATTACCTGGAGGCTTCATCTACATAATAAGAACCTTGGTTTCCACAGCCCCTGAACCCAGACCCTCTGTTCTATTGATTTCAGGTCTTTAAAGATTTAACTCTTTCAACTAATTGCCAATCGGGGAGTCTTGGAATTCATCTATGACCTGGAAACGCCCCCACAACCTGCTTCAAGATGTCCCACCTTTCTGGACTGAACCAATGTACATTTTACATATATTGATTGTTGTCTTATGTCTCCCTAAAACATGTAAAACAAAACTGTAGCCTGAACACCTTGGTCACAGGTTCTCAGGACTTCCTGGGGCTGTGTCACGGGTCATGGTCCTCACATTTGGCTAAGGGTAAATCTCCAAATATTTTACAGAATTGACTCTTTTCATCAACAATTTCCAGCACCAAACAGGAAACTGGTATCCCCTGAGCAGCTTCCCTGTGTTGCTCTCACTCTACTCTAAGTGAGCTCACACCTACCTGGTTCACTATAGTTCTTTTTTGTTTTGTTTGTTGTTGTTGTTGCTTTGTTTTGTTTTGTTTTTGAGGTGGATTCTCACTCTGTCACCCAGGCTGGAGTGCAGTGGTGCAATCTTGGCTCACTACAACCTCTGCCTCCCGGGTTCAAGCAATTCTCGTGCCTAAACCTCCCAAGTAGGTGGGATTATGGGCACACCTCACCACACCTGGATAATTTTTGTATTTTTAGTAGAAGTAGGGTTTTGCCATGTGGCCGGGCTGGTCTCAAATTCCAGACCTCAGGTGATCCGCCCACTGCAGCTTCCCAAAGAGCTGGGATTATAGGCATGAGCCACCATGCCCAGCCCAATTGCTGATGTCTTTGAGATAGGGCTCATTCTGTTGCCCAGGCTGGAGTGCAGTGGTGCAATCTCTACTCACAGCCTTGATCTCCGGGCTCAGATGATCCTCCCACCTCAGCCTCCCAAGTAGCTAGAATTACAGGCATGCACCACCACACCCGGCTAATTTTTGTATTTTTAGTAGAGACGGGGTTTTGTCATGTTGCCCAGGCTGGCCTCAAACCCTGAGCTCAAGTGACCCCCCCAGCCTCAGCGAGTCAATCCTTAGAATCCAAAGTTCTTGGATTACAGGTGTGAGTCACTATGCCCAGCCTGTCCACTGTAGTTCTAGTCCATACCAGAAATGTGGATGGGACGTCAGTGGATCACATCTTGAGAAACTGCTGTAAACAGTGTGAAATCATCAGTAGAATTTACTTTTAAGGGCAGGGATTACCTATTATTAACCTTTTCATACATCTTATTTGAGGGCCTGGAACATGACAGTCACCTAATATATGTGTGATGATCTGAGCTCAAGCCAAGATTATCGTTTTCAAGCCTAAGATTTTTAAGTAGAGAAGTATCAGAGGCGACCGGGCACAGTGGCTCACACCAGTAATCCCAGCACTTTGGGAGGCCAAGGTGGGTGGATCACTTGAGGTCAGGCATTTGAGACCAGCCTAGCCAACACAGTAAAACCCTGGCTCTACTGAAAATACAAAAACTAGCCAGGCATGGTGGTGGGCACCTGTAATCCCAACTACTCAGGAGGCTGAGGCAGGAGAATCGCTTGAACATAGGAGGTGGAGGTTACAGTGAGCTGAGATTGCGCCACTACACTCCAGCCTGGGCGACAGAGTGAGACTCCATCTCAAAAAAAAACAAAAACAAAAACAAACAAACAAACAAAAAACAAAAAACGTGTCAGAGGCATTCAAACAAGAGCAATTCCATCCTGAAAAGGGATTGGGTAAAATAAGGCTGAGACCTACTGGGCTTCATTCCCAGGAGGTTAGGCATTCTTAGTCACAGGATGAGATAGGAGGTCAGAACAAGATATAGGTCACAAAGACCTTGCTAATAAAACAGGATGTAGTGGAAAAAAAAATCCAAAACCCACCAAAAAACAAAATGGCAATGAAAGTGACCTCTGGTTGTCCTCATTGTTCATTATATATGAATTATAATACATCAGCATGCTAAAAGACACTCCCACCAGCACCATGACAGTTTATAAATGCCATGGCAACGTTCAGAAATTACCCTATACAGTCTAAAAAGGGGAGGAAATTTCGGTTCCAGAAACTGCCTACCCCTTTCCCAGATAACTCATGAATAATCCACCTCTTGTTTAGGATGTAATCAAGAAGTCACTATAAGTGTATTCAGTTGAGCAGTCCATGCCACTGCTCTGCCTATGGAGTAGCCATTCTTTTATGCCTTTACTTTCCTTTTTTTTTTTTTTTGAGATGAAGTTTTGCTCTGTCGCCCAGGCTGGAGTGCAGTGGCACAATCTCGGCTCACTGCAACCCCTGCCTCCAGGGTTCAAGCTATTCTGGTGCCTCAGCCTCCTGAGTAGCTGGAATTACAGGTGCATGCCACCACACCCTGCCAATTTTTTTATTTTTAGTAGAGACAGGGTTTCACCATGTTGTTCAGGCTGGTCTCAAACCCCTGACCTCAAGTGATCCACCCACCTTGGCCTCCCAAAGTGCTGGGATTACAGATGTGAGCCACCACACCCAGCCGATTACTTTCTTAATAAACTTGGTTTCACTTTATTCTGTGGACTTGCCCCAAATTCTTTCTTGCACAAGGTCCAAGAACCCTCTCTTGGGGTCTGGATCAGGACCCCTTTCTGGTAACAGAAGTAACATGATTGTTTTGGTTTTAGACAGCAAATAATAGCCAGGATGTTTAAAAATAGAAAAACTTTCACTCATACTTCATTACTTCTCTAAAACAGATTAAAATACAATGTTAATTTGCTATGTCTTTCTACAGCTTTAGTTAGAAAATGGAGAAAAAAGAGTAGAGACCATAGTCAAGGGGACCAATTTTGCCTCCTTTAATTAAAGTGGAAGAACACATTAGAATAATAATTCCAGGTATAGGAATGGGTTTCTAATTGGTTGAGATTGCCATAACTGTAATGATGTACCGAACCCTATTGTAAGAGTTTTTCTTTTTTCTTTTTTGAGATGGAGTTTTGCTCTTGTCCCCCAAGCTGGAGTGCAATGGTGCAATCTTGGCTCACTGCAACCTCCACCTCCCAGGCTCAAGGGATTCTCCTGCTTCAACCTCCCAAGTAGCTGGGATTATAGGCACACGCCACCATGCCCAGCTAATTTTTGTATTTTTAGTAGAGACGGGGTTTCACCATGTTGGCCAGGCTGGTCTCGAACTCCTGACCTCAGGATATCCACCTACCTCAGCCTCCCGAAGTGCTGGGATTACAGGCGTGAGCCACTGCAACTGGCCTCTTTTTTTTTTTTTTGTGGGGGGAGCCACCGTGTTTTTTTAATAATCTAATTTTGGAGGTGACACATGATCACTTCTGCTATATTCTGTAGTCACAGAGATCAACCTTGGCTTAGCATAGAAGAGGAATACACAATGGTCTGACTAGCAGGAGGCAGGGGTCAGGGGAGGGCACCTTAAAGGCTGCCTACTACAACCTTCAGGCTTCTGTTTCTATCTCTTGGGGCAGATATTACCTGAATTAGTGTCATCCAGAGAAACAGGCCAATAGGAAGTATACGTATCTCTCTAGAAAGAGGTGTATTATAAGGTATTGGCTCATATGATTATGGGGGCTGCCATTTGCAAGCTGGAGACCTAGAAAAGCTCGTGGTATAGTTCAATGGTCTGAGAGCCAGAGACCCTATGGTTCAGGTTCCAGTCTGAATCTGAAGGTCTCAGAGCCAGGAGTGCTGAGAGCAGGAGAAGATCGATATCCCAGCTCAAGCAATCCGGCAGAGATAATTCACCTTCTTCTTCTTCTACTCAGGCCGTCAACAGAATGGATGATGCCCACCCACATTGGTGAGGGCCATCTGCTTTACTCAGTCCACCAATTCAAATGCTAACCTCTCCCCGAAACATCATCGCAGGCACACTCAGCAATAGTGTTTAGCAATCCAACTGGGCATCCTGTGGTGCAGTCAAACTGACACACAAAATTAACCATCACGCTCCTCCACTTTTCCTTGGTGGTTTCTCACTCTTCCCCTTCTGTCCATGTGGTTTGATGGGGCTGATCCTGCCCCTGCTCCCACTGGGCTCCAGAGGAGGGCAGCTGATCCAGGTCTGGACGGTCAGCTTGCTCCATCTATTGGCTACCATGATAGCTTCACAGAAAAGCATGCGGCCAAGATGATCAAATAAGAGCTAGTTACAGCATCCTTAAGAGGACGATGTCAGCCAGGAGTTGCGGCAGCTGTCTTTGCTACTTTGTGAGAGGATCCTCGCCCCATATGGTGACCACTGGAAAGCAGGCTGAAATAGCGTAACCATCAAAGAGAAAGGTTAGCTCCCTCTGAGGGAAAGAAAAGGAAACCAGCTCTACAGTTCCCCCTGCAGCAATCAGGATTTGGAGAAACAGAAGGTTACAGAGGCAATCCCCGCAGCCCAGATCTGTAGTATTTCCCAGGTCTTTCAAACACATTTAATTCTGCACAGGGAAAAAAAAAATGGCATCATTATTTAATCCAAAATACAATAACCACAATAGATTGCCCATGTGGGCACATAAGTCCCCTGCAGAGAATTTAATGTGCGTGCTGCCTTTACCCACACATATACAACCAAGGCAGTGTGAATGGGGCCAGTCCCTTCTCGTGGCCTGGGAAGAGAGAACGTGGATGCCCATGGTTGTTATAAAAGCAAAAAGGGGGGAAACAAAGAAAGCCCAAGGGTATAGCTGCAACTCCACTTAAGACTAATGCATATCTTCATTTTAGTCCTCAGCAATAATCCAAAGAAATATCTGATGCTACTGAAAGACTACTGTCATCCCTGGTAGATACTCATCAATTATTATTAAGTATTGCATAGTTCAGGTCAAGATATAATATGTCTGAGAAAAACCATGGCACCTCCTTTTAATCTTGCATAGAAAACAATTAAAGTATATAAAGCACATTATTAAAATATGTAAAATTTATAATTTAATTATAAGATTGCATGGCTTTATGATCTAATAGTTCTGCTGTATTTTGCATATTAGTGAACAATTGCTTTCTTAAAGCACACTGTAGAATCATTTACTTGATGCTGGAGAATAAGTTAATTATGGATTCCTTGTATATGACTAATGGATTTAATAATCACTTTACTGTAGAATTAACTTATACTTCCCTGTGCTTATAGCACTAATGATGATATTCATAAAAGTTATATTCTTTAAAAAATGTAAGATTGGCACAAAAAGAGAAACCAGTGTACAACTTGGTTTTCGAGCCAGCAGTTGTAAATAGATAGTTCAGAGTCATCAAGGCCCTCCTCTTGCTCTGTAATAAATCACACATACCCTCTCCACCTCCCACCCCTGCCACCAACCCTGCCTCCATTGGCTTTATTAAGGGAATTTATTTTATTTAAGGGAAAACGAAATGCTTGCCAGATACATTTAGTGAAGCTCCTGACTTTTTTAACCTCGGTTGTGGGTTACAATGAGGATTCTTCAGTTACATCCACTTGATGAAGCTCTGGGAATCCCCATATGTGCTAAGATCACGTTGGGATGCCCCAGTCCCTCTGCTTGTCCTAGTTTCAGTCCGTTGAAGCCACTCACTTTTCTCCTTCAGCCAGAACAAACACTAGTGGAAGGCCTAGCAATACTGTTCTTTATTTAAGGAGGAGAGTCCCTAGCACTGCCTTTCCTGTCTTTTACCCTTCCTTACCACCATCACCACCACTATCATCATCACCACCACCACCACCATCACCATCACCACCACCACCATCACCACCACCATCACCATCATCACCACCACCACCACCACTACCACCACTACCATCATCATCATCACCATCACCACCATCACCACCACCATCATCACCATTACCATCACCACCACCACCACCATCATCATGATCATCATCTGGGTTATTCTTTCCTCATGGAATTAAATGATGGAAGACCTAGATTTTATTTCCAGTTCTGTCGGTTTATAGCAAGGCTTGACCTTGGGTTATTAAACCTCTCCCAACCTGCTCCATGGCTCTAAAATGGGAAAACCGATTACTTCCCTCTGACTCTGAATGTGCTTTGTCCACTGTTCAGTCCTAAATACAGGCAGTGAATTATTACAGTGCTCTCTCCTATCCAAACAGACGTCACCCACCCCTTTGTAAAACACTCTGCCATTTTGGGCATGGAGATTTAAAAATCCTGGAAGAAAAGAATTAAGGCTTGTGCTCTGGTATAAGCCTTCTTGTACAGAGCTGTTCAAGAAGTATATGTTTACTAAGTATATGCTGATAAATTGACTGAATGCATGTAAATTCTTAATTCACTCTCTGAGGACCTGAGGAATTGTAATTTTCTTTAGGTCAGAGACCTGTAGCTCTTGCTGGGAAGCCTTGAATCACTGTCTTTCTGCCTCACATCCCCCACCAATGGCTCCCAGCATCATGCTTTGCAGAGTGCAAGGTCACAAATAGTGAGAACGGACTGCCAGGAAATGGGATCTGGCCCCCCGTGGGGACTCAAGACACCTAAGGGCACCATAGACTTCCCCTCTTCTGGTTTCTTCAAGGTGTTCGATATTGGATATCTCTTTTCCTCCTTAGCATTATAAAATACTAAATTGCTTTGACAAGACAGAAATCCACATTTGTTTTATTAGAACTTACTTAACATATTAAAGGGAAATGTTTAAGCTAAAATTTCAAGATTTCACTCAGACCTTCTTTGGGTAATTAAATGTCACTGGTAAACAGGAGGCTGCACTGAATGTCCTGATCTCTGTTAATACCTAAACTTTTGCTGTTGTTTAATGAGCTTCATTTATAACACACATGCCCACTACAGCCCCCCTCTCAGGCCACAGTCCAGTCACTTCCATGGCAATTGGGATGATTTGTTCCTAGTCTGTTTATTCATTTAAAAAATACTCAGAATACTTCCTGAAAATCCTTATTCTCATCGAAAATATGTAACCCTGAAAAGCCCTTGTCCAAATTCGTGCCCTTTTCTCTTCACTCACAACCTTTAGCTTTTGGTCTAAAACAGTGCTTCAGGGACCACCATGTGCATACACGTCACCTGGGGATCTGTGCACGGTCTGACTCAGGTGGGGCCCAGATTCTGCATTTCCAGCAAGCTCCCAAGAGGAGCCAAAACTTGGTCCCAGTCCACACTTTCAGTAGCAAGAACCTAAACTTTTTGTGGATCAGCCTCAAAATAATTCCTGTTTAATTTTACACCAAGAAAATCCACATTATACTTACATAATTTTGTAATGCAAGAGAAACAAATGTTTAAGCTGAGCAATTTCTACACCACAAAAATAATTCTATTATTCTTTTTCTCTTGAAATACCAAAACCCATCATCTTTCATTTCTATCTCCACTTTATCTCCATTTCAGCCTCATATTCCCTTCTCCTATTTCAACCTGCTCCACAAGCAGAAGGCAAACTAAATACATTGAGTGTTACACAAGCACAACTGCACCCCAGATTTTCAGGTGTCGTTTGCCTTTCAAATATTAAATAATATCTAAAATGTCTTGAGCTTATGTAAAACTTTATGCCTTACAAAGGGCTTGCATACACTTATTTCATAAAAATAAGTTCATGTCTGGGAAGAGATGGAATAATGGAGTTTTAAAAAAAGGTAGATGTACTTTGGAGTGAGATTCACAAATCCTGTCTCTGCTAAGAAGTCAATCTTGGGCAAATTACTTAACCTCTTTGCTTATATTTTCTCATCTGTCAAACAGGGTATGTAATAGTGGCATCATGAGCTAGCTATTTGGACAAAGGTTATAGTTGGAAGATTTCAGAGAAAACCGAATGGCCAATACTTGGAACCTAGAGGGCCTTTGGTATGTGTCCCCTCGATACCCACATCAGCCTGTTCCTCTAATTCTACTTCCTGTGCAGGGGTTTTTCAATGCACTCTGTTCTGGGGTACCTGTCCTTCTCCAGGATAGCACCTAGAGTCTAACACCATCGCTTCCTTTCCTCTTTATCTGCAGACCTTTCCAATTCCTCTATAAAACCTGCCGCTTTTGTGAAACATGCAGTGGTATTTGACACCTAGGTTTCAAGTGATCAAACAAGACATGATGACAAATCTAAGAAAAATGACACCAACCCTTTGAAGGAAACCAAAATCAATTCTCTTTCCCCCTCTTCTTCGAGCTCCCCTCTTTTTCCACTGTTATCTTACCTCATCTATCATACTTAGACAGAAATCTGTATGTCTAGTTTCAATCACCGTTTCTCAGGCAACAGCCAAGCCACTTAGCAAGAGTCTAAAGCAAGCCAATATAATATTCTGCCCAGAGTAATATTCGGCCAAAGGTTACTGTGCCAGAGTAGGTTAATTATTCTAAGAGGACTTACTTTTACTATAATTATTGGTCACTATGAACTAATTAAAAAAAAACCCTGCTGTTTATTAAGTGCCTCTGTATCCCCTAGAAGCTTTTACATATGTATCTCATTTCATCCTCATTACAATTCAGTGAAAGATTTTTCAATTTTAAGGAAGTTTTAAGATCAAGTCGGTGAAATTACTTAAGGTCACAAGTTAGTGACAGGCAAGTCAAGATTCAAACAAAGCCATAGGCGATTGTCTGATTGTGTTTTGTTACTGTTGCTTTTAATTTAAAAATTAGGTTTAGCCAAGTAACATGTGCACTATCTGAAGGTAACATCTCCCAAATAGGTCAGTTTCCCCACAGAAGGATTCTCCCAGTTTCTCACTTGGAAGATGTAGACCTGGCTGCCAGCATTCTGGGAGCCCCCAGGGAAATGGCCTGAGGTCTCCCTGTTCAGTCCACTGACTTCCCCTTAATCTCCTGGTCCAGCATCTTATCACTGGCCCAAACTGAGCAAATCTTACAAGAAATTAAACTCCTTGTCTTTTTTTTTTCTTTTTCTCATTCTTTTGAACGAGATACCTGCAAAGGAATCTTACTTTTCTATATAGCAATTTTCAAAACATCCCGTTTTCAGGCCCAGTCCACAACCCTGCCTCCAGGGGCTCATATCGCTTTCACGTCTTGACATTCGGAAGTTCTGCAGTGCAACATGGCTGGCCTCTTGTCATCTTCTCCCGTGATGGATCTCTAGGTCTGCCCTGTCCCTGCTGTACTAAATCAGTTACCACCTATTCATTTGCTTTCCAGCTTCCAAACATTGTGTTGAGTTCCCCCATTTGCCGTGGAGCCCTCTCCTGTTCTCTTTGCCTTTATTAGTTTGTATTTTTCAAATTCCTTCGGTATCATTTTAGTGGAGTTTGAGGAGAAAACCGCAATACATGTGAGAACTCTTTTACCATGTTTAAAAAGAAGTCCTATCCTCTATTATTGGTAATAGTTATTTTATTTTATTTTATTAAAATTTTTTTTATTTACATTTTTTTTCTTTTTGAGACAGAGTCTTGCTCTGTCGCCCAGGCTGGAGTGCAGTGGTGTGATCTCGGCTCACTGCAACTTCCACTTCCCGGGTTCAAGCGATTCTCCTGCCTCAGCCTCCTGAGTAGCTGGGATTACAGGCACATGCCACCATGCCAGGCTAATTTTTCTGTATTTTTAGTAGCGATGGGATTTCACAATGTTGGGCAGGCTGGTCTCAAACTCCTGACCTCAGGTGATCCACTGCCTCAGCCTCCCGAAGTGCTGGGATTACGGACATGAGCCACCATGCCCAGTCGCTTAGTAGTTATTTTAGAGTCATGGTGTGTTAAATAATGCCCAGAACCTCACTTGACCCCCAAACCCAAATAAACAGAAGCCAGTTAAGTTGGGCCATAGATACTTTCTAGTATTTCATAAAATAGTAGCCTAAATGTATTGGACATGTTAGTCTTATGACTAAGAAGAAAAAAAGGAAGGAAGAAAGCAGGAAGAAAGAGAGAGGGAAGGAGGTTTAAAAAAAAAAGGAATGGAAAATAGCTCCCTAACAATTTTTAAATCATACATGATAATAAACTTTATATTTTACATAATTTTTCTTTATTAATACTTCTTGGACTTCACTATAAAACAATTTTATTCTCATACAATAACTCTCTCAGGGTTTGGCTTCCAGAACGAATCAGAAGGCAAAAACTACAATTCTACTGTCAAGATTATAGTTTGCTTTAAACCCAAAAGCTGTCTTTTAAAAAATTGCATCCCAGAAGAGCATTTTTGGATTTTTAAATATCCTATTTATCCTCTCTAAACTTGGAATCTGATGTCAACATTGGCTTGAAATCATCTGTGGCAGATTTATAATTTTTCTGGAAGGGAAAGAGGGAAAAACAAGATGAAAAAATGGGGATGTTTTTTCTTTTGGCTTAAAACCAAAGATTCAAAGCTGGTATGAATGAATGGCTTGGAATGAAGCTTCTGGTGAACATAGTGGTGTTTGCAGCCCTGCTACAACCTTTACATGGTTTGCAGTCTCCCCACTTTGCATCATAAGTGCTGGCTGAGGTTATTCTGGGGAGATGATAGCTGTGGAAAATGTGATTTAGAACTCTGCTCCCACCCTGCACACTCCTTGTCCAGGACTATGCTGGATCAATGCAGCTCTACTTGGAATGATGGAATATGGGGAGAAACAGCTTTCTTTTTTTTTTTTTTTTTTTTTTTTTGAGACGGAGTCTTGCTCTGCCACCCAGGATGGAGTGCAGTGGTACAATCTCAGCTCACTGCAACCTCTGCCTCTGGGATTCAACTGATTCTCCTGCCTCAGCCTCTTGAGTAGCTGGGGTTGCAGGTGCCCACCACCAGGCCCAGCTAATTTTTAAATTTTTAGTAGAGACAGAGTTTCACCATTTTGGCCATGCTGGTTTTGAACTCCTGACCTCAAGTGATCCACCCACTTCAGGCTCCCAAAATGCTGAGATTACAGGTGTGAGCCACTGTGCCTGGCCAAAACAGCCATTTCTATGATCAGTGTGTGAACAACCTGGCATGGTCCTGGATGCAGAGGTGCTGACAGATGGAGAATCACTGAGCCACAATGCATCTGTGTGAAACAGGAAAAAAACTATGAGGATGCCTGCCAGTTCAAGAAGCTAAACTCTCAGAAGAACACCAACAGTGACATGAAACATAAAGGACCTTGTGATTCAGATAATACAGAATCTGCACACCATTCAATTCTTATTAAAGAATAAAAGATATAGATCTCTGTACATGCTTTTCTATTTCTGACCTTGACTCTATGTATTGAAATGACGTAAGAGCCTAGTATGTGTTTTACAGTCACAGTCTGATTTAATGTCTAGATTATTTGACCTCCAGCAGATCTAAAAACCTCAAGTGTACAGAGTTAGTTGTCCAGGGATTGATTTGGTGCTCCATATTCAAACTACTCAAGGATCAAAAAATTAGCAAGCATAGAGTTTAACTATGAGACTTCAAGAGTAATAGCAAATGTTTCTGTGTTTATTTCATAACAATAACAGAATTTTTATTTAGTGATATCTAGATGGAATTAAAAGTAATAAGAAGCAATGAAGGGTAAATGCCTTAATAACTATGAATTATATCTTTGCTGAAAGCATATTTAAAAATATGATTTGATGAATTAATTGGATGAAATTTTGTTTTGGTGTAAGAGTCTAAACATATCCTATGAAAGAATCACATGAAAATAAATTGTAGATCTACAATACTTGATAAGTAATTAGAAAGACTTCCTATGTCAATGGAAAATTTATTTGCATTCATTTGCATTTATTTTGGTGCACTAAAGAACCGTAAGAAGACAAAACATAGTTCTCACAAGGCTACAATGTTCTTGATAGGAGAAAGAAGCCATTGTAGACATAAAAATACTATACTCATTGGGAAAGGTGAAGAAAAATAAAGCAATCACAACAGCAACTTTCACAAAGATAGTTTTATGGCTCTATATTAATATAAGTCGTTCTTCAAAAACAAGCTGCTCCAATTTCTTATAGATTTTCCAGTGTCCTGATGCATGCTCTCTGGAGTTCTAAATTGCTTATTAAACACTTCAAAACATACGTCTGGAAATCGCCATTAGTGAAACAGTTTCCTCTGTGCCCAGAATCCACTGTATCACATGGGCACACTCCAGACACATGTATTTCATGTATGACTATTGCATTTAGTTTTCAAAAGTCCATTGGTATAATTTTCCCTATTACATTTGTTTCTGACAAGTAAAAATGTGAGATCTCAAGAGGCAGATTCTCAGAATGAAATAAGGCTTTGCCAGCGATGTCCCCCACTGAGACAATGTCAACCCATTCTAACACAGTGCTAGAATTACAAATACAAATGCACAAGGTGTGCAGAGCATTGCAGTACTGGGTGTGCTGAAATCCAAGACTCCTGAGGATTACACACGTTTAGCAAAGAGAATGATTTGCCTAAGATCTAGGTGTTCAAAAGAATTTCTCCAATCCACTTCAGCCTGTTATTATGTATGTATTCTGTTTTAAATGAGAAACAAGAGTCATTTTCTCCAGAATAATAGAACCATAGTGACACTTGAAGTAAGTCCAGTGGTCCTGATATGATAATAATAATAATAATAATTATTATTATTATTATTATTATTTTGAGACGAGGTCTGTATCTGTTGTCCAGGCTGGAGTGCAGTGGCACAATCAGTGCTCACTGCAGCCTCGACCTCCTGAGCTCAAGCGATCCTCCTGCCTCAGCCTCCCAAGTAGCTGGGACTACAGGCATGCACCACCATGCCCAGCTAATTTTTTGGTGTTTTTGGTAGAGACGGGGTTTCATCATGTTGTCCTGAACTCCTGGCTCAAGTGATCCCAAAGTGCTGGGATTACAGGCATGAGCCACTGTGCCTGGCCTATCATTATAATTATTATTAATGATTATAAAACTAAGTTTTCCTTCCAGTGTCCACTTTTTTTTTAGTTTTTAAAGAAAACTAATTTAATAGGGTACCTCTTCTAGTATCATATTTGAAGTCATCAAAGCTAGTTTTCAAATCTTCTACATCACTTCTAATTATTCACAACTCCTCAGTGTCATTTGTGAGTTTCTTGGGCTGAGAATATGGGTGTAAAGGACTGATGGTATCAATTATTCTGGAGTGCGGAATCTTACCATTCTCGATTTGGTTACCCGCTCTACACTCTAATTTCTACATGGATATTACAGCATTATTTGAAGTTAACGTAGAGGAAAATGAATTCAGTGAGTAGGATTCCTTCAGAATTTTCTGACAAGCCTTTAAAAAATCACATTTACAAAAACACAGTTAACCATTACTGTTAATTTATAATATGTTAATACTTTCCTGCAATGGTCTGAATTCACATGCTTTGCAAAATGACCAATTTATTAACACAATTATGATTTTCCTGCAATCATATGAAATAATTTACACTTATTTTAACACACTGTTTTATATATGTGTGTGTATGTGTGTATACATATATACGTATATATATACATATATATTCGTATACATATATATGTGTATATATAGGTGTATACACACACACACTTATCAGCAGCAACGAGCCAAAATCCATTAAAATACTTTCAAGGCTGCACTTTACTTAAATCTGATTCAATGTTCTTGAGCTAAATAATACAAACCTAATATGGTTTAACAGTCCATTGGGTGCGATTTTCTTTGGGGTTTTGGCATATAATATGATGGATTGAATTTGAACTTTGGTCATGCTGGGGATATGGAAAGTCTGTGAGACCTTTTGTAGACAAGACAGGTAGATTTATCACGAGTGATTTTGACACAGGCTATTGTAAGTATATTATGTTTGTAATACACAGGGAAATTAAAGGGCCAGACTTCCTGATTAATATGTGACATCAGCTGGAACAATGGAGTCAGTATCAGAGTTCCCCTTAGTCAATAATATGTAATTTATTTGTGGGCAATTCAGGATAAAAACAAATAGGTTTGATTCATTTAAGCCCAAGAAAAAGCTACTATTGTTGGCAATCAAAAATACCCCTGAAAGAGAAGGGGAAAAACTATTTCCAAATATTGGGAGCTTTTAGCAGCAGCTAGAACAAAACTTTTGGTGGTTAGGAGAGCTAAGCTATTGTCTATTCTTTATGAGTTTCTTGATATAAAATGTACTCCCTAATGTTGACAAGCAACAATTTCACACTAGCGCACTTTTTATTTCTTATCCCATTTGTTTTTGATTTGATGTGGACAAGTTAATATGTCCAAGGGCCATAGGCAGTAGTTTTGCCCTTGAAAGGGGGAATTTATGTGATTTCTGTTTTTTTATTGTGTGCCTTTGGCACTGACATTTCTGCTTTCTCAGGACAAAAATAAAAATTACTTTAATGTTAAATTGACTGAACACATTCTTATGTCCAGCGATTACTACAAACGAAAAAAATACTTAATATTAAGAAATAGAAACCATGGAATATAAAATTTATAAAATCTATCAACCTTTATAGGACCCCATCAGCCATGAATTAATTATACAGTGTTAGTATCAATTGCTATGTTGACTACAACAAGTAAATAATTTAAAAAGTGGGCAAGATAATTCACATAGCTAGATTAAAGATGTCTTGATTATTTTACCCTGGGTCATAACAAAGTCAATTTTCCAGGATGCTGTATCACTTAAGATAAAACTGAGCTATGTAACAATGACATTACATTATTTTTCAGAAAGATTTTATATATATAATAAGATATATGCATATTCATATGCTTTTTTTTTTTTGAGACGGAATCTCCCTCTTGTCACCCAGGCTGGAGTGCAGTGGTGCGATCTCGGCTTACTGCAACCTCCACCTCCCAGATTCAAGTGATTCTCCTGCCTCGGCCTCCCAAGTAGCTGGGATTACAGGCATGAGTCACACTGCCCAGAATTTTTGTATTTTTAGTAGAGACAGGTTTTCACGATGTTGGCTCAGCTGGTCTCGAACTCCTGACTTCAAGTGATCCACCTGCCTCAGCCTCCCAAAGTGCTGGGATTACAGGCATGAGCCACTGCGCCCGACCACATATGCCTATACTTTTAGTTTTATCTTCTAAATGGATAAAAAAATGTGCTCTGGGTCAACTGGTAGAAGTTTAGGACATATATATATATATGTACTCCCTAATATTGACTCTCTCGCTCTCTCTCTCTCTCTCTCTCTATATATATATATACATATATATATATATTTTTGAGATTGAGTCTTGCTGTGTCAGCTAGGCAGGGTGGAGTGCAATGACGCAATCTCAGCTCACTGTGACCTCCACCTCCCGGGTTCAAGTGATTCTCCTGTCTCAGCCTCCTGAGTAGCTGGGATTACAGGCACACGTCATCACGCCCAGCTAATTTTTGTAATTTTAGTAGAGGCGGGATTTCACCATGTTGACCAGGCTGGTCTTGAACTCCTGACCTCAAATGATCTGCCTGCCTTGGCCTCCCAAAATGCTGGGATTACAGGCGTGAGCTACCGAGCCTGGCCCATTTTTATATAATTTTTTAAAGTAAAAATAACACAAATAGAATAAAGGCTCTGTTTTAGATGTAGCCCCATTATTGAAATAAAATTATAAAACTAGCTGTAATACAGAGACCAAATGGTGTAATCGAAAAAATATTTACTTTGTAGACAGACAAACGTTGTTTAAATCTGTGCTCTGCCACTTAAGGATACAACTGACCTGCTTCTTTGAAGTCATCTGTAAAAATCAGAAAATACCTACCTTGCCAGCTGGCAGTGTTAAATAAGAATAACATAAAGCTTGGTGCATAGGTATTAAACATATTTTTTTCTCTCTCTCAGTTTCACTCCTCATAGTGAAAATGAGATCTTAGAGTAATGGCTATTTTTGTCCCATGTATTGTAGTATCAAGAACATCTTTTGTATTTTTTGATATGGTCCTTTTTTGTTAACAGCTTTATTGAGACATAATTCACATGCCATACAATTCACCCACTTAAAGGGTATAATGCAATGACCCTAGTAGATTCACAGGCTTCTGCATCCATCACTACAATCAATTTTAGGATATTTTCATTACCCCAAAGAAACCTCACTCCTATAAGCCCTCACCCTCCAGTACTCTATCCTGCCAAGTCATGGACAATCACTAACCTATTTTCGTCTCTAGAGGTTTCCTATTCTGGACATATAATACGTGGTCCTTTGTAACTCACTTCTTACACTTAACACAAGGGTTTCCAGGTTCATCCGCATGGTAGCATGGGTCAGTGCTTCATTCCTTTTTGTTGCTGAAGAATGCTGCATTGCATGGACACACCACATTTTATTTACCCATCCATCACTTGATGACATGTGGGTTGTTTCCACTTCTTGGCTACTAGGAATAATGCTGTTGTGAAAATCCATGGAGAAGCTTTTTCTGTGGACATGTTTTCATTTCTTTTAGGTATATACCTACAGGTAGAATTGCTGCCTCACATGATAACTCTTTGTTACTTCTGGACTATTTTCCTTCCACAATATTTACATTCCTACCAGCAACATGTGAGGGTTTTGGTTTCTCCAGGTGCTCATCACCTCTTGTTACCATCTGTGTTTTTGACTAGACCCCTGGTAGTGTATGTGTGAAGGGCTGTCTCATTGTGGTTTTGATTTGCCTTTCCGAGATGGCTCACGAAGCTGAGCATCTTTTCATGTGTCTATTGGCCTTTTGTATATCATCTCTGGGGGAATGTCTACTCAGATCCTTTGTCAATTTTTCATTGGGTTCTTAGGGTTTTTGTTGTTGTTGTTGTTGTTGTTGCTGTTGTTTTGAGATGGAGTCTTACTCTGTCGCCAGGCTGGAGTGCAGTGGCGAGATCTCGGCTTACTGCAACCTCCGCCTCTCGGTTTCAAGTGATTCTCCTGCCTCAGCCTCCAAAGTTGCTGGGACTGCAGGTGGGCGCCACCACGCCCAGCTAATTTTTGTATTTTTAGTAGAGACGGGGTTTCACCATGTTGGCCAGGATGGTCTCGATCTCTTGACCTTGTGATCCGTCCACCTCGGCCTCCCAAAGTGCTGGGATTACAGGCGTGAGCCACCGCGCCTGGCCGTGTTTTTATTGAATTATAATAGTTATTTATACAAGTTCCTTAACAGATACATCGTTCCCCTTTTCCACACCATTTTCCTACTTTTTCTTCCTCTTCAACATCCCCATCCAACTTAACACAACACTCTTCATAGCTTCCATTTTCACCAGGACTTTTGGAAATTTGGATAAAAGTTTTTCCCATTGTAAATAGTCCATATTTGGCTGGACACAGTGGCTCACATCTGTAATCCCAGCACTTTGGGAGGCTGAGGCAAGCAGATTACTTGAGGTCAGGAGTTCGAGACCAGCCTGGCCAACATGGTGAAACCCTGTCTCTACCAAAAATACAAAAATTAGCTAGGGATGGTGGCTTGTGCCTGTAGTCCTGGCTACTCAGGTGGCTGAGGCAGCCTGGGTTCAATTGCTTGAACCCAGGAGGTGGAAGTTGCAGTGAATCGAGATCACGCCACTGCACTCCAGCCTGAGTGACAAAGAGATACTCCATCTGAAAAAAAAAAAAAAGTCCAAATTCAACTAAATGAGAGGCATCTCTGAGTTTCTAAGCAAAGTTTCTTTGCTGTTGGATTTCCTTTTTCATACTGCATAAATACTATACAGATTTTTGTAAAAATTTTGGCTAAAAGTCTACTGACTATGTGAGTACTGAAAAAAGACCCCAATTATTTATTCCAATTGCATTATTTATTTTTATTTTTAATTTTTTTGAGATGTAGTCTCACTTTGCTGCCCAGGCTGGAGTCTTGGCTCACTGCAGCCTCCAACTCCCAGGTTCAAACTATTCTCCTGCCTCAGCCTCCCAAGTAGCTGGGATTACAGGCACATGTCACCATGCCTGGCTAATTTTTATATTTTTAGTAAAGACAGGGTTTCACCATGCTGGCCAGGCTGGTCCTGAACTCCTGGCCCCAATTGCATTTATATATGCACAAATTATTTTCAGAAATATTTCCTTAGACACTGGAGCCACTTTTTAAGATTTTTTTATTTTTAATTTTTGTGGGTATATAATAGGTGTACATATTTGTGGGGCACATGAGACGTTTTGATACAGGCATGCAATATGAAATGACCACATCATGGAGAATGGGGTATCCATCCCCTCAAGCATTTGTCCTTTGTGTTACAAATAATCCAATTTCACTCTTTTAGTTACTTTTAAATGTACAATTAAGTTATTGTTGACTATAGTCACCCTGTTGTGCAATCAAATAGTATGCCTTATTCATTCTAACTTTATATTTTTGTCTACCCATCAACCATCCTCACATCCCCCCTCCACCCCCCAACTTCCTTTCCCAGACTCTGGTAACCACCCTGCTACTCTCTATGTTCATGAGTTCAATTGTTTTGATTTTTAGATCTCACAGATAAGTGAGAACATGTGATGTTTGTCTTTCTGTGCCTGGCTTATTTCACTTTACACAATGATCTCCAGTTCCATCCATGTTATTGGAAATGACAAGATCTTGTTCTTTTTATGTCTGAATAGTACTCCATTGTGTGTATGTCTTATATTTTCTTTATCCATTCATCTGTTGATGGACACTTAGGTTGCTTCCAAATGTTGGCTATTGTGAACAGCTCTGCAATAAACATGGGAGTGCAGATATCTCTTAGGTATACTGATTTCCTTTCTTTTGGGTATATACCCAGCAGTGGGATTGCTGGACCATATGGGAGCTCTATTTTTAGTTTTTTGAGGAGCCTCCAAACTGTATGGGAGCCATTTTTGACACAAATTTCTCACTTTTTTTGTAGCTTCTGTTATTTCTTTGCCTCCTGAAAATCCAGAGAATTTCACTGGAAATACTTTCATTTTTGTTATTTCTTTGCCTCCTGAAAATACATAATGTCATTTTTGTTTGTGAAAATTCAGCCTACCCCATAAAACATCTGAAGTGGAAGGCAAAGGCAGATAAAACATTTCTTCCCAATGATTATAGGTGCATTTCAATTCAGGTACATGAATCTTTGGCACAACACACACAGGCACTCAATATATTTGTTGATGACATTAATGAATTCTCTTTCCGAGACCGCATTTTATAATCCAAGTTTGAAATATTAAAATGTTTCCATTGTAACCATGTCAGGCAATATAATGCCTTCCATATTCAAGGTGATAGAAGATATACAAAATCGTTTCATATATATGATCTCATTAATAGGACCTAGGGGTCTGCAGGTGGTGACAGAAAGGATGAAAGGAGGTTACAGCATGCTGTAGTGCAGTGATTCTCAAAGAGCGGCTTAAAGACCACGAGCCACAGCACCTTCTTGACACCCTGGTGAAACGATCAGCTGCAGGGCTCAAGTGCAGCTGAAAAAAGTCAAGATTCAGGAGGTGTGCCTCATGAATCTGCATGTGAAAATAACTGTTCCAGATGAACTCATGCCACTCTAAAATTTGACAAACACTGATATAGTTAAACAAACAAACAAGCAAACAAACAAACGGCATAATATGCTTCAGAATGAATTGCACTATGAGCAAATTCACCTCTTTTATCTGGTTTCCTCTTTTTCTCAGGTATACCTCAGGATTGTTTAAAAATGAATATTGGCCAGGTGTGGGGGCTTACTCTTGTAATCCCAGCACTGTGGGAGGCCAAGGTGGGCAGATCACTTGAGGCCAGGAGTTCAACACCAGCCTGGCCAACATGGCGAAACCCCATCTCTAATAAAAAATACAAAAAAATTAACTGGGCGTGGTGGCACATGCCTGTAGTTCCAGCAACTCCGGAGGCTGAGGCACAAGAATTGCTTGAGCCCGGGAGGCGGAGGTTGCAGTGAGCTGAGATTGCACCACTGCACTCCAGCTTGGGTGACAGAGCAAGACTCTGTCTCAAAAGAAAAAAAAAAAAAGAATATGAATCATTACCCAGTGCATTCCATTGCCAAGTGTAAACACTCAATAAATGGTAGTTACTATAATCAGTATTTTTAACCATCTCTCTGGGGGCATTCTTCTCGGAATAATGGGTGGAGAGGACCTGTAAGTAGAGGAAACAGTGTAAGCAAAGCAGCAAGGACAGTCATGTTACACAAGTCATTCACTACAGCTGTGCAGTGTGCATGAGTGACAGCATTCACAGGTAGGAAAAGTAGGATTGAATTGGATAAGAAGATCCAATAGGGTGCAGAGGTTGGATTTTTCACAGTGAGCCATGAAGTCATAGAAAGACTGTATATCTTTATTATAAGAAGTTTCAAACATCCTCAAAAGTAGAAAGAAGAGTATAATGAAGCCCTCTACACCCACCACCCAGATTCAATAATTATCAATGGTTTGTCACATTTATTCATCCATCCTTTTTTGTTTTACTTTTTTCTTTGCCAAAATATCTTAAAGCAATCTCCAGCTTTCCTGTTATGTCACCCTGCATGGCTCAGTATGCCTCTATGGAATATATTGCACTTTCTTACATAGACAAAATGCCTTTATCATACCAGAAAAAATAGCGATATTTTCTTGGCATCATCTATCAGCCCGTCCATAATCACACCCCAACTTTCTTTGAAAAATCTTTTTACAGTTGGCTTTCTGAATTAGACTTCAAACAGTTCACACATCACAGTTAGTCACTAGGTTTCTCAAGTCCCTTTAATCTAGAAAAGTACTCTCCCTCATCCTTGTTTTTTATATCATTGGCTTATGGCAGAAACCAGGTGCTTTGTTCATACAGAATACTCCATACTCCTGATTTGCCTATGGTCTACCTTAGGGACGGCATGATCATTTATCTGTTAGTGAAATTACCAGAATTACAGTTTTGAAATGAATAAATATATATTCTATGGTAAGTCAAATAGTAATTATGTTAGTGTCATTAGAAACCAAGATTTTTAGCATCAAAGAAAACAAGTACAAATACAAGAGAAAGAAGATAAGCGAAAAATTTGTAACCTTAAATTTGAATTGAAAACATCAGTTTAAATCCGAGATGTAATTTTATTTTTGAAAAAACAAAACCAAACCATTTCCCAGCTCTGAGCAATGAAAAGGCCTAGAAGTTATGGCCAACCCTGTAGTCAAGAGCACCTGTAGCACCCAGATTATGGTTTTGCAATATAATTTTCCACTAAGAGGAAAGGAGGCTCCTTAGAGAAATGGCAGATTCCAGGTCTGAGGCAGCAAATACACAGATTGAGTCTGAACATCTTGTCATACCAAAAAATAAGGGCATTACCATTCCACTGGCACCTCCTCAACAGGACACAGGAACCAACTCGATGGGACTCCCACTGGCCAAAGAAACACAATGCAAACATCAGAAAACATAATGGCTAGCATGGATTGCAATACCTCAAATACATTTAAAACTTAAGTATTCCTAAAAATACTAACACAGGGCTAGAGAAACATGTGAAATGATACCACAGGGACGTAATCAGCCAAATCCAAAATGCAGGATATTTGACAGGACAAATAAGTTGCTTTCTTCAATAAACTAATGGTAAGAAAAGTAAAAGCAGGAAGCAAACTAGTATAGATTAAAAGAGACTTGAAAATTATATCAGCCTGGTGTGGTGGCTCTTGCCTATAATCCTAGCACTCTGGGAGACTGAGGCAGGAGGATCATTTGAGCTCAGGTGTTCGAGACCAGCCTGGGCAACATGGTGAGACCTTGTCTCTACAAAAACTACAAAAATTAGCTAGCATGGTGGCACACGTCTGTAGTTCCAGCTACTCAGGAGGCTGAGTTGGGAGGAGCACTTGAGCCCAGGAGGCAGAGGTTGCAGTGAGCCGAGCCGTGATTGTGCTGCTGCAGTTCAGCCTCGGCAACAGAGCCAGACCCTGTCTCAAAATAGAAAAAAGAAAAAGAAAAGAAAATCATGCCAACCAAATGCAGTGTGTGGCCCTTCTTTGGATCTGGATTCAAACAAATTATATATAAAAATATATGTGAACTAATTAAATCATTGTGAATACTGACTGGCCACTGGTGATATTAAGGAACTGTTAAAAAATGTTAAGAGCTATACTAGAACTGTGTTTATTTTTTTTTTTTTTAAAAAAAGAACCTTTATCTCATAGAGACCCATCCTAAAGTATAATGTCTAGGAACTGCTTTACAATAAGCTAGTAGGGGGTAGATGGATAGATCCTAAGGAGAGAATAAGAGATGAAAAAACTCTGGCCTATGTATATTGTGGGTGATGGTATATAAGAGTTTATTATGCTAAGCTCTCTTCTTTTTTTTTTTTTTTTTTTGAGACAGAGTTTCACTCTTGCTGCCCAGGCTGGAGTGCATGGCATGATCTCAGCTCACCGCAATCTCTGCCTCCCAGGTTCAAGTGATTCTCCTGCCTCAGCCTCCTGAGTAGCTGGGATTACAGGCATGCACCACTACACCTGGCTAATTTTGTATTTTTAGTAGAGACGGGGTTTCTCCTTGTTGGTCAGGCTGGTCTTGAACTCCTGACCTCAGGTGATCTGCCCACCTCAGCCTCCCAAAGTGCTGGGATTACAGGCATGAGCCACCACGCCGGGCCCTCTCTTTTTTTATATATGTTCAAAATGTCCATTGTAGGAAGTTATGCACAAATAAATAAATGCTGAAAGAAAATTTTTCTAACAACAGATTAGAGGTGGACCTCTGAAATACGATCTGATGTGATGACTGCAAATTTAAGGAATCAGGAAAACAGATGAATGTGTTGATGCTTGCCACACCAAAGATGAATATGGGAGAGCCTATGTATACATGAGACTGCTAAGTAGCTTTTTACTCCAAATTAAGGCTAAAACAGGAAAAATGGTGGATAGATCACGCTATACTTTTAAATGTAGTTACCCCTACACAGCATGAGAAGGGACAATAAGAGTTATTTACACTTTTAATTCAATGCTAATTTTTAATAAATAAATACTCTAAACTTGCATAATGAATGTTTATTACTTTGTCTTTTAGTTTTATTTTTTTATTTTATTAAATTTTTATATTTCCACAGGTTATTGGGGAACGGGTGGTGTTTGGTTACATGAGTGAGTCCTTTGGTGGTGATTTGTGAGATTTTGGTGCACCCATCACCCGAGCAGCATACACTGTACCCAATTTGTGGTCTTTTATCTCTCACTCCCTCCCCACCCTTTTCCCCATGAGTCCCCAAAGTCCAATGCGTTTTTCTTATGCCTTTGCATCCTCATAGCTTAGCTCCCACATATGAGTGAGAACATACAATGTTTGGTTTTCCATTCCTGAATTACTTCACTTAGAATAATAGCCTCCAATGTCATCCAGTTTGCTGCGAATGCCATTAATTCATTCAACTACCATGTGATCCAGCAATCCCACTACTGAGTATCTACCTAGAGGAAAAGAAGTCATTATATGAAAAAGATACACATGCATGTTTATAGCAGCACAATTTGCAATTGCAAAAACATGGAACCAACACAAATACCCATCAATCAACGAGTGGATAAAGAAACTGTGGTATATATATACCATGGAATGCTACTTTTGTCTTTTAAAAGTTAATATTTAAAGAGCAAATGGCATCCACCTTTCTGTATGATCTTTCTTCAACTTCCAATCTGCTGTCTTTTGCACCTGATCCTTTCTTTCAGTTCTTACAAAAGCACCTTAGCTGGGGTACCTACCTTCTGGGACTTCCCCTTCACTTTGTCCTGAATGTTATAACCACAGTCATCTTTTGACTTCATTTCCATCCTGTTCTCTCCCATTACCTGCAGAAGAACAGTCAAAAGACCCCAGGCTGGTTTTGATGTTCCTCCATTATCTTGCTCCAGCCAAACCCTTTCAAGCTTCTATCAACTATTTACCTTCCCAAGTCCTCTCTGCAAACCAAACTGATTCACCCCCGTCCTTTGAATGATGTGATCCATGTCTTCTCCCTTCTTTAAGAATACTGTGAAATATTTACCTTAGCATATATTCACGCTTCCATTCAGGAATACTAATACTCCTCATTTGTGACCTTTCATTCAACATAATTGTGACTTAATTTGTGATGTCTTTTTTTGTTATTATTTTCCTCATATCTGAATGCAAAATTGAGCCTCTAACAGTTTATGCTTTTTTTCTTCATTGCATTAGAAGCCTCTTAAAAGCAAAGATGGTCTTAAACTTTATGTTGCCCAAATATATAGTGGAATGACTTACAGAGAATAGAGATTCAAATATTAGCTAATTGATATTGCCACTCTAATACAAGACTGAATGGCAACTTAGAATTAACCAAGATAGTTTGTGAATAATTTGAAATGGTCTTCATAGATTCTAGAACTGAAAAGTCAGAGTAAAACTTGGCCACTTAAGAACACAAATTTCTTTGCTCTTAGGTTCTTTGTATATTAAATAAAGGTAAACAATGTGATTTGTCTGGGGAATATTGAACTCAAATGCTTTAAGACACCCAGTAATAATATAAAGTAATCCAAGCATGGCACAGATCTAGTTTAATTTGGGGGGCTTGATAAATACCAGTACATTTATAGGGATGTGTGTACTGGGGGAGGAAAGGCCAAATAGGAGTGCCTTAGTCTGCTCGGGCTGCCATAACAAAATACCACAGACTGTGTGGCTTAAACCACACAAATTTATTTTCTCACAGTTCTGGATGCTGGAACATTCAAGATCAAGGTCCAGCAGTGTTCGATTACTGGTGAGGGTGCTCTTCCTCGCTTGCAGATGGCTACCATCTCACTGTGTCCTCACATGGTGGGAAGAGAGAGCTCTACTATCTCTTCCTCATTTTATAAGGGCACCAGCTGTACTGGATTAGGACCCATTTTATTTAACCCTTATCACCTCCTCAGAAGTCCTATCTCCAAACACAGCCACTTGAGGGTTAGGGCTTCAACATATGAATTTTGGAGGAACACAAACATTCAATTCACAACAAGGGGTAAGGAAAGAGTGGAGTAGCACCATTTCATAACTGTTGGCCTGACAGTAAACCTCTAAGTGCAGCACATTATGAAGTATATTGTATCTTTCACTTATGCCACCTCTAATCTATTGGATGCATAGGCTCTTCATTCACATATCAAATTCCTGCATGGAACTGAGTCACAATGAACAGTAAAGATTATGAAGACTATACTGAACAGGCTGGGTGTGGTAGCTCATGCCTGTAACCCCAGCACTTTGGGAGGCCAAGGTCAGGAGTTCAAGACCAGCTTGGCCAACGTGGTGAAACTCCATCTTTACTAAAAATACAGAAAATTAGCTGGCCATGGTGGCAGGTGTCTATAATCCCAGCTACTCAGGAGGCTGAGGCAGGAGAATCGCTTGAACTGGTGAGGTGGAGGTTGCAGTGAGCTGAGATTGTGTCACTGCACTCCAGCCTGGGCAGCAAAGTGAGACTCCATCTCAAAAAGCAAAAAAAACAAAAAAACAAAAAAGGAAAAAAAAGATTTCAAGACTATATTGAACAAGAGGGAGAATATGAACCTGCTGACTATAAGAAAGGAAACAAATTTATACAAGTATAGACATTTCACATAAAATTATCATGTATATTTACTTATATACTTAAGATAGTTTTTTTAGAAAGTCGAGGTTTCCTATCAAAGTGTTAAATATAATTATTCTTTCCAGACAAAATAGGATCTAGTTTTTTAATAGTATTCACCCAATTTAAAAGCCTGTCTTACTCACCTGATGACCACATACCACTTTAGTTGACAAGAATAATTCAGTGATACTGTAAGTACTTTTCTATGGTAAACTTTCTGTTGAGCATTATGGAAGAACTAAAACAGGTTGAATGCATGATTCATTCACTGAAGAAGATTAACATTTTAAATGAGTTTAATCCTCTATTTCACAAATAGCTTAGCATAGCAATCTTTAAATACTCTAAGAATCAATAAAATGATTTGCAATTGGATATTTGTAAAATGTTGCCCACAGACCATCCTCAGCAAGTGACCAGAAGATTAACCAGTTTGTGAAATGACTAAGGTTCATCTACAGTCAACATGGCAGCAGAGACAGATATAAAATCGCATAAGTCACCCAGTTTTTAAACAGATAGTCCAAATTGTGTGTGGGGAGGGGTGTGGATCAGTGGAAACAGCGGGGTGAAAATCTTGGCTAGGATAGCTCATTTAAGATATGCCTTCGCCTGGCCCATTTTCAAAATTCTGGTATCTCTTTCGTAAAACAGTCAATATCAGATTGTTTGCAGGTAAGGTAGTCCAAGAGGTCCTGCACAGGAAATGTCCAGTGCTAGGCAAATGTCAAATGACCAATGCTGGGTCCTTGCTGGAGGTGTCAGGCCAATGGTAACCCCTTGGCGAAGTGCCTCTGCTTTAGCCTAAGTTCAAATGATCCGGTTTCAAACGGGGACTTTGGAAATGCCATACATTCTTCCCCAGTCTCAAATATGCTGGTTGTGTTAAACCATACAGAAATAAAAACCACTGTCCAGATGGATTCTATCATCACTTTGTCAGTGGATCCCTCCAGAGGAGGTTTCAATATTACTAGACAGAGTGGCCAGCTATACATCAGTCCACAGAGTGGTTCCGTGTTGTTTTTATCATGTCACGAATTCCCTTCTTAATCACATGGCCAACGCATTAGCCAGCCATGGTCTCCTTGAACACTCTAAAATTTGATTATATTAATACATCCATATTTGCACAGATTCTCCTGGCCCCCTGAGGCCAATATTTTGACTTCTCAGACAACCACCCAGTGAGACCCCATTAGCTAATTAATGATGAATGTTACTAATATGTGCCTAGAGTATATCCTCATTTTTTCCTATATTAAACAGCAATTCTAGTATATTCCTAATGATGCAGACATGATGGGCACCACTTTAGTTATCCCAGGTAGAGACAGTCTCTCAGAGGTTATCTATTTTATCCAAACGAATTCTGCCATAATAAGGAACCAATCCTAGGGACCTTGGCATGTTTTTTTTTGTTTTGTTTTTGAGACGGAGTCTTGTCCTGTCACCCAGGCTGGAGTGCAGTGGCACAATCTCGGCTCACTGCAACCTCCGCCTCCTGGGTTCAAGCGATTCTCCTGCCCCAGCCTCCCGAGTAGCTGGGATTACAGGTGCATGCCTCCATGCCCGGCTAATTTTTGCATTTTTAGTAGAGACGGGGTTTCACCATGTTGGTCAGGCTGGTCTCGAACTTCTTACCTCATGATCTGCCTGCCTCGGCCTCCCAAATTGCTGGGATTACAGGCCCGAGCCACCGCGCCTGGCCGACCTTGGCATGTTTTTGCAGATTATTGTCTACGTGTGGCAACTATTTAAGTGATGCCATTTCAAGGAAAATAAAAATTACCACTGACTGATTTTCTTCCAATCTAAGGCACATATCAATTGTAATAAGCCTAATTATTTTATACACCATGAAGAAAGAAAAACTCTTGACAGTTGAACTGTAGCAACATAACTTAGAATTCTTACTGAGTACTTACTGAAAGAGATCTTTTAGACTTATTTAGACCTGGATTTTACCTTTATACTTTTTTTTTTTTTCTTTTTTGAGATGGAGTCTCAGCTGTGTCTCCCAGGCTGGAATGCAGTGGGGCAATCTTGGCTTACTGCAACCTCCGCCTCCCAGGTTCAAGCGATTCTCCTGTTTTAGCCTCCCAAGTAGCTGGCTCATGTTTGTATTTTCAGGAGAGACTTGGTTTCACCTTATTGGTCAGGCTGGTCTCAAACTCCTGATCTCAGGTGATCCACTCGCTTAGGCTTCCCAAAGTGCTGGGATTACAGGTGTGAGCCACCGCGCCTGGCCACCTTTATTCATTCTTGTACGTACATAACAAAAAAACAGAAGTGAAATTAACTGCTTAAGATATCCCTAAAACTTCTTCGCACATAGAATTTGAATCTTCCAAATTACTTCAACTCAGACTTGTTGGTGTCCATGTGTTTTCAATTAGTAATGTCCTCTTGGGACATAGCATTTTTTGAAAAGAAGGCTCCACCACAGCCACTGACTCTCATTCTGCAAGTTCTTAGGACGGCACTTTCTTGATCTTACCAGAAGGGCACAAAAAAAGGTTTCTATAACCGATACGAATGTTCCTTCCTCAAATGAACCTAAAAGAGTTTGTTGACTGAAACACAGAAGGGTTGTAGTTTTCCAGCCAGGCTGCCAGTACTTATATTCAACTTTGCAAATATGTAGACAGTGACTAGTACTTCTGGCCTCTCTCTGGCTGTTCACAACTGTAAAAGGCCTTCCATTGTAAGGTACCTCAGCCTCCTACATTCAAGCGATTCTCCTGCCTCAGCCTCCCGAGTAGCTGGGATGACAGGTGCTGCCACCATGCCTGGCTAATTTCTGTTTGTATTTTTAGTAGAGACGGGGTTTCACTATGTTTGCCAGGATGGTCTCGAATGCCTGACCTCGTGATCCACCCCCCTCGGCCTCCCAAAGTTTCAGGATTACAGGCATGAGCCACTGCGCCCAGCCAACACTGGCATTATTAATACAGAGCAGTATACTTTTTCTATTGCCAGTATGTTAAAAATGTAAAACTATCTAAAGAAAAGTGTGTATAATTTTTAGTATATATGTAATAATCAAGATTATGAAATAACTTGAATTCATATCAACAGTGGAGAAGAATTTTTTGTTATTGTACTCTGGTTAGGCACTGGATATTTAAATAAATTATGTTTAAGGTCAATGAATTGACAAAACAAAAATTAACCAGCATGAAAGAAAACACACAGGTGAATATTTTATTAATATATAACTGTTGCGTTTTGGGAGGATTTAACGTAAATTTGAATTTTGAGGATGCATTCTTCTCCTGTTTCTCTCACCTGCCTGCCCTCTGCTGGATTCCCAAAGCTTACTGAGTTATTAAGCAATCTTTCTAAATGTACTTAACAAAATTGCAATTGTAGAATAAGCTAAGGGAATTGTACACTGTTTCCTGTACTTTGTTTAAAAGTGCTACTAAAGTAAATGATTGATCATAGATTTTACTTTTTAAGTACTGATAGAGTTTCAGTTTCAGTCTCACAATTTACAAAAATATTAACATTAACAGCCTTTCCATTTCATCCAGAAAGGTAATGTAGGTAATGTCACAACCATTCAAAATTTTTCAGGCTAGAAAAGCTGGGTGAGGTCGGAGCAGGGCAATGAGGAAATATCCAGTTTGATCAATTTACAAATTAAAAAAAGAGTAACTTACTCTGTTTGATTAAAATTATAATCCTATGCTATCAAAATATAATTTTAAACATTATATTCAGATGATATAAATGTACTTGATAATTACTATTTATATAGCACTCATTATTTACCAAGCACCTTCTAAGTACTTTACATGTATCAACTCATTTAATCACCACAGCAACCTATGAGATAAGTATTATTACATGTCCATTTCTCAGATGGGGAAATGAAAGCATAGAGATGAAGTGCCTTCAAGTTTGCCAGCTAGTAAGGAATACAGCTGACATCAAAATCTAGACTCTGTTTTCCTAACCACTGTGCTCTCCTGCCTCATCTCATGTTATTGTTCAGAAAATTATTTGAATTACAGACTTACTGTCATCCTGATCTTAGAAATAACAAATCAAAACTCAGAGATGTTAGATGAATTTCCTAAGGTATGAGAATTACAAATGTCAATTGAATCTCCTGAAAAGTACAAAGATCAAAGATCCATCTGTCTTTTTTAGAAGGCTAGTTTCCATAAAGGAAGATAATTTTATAATTCCTATGGGTTCTAAATGTCCTTCCTTTAATTGAGTTTTGTGATAGAAATGAATTATTTGACGTCCTGGAGCATCTTCTGTGCTAATTTTAATAGTTGTAGGGACATAATTCTATCTTAAATTTTATTAACTGACATAAAAGAGATGGAGTTGTATGCATATTTTGTTGATAGACACTCACGTAAGAAAGTGTTGATTGAAAACAGAAATCTTAAGCAGCCACTCAAATTTTAAAAGGAAAAAAAGGCCGGGCGCGGTGGCTCACGCCTGTAATCCCAGCACTTTGGGAGGCCGAGGCGGGCGGATCACGAGGTCAGGAGATCGAGACCATCCCGGCTAAAACGGTGAAACCCCGTCTCTACTAAAAATACAAAAAATTAGCCGGGCGTAGTGGCGGGCGCCTGTAGTCCCAGCTACTTGGGAGGCTGAGGCAGGAGAATGGCGTGAACCCGGGAGGCGGAGCTTGCAGTGGGCCGAGATCCCGCCACTGCACTCCAGCCTGGGCGACAGAGCGAGACTCCGTCTCAAAAAAAAAAAAAAAAAAAAAAAAAGGAAAAAAAGTTGTCTTCTTGTTTCCAGAATTGCCTGGTGAATCCACAGAGTACTTGGCATCCTCTGTTGTTTTCACAGCCCTACATTTCTGGTGACAATATTCTGGAGTGGGAAAAAAATTAAATGATTCAAAACTCAAATAATTGTTTCTCCCTCAAGGACCTAAAATTTGAGGTGATAAAAATGCCATTTTAAAACAATAGCTTTAAAAGGTGGTTGGGTTTTAGAAGTTAGGCAAAAGCAGCAGGCAGTTAAAATAACGGGGTATTGTGCAGCAGACATCTTACAGAGGTCAGAAATCAGGATGCGTGTTTGGGATGTGGGCATCAGATATGTTGGGTTGTGGGAATCACAGTTGAGATTGGATATCAAAAGTATTGAGACATGGAAATGGAAGTTACGACTATGGGAATCAGGAACTTTGGGACACAGGAGTGAAAATGGGACACAGGGGGAGGGTATTAACGATTTTAAGGTTTAAAGGAGTTCAGTTGTGGAAATGCAGATTTATGGACAGTGGATGAGCTATGAAAACCAAGGGTGAAGCATGGAAGATGCAAACAGGCTTATAATAATAAAGTATCTTATGTTGGATTAGACCTCCCACTGAAAACTATTATAAAGATAGGACACGTGTGTGTATGACAATTCTATCACATATATTAAATATATATAAAACTATGAGTAAATATGAATTATCAGCAATCATGCATGCACACACCCACACACACACGACAGATAAGTATCTTTAACAACTAAAGGCAATAGAAAAGGCAGAACTTAAGTGGCCACAAATCTTGAAAGAAGGAAAGCACAAGGGGTAAGATTCCAATTTACCTTAGATTCCCCATCTGCTCCTCCCTGTCATCACCCCAAGGCATTTTCCAAGTGGCAGCAAGGAATAACAGCTAAATAGAAAGCAGCAGTCTCAATAGGCTAGGAGCAAAGGCTGGAGTTTCGGAACAAGAGCAACTGAGATTTGAAGGACAAAATTCTAGAAAGAAAGAAACTATAGAGATGTGAGTCCCCAAATTTGTGTCCGTTCCTAAGATATACATGCACATGAAGAGACTCTAAGAAATCCAGCAGAACAACAGCACCTAAAGAGCTCAACAAAGATTTCAGCAGCTACACAGGGCTGAAGAGACAGAGACTAGAGTTCAAGCCCCACAAGGTGGAAGGATCTTGGTAAACATTCCAGGCTTTTGTTTTTTTGAGACAGATTCTTGCTCTGTTGCCTGGCCTGGAGTGCAGTGGTGCAATCACGGCCCACTGCAGCCTATAGCTTCTGGGCCCAAGGGGTCTTCCCACCTCAGCCTCCCGAGTAGCTGGAACTACAGGCACATGCTACTACACCAAGCTAATTTTTTGTATTTCTTGTAGAGATGGGCTTTCACCATGTTGCCCAGGCTGGTCTCAAACTCCTGGATTCAAGCGATCCACCCTCTCTGGCTTTCCAACGTGCTGGGATTATAGTCATGAGCCATCATGCCCAGCCACATTCTAGGCTTTTAGTTGTAAGACCTAGTAAGGACCATGGCCTAGGAGTAAGGTCATAACTGAAGTTAACCAGAATTAAAAAGACTCAATGATCCACTAGTACTCTTGTCTGCCTACCACAAGAAAACTTAGCCCTCCTTGGAGAAACCTGTTATCATCCAGAGCCTCTACAAATTTTCTTCTACATGGTTTGAATTCAACAAGAAATCATGAGATATGTAAAAAAAAAAAAAAAAAAAAAAAAAAAAAAAAGAAAGAAAAAAAAGGGCCAAGGGCCAAGCACCAAAAACCCAGGAAGACTCAGATGATTCAGAAATTGGAGTTAACAGATAAGGGCTTTAAATAATACAGTTAAAATGTTTAAGAAAATAAAGACAAAGAATTTCATCAAAGCCTTGGAATCTATTTTTAAAATGGGAGAGGAGGAGGAACCATGAAAATTTCAACTTTCTAAATGAAAATTCTAGAACTGAAAATATTATAACTAAAACTAAGAATTCAATAGAGGGGATGTATAGCAGCTCAGACACAGCAGAACAGAGTTTCTATGGAATGGACAGCAGGCAAATAAAAAATACAGAATAGAAATAAGGAATATAGCAAAAACTTATAACATACATGTAACTGGAGTTCCAGAATGGAGAGGTAGAGAGAGAGAAGGGGACAGATGCAATATTTAAAGAACTAGTGACCAAGATTTTTCAAAACTTGATAAAAAAGATTACATTCACACTTAAAGAGCTTTATGAATCCCAAGCAGGATAAATACAACACACACACACACACACACTTAGCGACATCAAGCACAAAGTGCTGAAGACAAAAAGAAAAAATAAAAAAAGAGAAAAATGTTCAAGTACCTGAGGAGGGGGCCAAAAGACAGGAGCAACAATTAGACTGATGGCTGATTTCTCAATAGAAACAATGACAAGCAGAAGACAATGAGAAGACATTTTTAAAATGCTGAAAGATTAAAAAAAAAGCCAATGTGAAATTCTATACCCAGCAAAACTATCCTTTAAAAAATGAAGGTGAATTAAGATGATTTTATGTTAACAAAAGCTGAGAGACTTTGTTGTTAGCAGACCTGAATACAAGAAGTGCTTAAGGGAGTTTCCCTCTTAAATACTACAGCACAGTGCTCCCAAATGGAAATGCTGAACTTGAAGAAAAAACGGAGAACATCAGAAAGCAGCAACTTTGACCCAATTCTGCTCCAATAAATTCTCATTGCAGTGGAATCATTTGTTGTAAAATATAAGTTCATATTAAACAAAATGCAGACAAAGAATGAGGTAAAGCTTGAATTTTACAACTTAACAGCATGTAGACATGGGCGGTTTAATTTTAACCAAAATCAAGTTAAAAACATTGTTAAGCAACAATGGAATTTGGGCCCTGGGAGTCAGGGGTCAAGGGCAACAGCTGGCATGTGGGAGTCAAAGGTTATGGCTGTGTGTGTCTGTGGTTCCTGGCTGTTAGGAGACAAGAAAATCTGTGGAGATGCAGGTGTCGGGAGCCATGGGCGATAGTTGTATTTTGAGGGTCAGGGGTCAAGAGAGCCTTTGGAAGACTTATGAGTCAGGGTCCACGGCTGACGGGTGGGTCGTGGTAGTTGTGTCAAAGGGCAGAGGTTGGAGGTCATGACCCACCAACACACGCCGGTTGAAACTTGAGCGCAAGGGACGGTTGAGATTCCCGGAGGACACGCCCCTATCGGCCCCGCCCCGTGCACCGCCTCCGTCGCCCCGCCCCGTCCCTCCCAGCCCCGCCCCGTCCCTCCCAGCCCCGCCCCTCCAGCGCTTCGAATGCGGACGCGAAGCCTGGCTGAGGCTGCGAAGGACGAGCGGCGCAGGGACCCCGCGGGCGTCTGGGGCTTCCGCGGCGCCCGCCTCTGCTCCCTCCCCTCGGGCGCTGGGTGCCGACCGGCCGGCTGGCCGGCGCCGCCTCCTGGGAAGATGGCGCTGCACTTCCAGGTCAGTGTGCTCTGCGCCGCGGGCCCGCGCTCCGCCACGCTGGGAACCCGGCGGGACGCGTCTGGAGACCGAGGGCCGAGGACAGCGGCGGAGGCCGCAGGGCCGTGGGCCGGTGTCCCCGGAGTCCCAGCCCCTGCCTCTGCCCCTAGCCGGGGACCGGGACACTGGTCTGGGCTGCACACCCCAGGCCCGGGCCGGAGCCCGAGAAAGGGGCGGCCGAGCCTGGGTTGGAGGCGGCGGGTGGAGGGGGCGGGGGACAGGCCCAGGGCTCGTCCCGGGGAAGGTGCGGACGCCGGCAGCACGCTCGCTGACCGCGGCTTTAGTGTTGCCAGGGCAGGTGGGAGTCCCAGCTGGGCCGGCTTTGGCGCGCCTCGCGCGGCTGCCGAGCGGTGGAGCAGCCTTCCCGCCTTCCCGCCGCGTCGCCGGCGCGGCTCTATCGTCAGCCTCCCTCCACACAGTTGAGCCCCAGCCGGAGCGGGGGCTTGGGATCCACCGAAGGAGCGGCGGCAGCGGTTGGACTTTAATTGGCCAGAGGAGACAGGGGCTGCGTCTGGGGGGAGTTGCGAGGGAGGGCTACGCGGCCGCCTCTTCGGAGGAGGAAACCCGGGCCGGGCGCGGGCGCGGGCGCGGACGCGAGGATCGCAGAGGCTACGAAGATGGGACGCGTGCTTGTATATCCTCGGGCTGCTCTGACATCCCCGTTCAGTTATTCAGCAAACATTTATTATCTCCCCACTGTGTCTCAAGCATTGTGGAAAGTTCTGGGGATAAAGGATGACATCTTACTATCCTCGCCCTCATACAGTTAACAGAGAATTACAGTACAAGTGAAAAATGTATGGTAGAAATAGTCACAGTATCATAGCACAGAAAAGGGGGTAGCCAGCCAAATGTGTATGTTGAGAAGGAGTGAAGCAGAGCTGCTATGCTCTTAGCTGAGAGATGCTTTAAGATTCTTTGAGCCTCCATTCTTCCATTTATTAATTATTGAGCGCCTACTATGCTAGGCGCTGAAGATACAACAGCTCTGAACAAAACTATGGTTTCTACTCTCAGGGAACTTGCAGTCTACTGGTCCTTGAAAGAGTCGTAGTTGTTTGCCAGGTGAAGAGGAAGGGAAGGATATGGAGGTAGAAGGACGTGTGAGCCAAGGCAAAGAATTGTGGAAGAACATGGTGTACTGCAGAAAGTTGAGTCTGGTTGGGACAAAGGGATGGGATCAGGGGAGGCAGTGGGTGGCAGGAGATGACCCCAGGGAGGGAAGGGAATTTCATAATATGGTGACAGTGTATCTAAGAATCTCATTCCCCTTGTAGACTCTTTTGAACCCCCTGTGATCACACTGATTTATAACTTGGCTGATTTATTGATTCTTCTAAAGGGTCTTTTTTTTAAAACCAGTTACTGTCTGATAATCGACAGTTCTAGAATGTTATGTAGTAAGCCCGACACATTACCTTTTGACTTCATGCCATTTCTAAGGGTCCTCAGGTCAAAATAATGTATTACCACTTTAGTAAATATGCCCTCTGGGAAATTTTCACAGGAAGAATCTTACAAGGAGGATTTATGGATTGTAAATAGGTAATCAGATGTTCACAGAGCCCGAGTAAATCTTGAGAGTAAATTAAAAGGTATGGTGGAACTTTGGAATTTTTTCATACATGGAAAGGTGATGTACAGTTAAATCACCAAGCCCTGGAAGACTTCTTCATATTTAGGCACAGTGTTGGAAAAGTTAGCTGCTGATGTCAAAACTACCCATATTGGTTTTGCAGGAATGTACTTCACAGTACATTCCAACATAAGTACTTCACAGTACATTCCTGTAGACAGCTTAAAAGCGGAGTTGGACAAATAAAAGATCAGACAGTTTTGTTGACTAGAAAAAAACTGAAATTTCTCCGTTTGAATTCTTTTTAGCATATAGGATCATATTGTTAATCAGTTAACTCAAGGAACATTTGTTAATAGTGATAACCAGTACCTAGCATTTTGAGTTTTCATATCCTCATTATAGAGGTGAGCCCTGCCACTAACTTAAAAAGTGTGCATATATACGTTTCATTCTGAAGACACTGAGTCTTAAAACAGTTGTGACTTGCCCAACGTTACAGAGTTAGAGTAGGCCTCATAACTCATAAGTTCCGTGTTCCCCATTACCTCTGTCTTACTGTCACCTACCCAAAAGGGCAGCTAGGCAAAAATTATACCATCAAGATGATGAGTAAAGAAGCAGATTTGTGTAGGGTGAGGTTAGGGTAGTGGTCAACATCTTTTTCACATCATGACATACATAAAAAATGTTAATTGTGTGTCTCATTAACATAAACCGCTCATTGCCAAAGGCCATCAGTGTGCACTTTCCCCAATGTCTCAAGCTCTGCTCCTAATGCTTGGAGGGCAGAGGGATCAATATCTCAGGCATACCTGTGAATCATTCAAAGCAGTTGCATTCTGGTTAGGAAGCTGTGAATTACGATACCCTGTCCCAAAGGAATTAATGGGTCTGGATTCCCTGACAGGCAATCCAGATAAGGGGGCAGAGTGAGGAAAAAGAATTGAGAAGAAGTAAGAGGTAGGCACTTTAGGTAGAACAGAGGTACCTTGGTAAGAATCGAGAGAATGTTAGGAAAAATTTAAGGGACTCAGTTGATCCAACTTTTTTGCTCAGGACTGTTTAAGAAGCAGGAAATATAGCCATGCTTCTTAATCTCCAGTCAAGCTACCTGATTTGATCTAGATGTGATTGAGAACTATTATTTTTAAATGCAATTATAACATGAGAAAAGGTATGTGGGAATGACCATTCTGGCAGTGTGGACTTGAATGGGAGAAACTATGGAAGATCCGTATGGTCTTTTATATTCACCAGTAACTGGAGAGATTATTTATGATTTATTGTGGATCTTCTGTATGGCAGGCACTGGATTAGGCTTTCCCCATCTTTTCTATCTTCATTCTACAATTAGTTTGGAAGGTAGATATTGCTGTTTGCAGGTTTGTTGTTGTTGTTGTTGTCGTTTGTTTTTTGAGACAGAATCTTGCTCGCCCAGGCTGGAGTGCAGTGGTGGAATCTCGGCTAACTGCAGCCTCTGCCTCCCGGGTTCCAGTGATTCTCTTGCCTCAGCCTCCTGGGTAGCTGGGATTACAGTTGCAAGCCACCATGCCCTGCTAATTTTTGTATTTTTAGTAGAGACAGGGTTTCTCCATGTTGGCCAGGCTGACCTCGAATTCCTGACCTCAGGTGATCCGCCCACTTCGGCCTCCCAAAGTGCTAGGATTACAGGAGTGAGCCACCGCGCCCGGCCCTGTTTGCAGTTTTAACAGCAAGGCTTAGAAAGGTTAAATTATTTGCCCGAGGTCACTTAATAAGTGAGTGGCAGATTCCAAAGGTTGTGTCCACTCTGTTGGACCAGTGGTTTTCAAATCGAACCATGACATTTCTAAGACCCCACTACTCTCTACTCGCATTCCCAGAGCAGCTTGAGAAATCCCTGGCCCTGGCAGCCACAGTTAGAAAATATTGCTTGATCTACTGTCTGTGAATATCAGGGGGAGGTGTTGAGTTGAGTCTTTATAGAAGAATAATTGGGAGGACTTTATGACAAATTAGGTATGTCCCTGGAATTAGCCATACTGAGATTAGAGGGCAGAGTCCACAAGACTGCCCTTTCTTCTCAGACCAAGTGCAAGTTTGGGGGTTTCCCAAAACCACCCTCAGGTTCAGTAGTTGACTCACAGAATTCACCGAAAGTTGTCATACTCAGTTGCAGTTTGTTACAGGGACAGGATACAGATTAA
Organism: Homo sapiens; assembly: GCF_000001405.40. Classification (NCBI taxonomy): domain Eukaryota; kingdom Metazoa; phylum Chordata; class Mammalia; order Primates; family Hominidae; genus Homo; species Homo sapiens. The sequence goes on from NC_000005.10 coordinate 170,865,856, forward strand.
AATTGGTCAAAGGAAGGTGACACAGGGCAACATCTGTGCAGGTTTCAAAACTAAGCTTCTGTTGGCCTCAGGACATGTTGTGCTCCCTGCATCAATATATGGCAATATGCACTAATTATTGCAAACTGGGTGAGCTCACCTAGACTTCATTATACAGGGTTTTTACTGGGGCTTCAGTTCTTAGGTATGATTGATTGATTGTCCACGTGTTTGAAATCAGTCCTAGGTTGACTATTACCTTGTGACCCAAAGTCCTGATCCTAAACATGTAATTGGTGTTTCTGGTGTGGCCAGCCCCCAGCCTACCACTATTGGGTATGGCCAGCCCCTCCCCTAAATAAAAACATTCCTATCAGGTATGATATACATTACCTTTCAGAAGCAAAGGCCAGATGTCTCTTATGGCAAGACCAAATCTGTTACTATACAGGAGGTACAAAGGAGACTAAGGAGAGGGGGAAGCAAAAGATAACATTGAGCTTGTAAATCTACACTCTGGTCTAGAAATCTGAAACTACTGAGAAGAAGGGACACTTAGGCCGGGCATGGTGGCTCACGCCTGTAATCCCAGCACTTTTGGGAGGCTGAGGCAGGTGGGTCACGAGGTCACGAAATCGAGACCATCCTGGCTAACACAGTGAAACCCCATGTCTACTAAAAATACACAAAATTAGCTGGGCGTGGTGGCGGGTGCCTGTATTCCCAGCTAATTGGGAAGCTGAGGCAGAAGAATGGCGTTAACCCGGGAGGCGGAGCTTGCAGTGAGCCGAGATCGCACCACTGCACTCTTGCCTGGGCAACAGAGCGAGACTCCATCTCAACAAAAAAAAAAAAGAAGGGACACTTAAAGTGGAAAGCATGTTCAATTCTGTTTGTCACATTTTTGGGTGATTTTTTTATATCTTTCTAGATTTCCAAGAGAAAGAAATTTGTACACAAATGTAAAGATGGTGAACAGACAGGGCTGAAAGTATGGACTGCCAGGCATGGTGGTGTGTGCCTGTAGTCCCAGCTACTTAGGAGGCTGAGGTAGGGGGATCACTTGAGCTTAGGGGTTCTGGGCTGTATTGTAGTGTGCTCCACCGATCAAGTGTCTCCACTAAGTTCATCAGTAATATTGACCTCCCATCAATATGGGAATGGGGGACCACCAGGTTGCTTAAGGAACGATGAACTGGCCCAGGTCAGAGACAGAGCTGGTCAAAACTCTAGTGCTGATCTGTAGTGGGACCATGCCCTTGCATAGCTATTGCACACCAGCCTGGGCAACATGGCAAGACCCTGTCTCTTGAAGTATAGACTAGGACATCATCTCCAGGTCGATGATGATGGAAATAAAGAGTGGCAATTTGGGCAGGTTGGGGGAGACAACATGTATTTGGGGTCTGTAGACTTGTATTTGACTCAGAATTTGATTATTTATCATTAATCTTGAGGAATTTATGTATATTTGATCTCAGCTTTAGTTTTTTAAATCTGTAGAATAAATATACTGAAAATACATACTTCACAAGAGCCTATTTTTCAGGATTGGTTTGAAAAAAAGGTGGAAATACTTTTGTAAACTATAAAGCACTAAAATAAATATTATCTATTTTATTTTAAGAAGGAAGAATTCCAAGAGATCCAGATAAAAGCCTTCAGGGATACTCAGGAAAAGGTAGTAAGAGGAAGAAAAAAAGAGTTTGTGGGAAATGAGTAACTTCAAAATGAAGGCAGTTTCTGTTTATTGTAATCAAGAAGCTTAATTCCAGAAGGCAGGAAAGATACAGGAAAGTAATTGAAAAGATCTTTAAATTCAATTGAAGAGGATTTTTGTGGCTTATTAATGTTTTACTATTAGGGAACATTTATTTCCTGAAACAAAAACATTTATTCTCTTTTTTCAGCTTTACTGAAGTACAATTGATAATAAAATGTGTGTAAACTGTGCAATTGGATGGGTTTTGCCATATGTATACATCTGTGAAATTGTCACCAAAATCAAGAAAATGAACATATCCATCCCCCCAAAAGTTTCCTTGTGCTCTTGTGCCCCTTTGTAATCTCTGTTTTTCCCCCACTCCTCTGCTGTCTTCCCTCCCAGCCAGGAAATCACTGATTTGCTTTCTGTTAAGAACCATACAATATACACTCTCCAGCATTCACCTGTTGATAGTTGCATGCATGACTATCAACACGTGTGGCTTTTACTCAGCATTCACCTGTTGATAGTTACATGTGTGACTTTTTACTTGCTATATAAAAATAACTCATCATTTAGGGGCCAATTCTGTGTCAGGTACAAAGGCCAGAAATAAGTCCAGAATAATTTGGAAGATCCTTATTTAGACTATGGTCAAGTTTACATCATTGTCTCCTAGGGTATGAAAGTTGGATGCTGTCTGTTTTTGTGTGTGTGTGTGGTTTTTTAGACAGGGTCTTGCTCTGTCACCCAGGCTGGAGTGCAGTGGTGGGATCTTGGCTAGCTGCAACCTCTGCCTCCTGGGCTTAAGAAATCCTCCCACCTCAGCCTCCCAAGTAGCTGGGACTACAGGCATGTGCTACCACACCTGGCTGATTTTGTTGTTGTTGTTGTTGTTGTTGTTGTATTTTTTGAAGAGATGGCATTTTGCCACATTGGCCAGGCTGGTCTCAAACTCCTGAGCTCAAACAGTTCACCCACCTTGGCCCCTCAAAGTGCTGAGATTACAGGTGTGAGCCGCCATGCCTGGCCTGTCTGTTTGTATTTGATAGTTACTCTGTGGGAGGTGAATGATGTCCACTTCTCTTTGTTTTACCTCTTAGTTATTTATATGGGCTTCTAATGTTATCATTAAGACTTGTAGAAGCTTTAAGAACTCAAACCTGATTTGTCAACAAATTGAGAAGGGATCCATTTTTCTGAGACCATTCTCATATTAATCATATTCTCAGATATCAATGCATAAAACTAAGATGAAAATTTATCAGTTTACTATAAAAAATAAAGTTTCCTTAGAAAATGAAGTGCTAAACAGAAGATTGCTTGATTGGTTAGTAACCACCATATTGTGGGCTTAATTGCTTTATACGTCTAGATAATACCTTTCTACCAGGGGAAGGGTCTTTGTGTGTGTATCCCTTTCTCTAAAAAGGTTTTTAGTATACCAGGTATAAGTTTGTTACCTTTACAGTGAAAGAATAACTTGATTTTCCCTTTGAGTCTTTTGTAAAAGAAAATTCAAACCTTTCCCTTTTTATCTTGGATGGCCTTTTTCATTTGTTAATAATTTGAAATATCTTTGGAAAAAAAGAGTGATTGGTAACATTGTTGATTTAAATACTATGTAAATATACCCCAGGTCTGTTCTGTCTTGAGGTTCTTTATATCAGTAAAACAAAACAGACAAATAATTTCCAGACTTTTCCATAATCTTTCCAAATAGGTTTATTTAGGTGCCATTAAATTGATTACTATTCATATTACTTTTCTAGGGCTCACAACACTTTTTTTTTTTTTTTTTTGAGTTGGGAGTCTCGCTATGTTTCCCAGGCTGGCCTTGAACTCCTGGGCTCAAGCCTACTGCCTCAGCCTACTGAGTAGCTGGGATTACAGGCATGTGCCACCGTGCCTTAATACCAATATATTTTCATAGATCTGGTGGCCAGAAATCTGAAACATACACTGGTTTGGTCCCTTCTGGAGGCCCTGAAGGAGAAACCATTTCATGCCTTTCGCCCAGCTGCTTCTGATGGCTGCTGGCAATCTTCGTTGTTTCTTGGCTTGCAGAAACATCACTCTAGTCTCTGCCTACATCTTCATATGGTCTTCCCTGCTATGTCTCTGCATCTCAAATCTCCCTCCTTTCTCTTATAGGAATACCAGTCAGTGGATTTAGGGCGCACTGTAAATCCAGCATGATCTCATACCAAGATTCTTAATTAAGGATTTGTGAAGACCCTATTTCCAAATAAGGTCACATTTATAGGTACTGGAGTTGGGAGATGGACATATATTTTAAGGGGATATAATTAAAATCATTACAATATTATTAGGTAATGTTAAAAACAACTGTGTACCAGAAGTTACATGACACTAACTCTTAATCCTCCAAACCTATGAGATTGGCACTGTTACTAGTCTCATTTTTGCTGCCTTTTGTTAAACAGGTCTATTACTATTTCTTGGCCTAATTCTTTTTGCAGTCAAAGTCTACTTCAAAGAATCTTAGGCCTAGATGAATGCATGCCAGCAGGATCAGTTTATTAATTATACCGAGTATTATCAGTTCTAAAATTCAGTCCTCCAAATTTATTAGATGAAGGAAAAGACTTCTTAGGTTGATCATGAGAGGGAAAAAGGGACCCCTTTTTATTTTCATATATAAATACATATTTAATTTTACTTTAAGTTCTGAGATACACGTGCAGAACGTGCAGGTTTGTTACATAGGTATACATGTGCCGTGGTGGTTTGCCGCACCTGTTGACCCGTCACCTAGGTATTAAGCTCTGCAGGCATTAGCTATTTGTCCTCATGCTCTCTCTCCCTCCCCTCACCCCCACAACAGGCCCCCTGTATGTGTTGTTCCCCTCCCTGTGTCCATGTGTCTTCATTGTTTGGCTTCCACTTATGGGTGAGAACATTTGGTGTTTGGTTTTCTGTTCCTGCATTAGCTTGCTGAGGATAATGGCTTCCAGCTTCATCCATGTCCCAGCAAAGGACATGATCTCATTCCTTTTTAATGGCTGCATAGTATTCCATGGCTTATATGTACCACATTTTCTTTATCCAGTCTACCATCAATGGGCATTTGGGTTGTTTTCATGTCTTTGCTATTGTGAATAGTGCTGCAGTAAACATACATGTGCATGTATCTTTATAATAGAATGATTTATATTCCTTTGAGTATATACCCAGTAATGAGATTGCTTTGTCAAATGATATTTCTGGTTCTAGGTCCTTGAGGAATCACCACACTGTCTTCCACAATGGTTGAACTAATTTACATTCCCACCAACAGTATAAAAGCATTTCTATTTCTCCACAGCTTGGCCAGCATCTGTTGATTCTTGACTTTTTAATAATCACCATTCTGACTGGTGTGAAATGGTATCTGGTTGTGGTTTTGATTTGCATTTTTCTAATGATCAGTGATGCTGAACTTTTTTTCATGTGTTTCTTGGCCACATAAATGTCTTCTTTTGAGAAGTGTCTGTTCATGTCCTTTGCCCACTTTTTTTTCTTATGAGATGGAGTCTTGCACTGTTGTCTAGACTGGAGTGCAATGGCACAATCTTGGCTCATTGCAACCTCTGCCTCCCTGGTTCAAGCGATTCTCCTGCCTCAGCCTCCTGAGTAGCTGGGATTACAGGCGCCTGCCACCATGCCCAGCTAATTTTTGTATTTTTAGTAGAGACAGGGTTTCACTATGTTGGCCAGGATGGTCTCGAACTCCTGACCTCATGATCCGCCTGCCTCTGCCTCCCAAAGTTCTGGGATTACAGGTGTGAGCCACCACACCTGGCCACTACATTTGCCCACTTTTTGATGGGGTTGTTTTTTTCTTTAAATTTGTTTAAGGTTCTATGTAAATTCTGGATATTAGACCTTTGTCACATGGGTTGATTGCAAAAATGTTCTCCCATTCTGTAGATTGCCTGTTCCCTCTGATGATAGTTTATTTTGCTATGTAGAAGCTCTTTAATTAGATCCCATTTGTCAATTTTGGCTTTTGTTGCAACTGCTTTTGGCAATTTCGCCATAAAATCTTTGCCCATGCCTATGTTCTGAATGATATTGTCTAGATTTTCTTCTAGAGCTTTTATGGCTTTGGGTTTTGATTAAGTCTTTAATCCATCTTGAGTTAATTTTTGTATAAAATGTAAGAAAGGGGCCCAGTTACAGTTTTCTGCATATAGCTAACCAGTTTTCCCAGCACCATCTATTAAATAGGGAATTCTCTCCCCATTGCTTGTTTTTGTCAGGTTTGTCGAAGATCAGATGGTTGTAGATGTGTGGTCTTATTTCTGAGGTCTCTATTCTGTTCTATTGGTCTATGTGTTTGTTTTGGTACCAGTACCATACTGTTTTAGTTACTGTAGCCTTGCAGTATAGTCTGAAGTCAGGTAGTGTGATGCCTCCAGCTTTGTTCTTTTTGCTTAGGATTGTCTTGGCTATGTGGGCTCTTTTTTGGTTCCATATGAATTTTAAGGTAGTTTTTTCTAATTCTGTGAAGAATGTCAATGGTAGTTTGATGGGAATAGCATTGAATCTATAAATTACTTTGGGCAGTATATCCATTTTAACAATATTGATTCTCCTTATCCATGAGGATGGAATGTTTTTCCATTTTTTTGTGTCCTCTCATTTCCTCGAGCAGTGGTTTATACTTCTTCTTGAAGAAGTCCCTCACATCCCTTGCTGTATTCCTCAGTATTTTATTTTCTTTGTAGCAATTGTGAATGGGAGTTCATTCATGATTTGGCTGTCTGCTTGTCTATTGTTGGTGTATAGGAATGCTTGTGATTTTGCCCGTTGATTTTGTATTGTGAGACTTGGCTGAAATTGCTTATCAGCTTAAGGAGTTTTTGGGCTGAGATGATGGAGTTTTCTAGATTGTAGGATCATGTTGTCTGCAGAGATGATTTGACTTCGTCTCTTCCTATTTGAATACCCTTTATTTCTTTCTTTTGCCAGATTGCCCTGGCCAGAACTTCCCATACTGTGTTGAATAAGAGTGGTGAGAGAGGGTATCCTTGTCTTGTGCCAGTTTTCAAAGGGAATGCTTCTAGCTTTTGCCTATTCAGTATGACATTGGCTGTGGGTTTGTCATAAATAGCTCTTATTATTTTAAGATATATTCCATCAATACCTAGTTTATTAAGAATTTTTAACATGCAGGGTTGTTGAATTTTCTTGAAGGCATTTTCTGCATCATTCTATTTTTCTGCATCATTCTATTGAGATAATCATGTGATTTTTGTCATTGGCTCTGTTTATGTGATGGATTATGTTTACTGATTTGCATATGTTGAACCAGCTTTGCATCCCAGGGATGAAGTCGACTTGATTGTAGTAGATAAGCTTTTTTTTTCTTTTTTTCTTTTTTTAAGACGGAGTCTTACTCTGTCACCCAGACTGGAGTGCAGTGGTGCAATCTTGGCTCGCTGCAACCTCCACCTCCAGGGTTCATGAGATTCTTCTGCCTTAGCTTCCCAAGTAGCTGAGACTACAGGCACGTGAAACCGTGCCCGGCTGATTTTTGTATTTTAGTAGAGATGGGGTTTTGCCACGTTGGCCAGACTGGTCTTGAACTATTGACCTCAGGTGATCCACCCACCTTGGCCTCTCTAAGGGCTGGGATTACAGGCGTGAGCCATGGCACTGGGCTTGGATAAGCTTTTTGATGTGCTGCTGGATTTGGTTTGCCAGTATTTTATTGAGGATTTTCACATCGATGTTCATCAGGGATACTGGCCTGCAGTTTTCTTTTCTTGTTGTGTCTTTGCCAACTTTTGGTATCAGGTTGATGCTGGCCTCATAAAATGAGTTAGGGAGGAGTCCCTCCTTTTCAGTTGTTTGGAATAGTTTCAGAAAGAATGGTATCAGCTCCTCTTTGTACCTCTGGTAGAATTCGACTGTGAATCTGTCTGATCTTGGACTTTTTTGGTTGGTAGGCTATTTTTTTACTGCTTTAATTTTAGAACTATTGGTCTAATCAAGGATTCTACTTCTTCCTGGTTTAGTGTTGTGAGGGTGTATATGTCCAGGAATTTTTCCATTTCTTCTAGATTTTCTAGTTTATTTGCATAAAAGTGTTTATAGTATTCTCTGATGGTAGTTTGTATTTCTGTGGGGTCAGTAGTGATAATCCTTTATCATTTTTATTGTGTCTATTTGATTCTTCTCTCTTTTCTCCTTTATTAGTCTAGCTAGCAGTCTATCTATTTTATTAAGTTCTTATAAAAACCAGCTCCTGGATTTATTGACTTTTTTTGAAGGATTTTTCGTGTCTCTATCTCCTTCAGTTCTGTTCTGATCTTAGTTATTTCTTGTCTTGTGCTAGCTTTTGGATTTCTTTGCTCTTGCTTCTCTAGTACATTTAGTTGTGATGTTAGGGTGTTGATTTGAGATCTTTCTAACTTTCTGAAGTGGGCATTTAGTGCTATAAATTTCCCTCTTAATGCTGCTATAGGTACATCTCAGAGATTCTGGTATGTTGGCTCTTTGTTCTCATTGGTTTCATAGAATTTCTTGATTTCTGCGTTAATTTCATTATTTACCCAGGAGTCATTCGGGAGCAAGGTTAATTTCTGTGTAGTTGTGTGGTTTTGAGTGAGTTTCTTAATCTTGAGTTCTACTTTGCACTGTGGTCAGTGAGACTGTTATGATTTCAGTTCTTTTGTATTTGCTGAGGAGTGCTTTACTTCCAGTTATGTGTCTGATTTTAGAGTAAGTACCATGTGGCACTAGAAGAATGTATATTCTGTTTTGGGGTGGAGAGTTCTGTAGATATCTATCAGGTCCCCTTGATCCAGAGCTGAATTCAAGTCCTGAATATCTTTGTTAATTTTCTGTCTTGTTGATCTACCTAATTTTGACAGTGGGGTGTTAAATTTTCCCACTATTATTGTGTGGGAGTCTAAGTCCCTTTGTAGGTCTCTCGGAACTCATTTTATGAATCTGGATGCTCCTGCATCGGTTGCATATATATTTAGGATAGCTCATTATGTTGAATTGTTCCCTTTATCATTATGTAATGCCCTTCTTTGTCTTTTTTGATCTTTGTTGGTTTAAAGTCTGTTTTGTCAGAAACTAGGATTTTAACCCCTGCTTTTTTTTTTGCTTTCCATTTGCTTGGTAAATTTTCCTACATCCCTTTATTTTGAGCCTATGTATGTCTTTGCATGTGAGATGGGTCTCTTGAATACAGTACACTGATGGGACTTGACTCTTTGTCCAGTTTGCCAGTCTGTGTCTTTTTATTGGGGCATTTAGCCCATTTACATTTAAAGTTAATATTGTTATGTGTGAATTTGATCCTGTCATCATGATGCTAGCTGGTTATTTTGCCCGTTAGTTGATGCAGCTTCTTCATGGTGTCCTTGGTCTTTGTATTTTGGTGTGTTTTTGCAGTGGCTGGTACCAGTTTTTCCTTTCCATATTTAGTGCTTCCTTCAGGAGCTCTTGGAAGGCAGGCCTGGTGGTGACAAATTCCCTCAGCATTTGCTTGTCTGAAATGGATTTTATTTCTCCTTCTCTTACGAAGCTTAGTTTGGCCAGATATGACATTCTGGGTTGAAAATTCTTGACTTTAAGAATGTTGAATATTGGCCCCCACTCTCTTCTGGCTTGTAGGGTTTCTGCAGAGAGATCTGTTGTTAGTCTGATGGGCTTCCCTTTGTAGGTGACCTGGCCTTTCCCTCCTGCTGCTCTTTATGTTTTTTCCTTCATTTTGACATTGGAGGATCTAATGATTATGTGTCTTGGGGTTGATCGTCTTACTGAGGTTCTCTGTATTTCCTGAATTTGAATGTTGGCCTGTCTTGCTAGGTTGGGGAAGTTTTCCTGGATGATATCCTGAAGTGTGTTTTCCAACTTGGTTCCACTCTCTTTGTCTCTTTCAGGTACTTCAATCAGTCATAGGTTTGGTCTTTTTACGTAGTCCCATAGTTCTCAGAGGTTTGTTCATTTCTTCTCATTCTTTTTTCTCTCCTGCCTTATTTCAGCAAGGTAGTCTTCAAGCTCTGATACTTTTTCTTCTGCTGGATTGATTTGGCTATTGATACTTGTGTATGCTTCACAAAGTTCTCGTGCTGTGTTTTTCAGCTCCATCGGGTTATTTATGTTCCTCTCTCAACTGGTTATTCTAGTTAGCGCTCCTGTAGCCTTTTATTATGGTTCTGAGCTTCTGAAGCCTACTTCTGTCAGTTTGTCCATCTCATCCTCTGTCCAATTCTCTGCCCTTCCTGGAGAGGTGTTGCTATCATTTGGAGAAGAAGCACTCTGGCCTTTTGGGTTTTCAGCATTCTTTCATTGATTCTTTCTCATCTTCATGAGTTTGTCTAGTTTCGATCTTTGAGGCTGCTCACCCTTGGATGAGGTTTTTGTGGGGACTCTTTTTGTTGATGCTGCTGTTGTTGCTTTCTGTTTGTTTTTCTTTCAATAGTCAGGTCCCTCTTCTGTGGGGCTGCTGTGGTTTGCTGAGAGTTCACTTCAGGCCTTGTTAGTCTGGGTCACTCCTGCACCTGGAGATGTCACCTGAGGAGGCTGGAGAACGGCAGAGACAGGTGCCTGTTCCTTTCTCTGGGATCTCTGTCCTCGAGGGGCACCAACCGCTTCACTTGGCTGGGAGTAGGGGCTCCCCTGCCCTGTGTGGCTCTCAGGTGGGCCAATGTACCACCTTGCTCTTCCCTCCTCCCTGTGGGTTACCCCAACTGCCTAGTCAGTCCTGGTGACAGAACCTGGATACCTTGGTTATCAGTGTGGGATTTGCATGTTGTTTTGGTTCTTCTCAGTGGGAGCCTCCGATCGCCACTGCTTCTAGTTGGCCATCTTGACCCCCTATTTTTGTATTTCTTACCTGGATAAAACAATATAATTTTTACGTATTCATGAACTATAAAGATTGTATGCATTTTCCTGTTGTGAACAGTATGTAGTAGTAATCTGGGTTTGTTTGGGCTAATCTAGGTGGGGGAGATGTTTAAAATGTAGTTCATTTGAGGTTCTTTATCTTAATCAGCCTATTTGAAATCTTATTTTTGGACTTCTGTGTTTACTCTAGCAGGAAATTTCCAAATCTGGGATGCTGGGCTCTGATGTAGTTAGGGAAATGGAAAATGCTATAAAAGCGCTAAGAAGGAGAGAGGAAGAGAGAAGTAAAAGGAATAATGGAAGCTAGAGTAGGTCTCATTTTGGTGTTACTTGTGTATTCCTTTAATGAGAAGGTATATGCACATGAGGGAATGTGTGGGCTAGTGTAGCTATAAGGTTACCACATAAAATTCAGGCTAGAAAGGACAAAAAAATTGCATTTTTTTAAAAGGAATATCCCATTGTTTTCATATGCCTACCTGACATTGAAATCTGTGCCAATATTTTTTCTTTCAGAGACTGATTCTCTAATTCAAATTTAAAGTGAGGTAATTTGTTTTCAGAAGACCTCTTTAACAAAAAAATTTTTTGGAGAGGAGTGCTGAACTCATTTTTTAATTCTTTTTTTAGATGGTTTCCATGTGTCCCAGATCGTCATGAGATTAGATTTATATCATCAAGATAGGATGATGAACAGAATGCTTTAGTCTTTATGCTTGTAAAATAGGAGACTTTAACATAACTGGTTATTACATTGCTAGAAATACCATGGGATCAAGTCAAAGTTCCTGAAAATCCTGCAGCACTTTGAGTTGTTGGTTCAGAAGCCCGAAATCAACATATAATAAAAATAATATATATATATTTTTGAGACAGGGTCTTGCTCTGTCACCCGCTGAAGTACAATGATAGTATCAAGGCTCACTGCAGTCTCAAGCTCCAGGGCTCAAGCGATTCTCCCACTTCAGCCCTCTAATAGCTGGGACTACAGGTGTACCCTACTATACCCAGCTACTTTTGTTGTATTTGTAGAGGGGATTTTGCCATGTTGCCTGTGGTGGTCTTGAACTCCTGGGCTCAAGCGATCCTTCCGCCTTGGCCTCTGACAGTGCTGGGATTATAGGTATAAGTCACCATGCCCGGCCTTAAATTCTTAAAATTTGAGAAAGAATATAAATTTGGTTATCTGCAACTTGTGCATGATCATTTCCCCCATCCATCTCCCTAACCTCATCTGGTATCTCCTTGCTGTGTTTATCAGCCGCACTGACCTTTAATGCTTTGAGATGACTAAATTCCACTCTACTGAAGGACCCTGGTAAATGTTCTTTCTTTGCCTGGACTGCCTTCTAGTCTTTTTAAAATCTGATTCACTGTTGTAGGTCTCAGCATAAATATTATTTCTTGAGGCCTACCTTTCCAAATCCTTGTTGTAGACAAGTTCTCCCTTTCTTGTACTTTTCCATTGCAGAACTATCAATTTGTAAGTAAATAATTTGGGGAGTAGGAGATGGGCCTGTTTTGTTTGCAACTGTATCCCCTAGTAAGTAGTTGTATATCGATAAACATGTATTGAATTAATGAATACACATGTGATATTTGTATCCCTTGTTTTTTGTGGTTAAATATTTACCTCATTTTTTTCATTGAAGTAAAATGTTAATTTTTTTTTCTTTGAAGAGTTTGGCTGAATTGGAAGTGTTATGTACTCATCTCTACATAGGGACTGATCTTACACAAAGAATAGAGGCTGAGAAAGCACTCTTGGAACTTATTGACAGTCCAGAATGTCTCAGCAAGTGTCAACTTTTATTAGAACAAGGAACAGTAAGTATTTGGTAACAATGATTAACCATGAAAGATCAGTAGATGTATGTCATTGTTAATGAACTCGTGTGTTAGCAATGGTAACTGATAGATATTGCCACATGGTTTTTTTGTTTTTGTGAAACTATAGTTTCACTGTCAAAGGGGTTAATCAGGAAAAGAATTGGAAAACCTGGAAAGCAAACTTAGGGAAGAGCCAGGAAATGAAATAGGAATGAATTGAGATAGTTTCTTGATTACTATTGGTCTCTTTTTATGTCTCATATTAGTGGGCAAATTTACATTTTTAGGAAGTTGACTAACAACTTAAAAAAATCTAGATAGGGGAGGCAGATTGTAATTACCTCAGAAACATGAAAGGATGATTCGAAAGCATGCTGATTACCTCTTGCCTGCCTCCCATCTAGATATTCATAGTCTAGACATTCATATTCATTTAGTAAAATATTTAAATGTCAAATCAGATGCTGTACTGCTTACTTGATTTATGTACATGAATTAAAGTAGCAGTTTGTTTAGTTGGAGAGGTAGATACCTAAATAGCTATGAAACGATTGCAGTAAGAGACTGTGTGGTCTAGAGCAGAGTTGTCAAACTTTTTCTGTGAAGGGCCAGATAGCAAATATTGTAGACTTTCTGGGCCAGGAGACAAAATGGAAGATATTTTGTAAGAACATCTATAGAAAGAGAAAAAACAAATTTCTACAAAGTTTTATTGATGAGATTCAAAATATAATAATCTAATACAGACTTTTTAATAATACAGGTCTGTTAATGAAGAGAATAGAACTGTTTTTGGGCGGATAACATTTTTCTATTAATAACTGGAGTTCAGAGTTGTTTTCTATCATCATCATTGATTGCAGATGTTCATATGTTAATGCTGATCTATAATGAGATTTTACATATTTTATATTTGAAAGTATCTTTTCACATAGATAGGTACTGCTAAATACTAATATCAGTCCATGAGCATATGATTATAATTAAGCACATTCATCATTTACAAGGCATTTAAAAAATTCTGTTAAATGTTGATATTTGCCTTTTAGCATGTCATTATATGCAGATTGACCACTTCCAATTGAAGATTAAGTGGGAGCTCTTAATTGCACAGTTAAATGGATTTTATAATATGGAAATTTCCTTTACATTTGCATCAAGATCTGAAGCTGGAGCTGTAGTTGAAGCTCAGAAAATATATCTCTGAATAGAGAGCTCACTACTTGTTTTAACTTTTGACAATGTGGGAAGTATATAAAGCTGCCTGACATTACTTGCATTTCAAATGATGTTATCAAAATGGCTTTACTGCAGTATAAGTTCTGCATATAGGTTCTAAGCACTTTTTAGGCAATTTTGTATTTTTGGTTGAATTTATTGAGGAACATTATCAATTTTGCAACAAAAAGTAAGTTCCAAAGCCATTTCGTGTTGAACAATGGTGACTTGGTTGTTCTGAATGAGACATTCAGAAAAATTTTAGCCTTATCCCTGAGCTAAAAAAATAGCAGTAAAAACTTATCACTGATAAGCTATTAAACTATTGTGTGAGGAGACAAGTAAGGATATTGTTTCCAACACAGAATATTCAGATACTGCTTCTCTATCTTACAGAAATTAACAGAGCTAAAGTTCACAAAAGTGAATGAAGTCCACTGTTAACACTACTGATTTATTAACTTACAATAGATTCATATATTTACCACACAGTATCTGCTGATGAATAATATGGTGAATAACCATAGACTTTAAACATCTTACATTTTTCACAAGCTTTGTAAATTTGTTCAGCTAAGCCCTTTTCCGCTCCATATGTTTTACCACTAGTGTGACATATCGTAGCAGATTCTACTTCAGTTTATATTGAATTAATGTGTCCTCAACTTCTTTGGAAATATTCTGTCCTGTAGTTCTCCCACAGTCTTCATAGAGGCCAATTCTTTAGTTGCTTCACACTCAGCATTGACTTCTAGAATAAACAGATAGTAAGTATTGGTAACATTAATGGTATGAGCATTATAAGAAACATCTGTCCACTCATCAAGACTTAAGGAGAACCTTTCCAAATCATTTGTCTTGTTTTCAAATTGACTTTTGATGTTGTTCCAGTGTCTTCAGCTCTTTGAGAATTTGCTCCCACCAGAAACTAGTAATCTTATTTTCTCTGCACATATAACTTTGGCTGCTGTAATAAAACAATGTTGATTTAATTAACTCATCATCGGTAAATGGCTGTGTGATTGGCTAACAAATGAGCCACTTGGAAACTTTGGTTGCAGTCTCATTTTTTATATTTGTAAAGACAGTCTACTATGATGAGATATCCAATTTTCTATTTTTTCTGACTTTTGATTTCCTGAGTTGGGAATATTGTGATGGGAATATTGGGGATATTGCTTGGTCTGATATTGTCAGCATGTATTGTATTCTTTTAGGACAACCATAGTACCATTACATAAAAAGCACATTGTTTTGCTATGTAATCAATGAAAGAATAGTCCATACTCCATTGTGCCTTAAAAATTAGATATTTGAAGTCCATTTTTATCTTTTCTTATTTCGATATGATAGACATGTGCTGGTAATAATAAAAGGTATGTGTCATGTCATGACAACACCCATGGCTCTCTAGGCACTGTAGAGTTGTAGCTACCTCACTGTGGTTTATGATACGCTGAGCAGCAGTAGGAAGCACTGAGCGCCACATGTGGTCTCTGTTTTAGCTATTCAATTCTGCCATCGTGGCATGAAAGCAGCCATAGGCAGTGTGTAAATGAATGAGCATGGCTGTGTTTTAATAAACTTTATGGACACCAAAATACAGATTTCATATATTTTTCTGTCACAAAATATTGTTTTGATTTTTTTGAACAGCTGAAAAGCTGTTTAAAATTGCAAAAAACATTCTTAGGTCACAACCCATGTAAAAACAGGCAGGATTTGGTCAAGGGCCATAGTTTGCCAGCCTCTGGTCTAGAGAAAAAAAGAGGGAGTATCTTTGCAAGAATTTCTAGGAGGTGGAGTGAATACATGAACCAAATTTTCAAGGGTGAGCATGCGTTTAGACAGTTTGAGTATAGTATTAAGATAATTGGGGGCCAGAGAGAATATAGTCAGACATGGGTTTCAAGGAACACGGAGGTCAGGGTGGGGAAGATTTGGAAAGGAACCTAAAGGCTGTCATGGTCAGAGCAAAGTCAAGAATGGAATCAGATGAATTTGAAGAGATAATCAGAGGCCAGATGATGTAGGGCTGTAGACCATGGTAAAAGTACTGTATTTTATTTGAACTTGCTTTATTTCTCCTCTTTGCTTATTGTTATTTGAGATGGCTGTCTACATCTCCCTCAACTAATGATTTCTTTTAAGAGATTGTATGCCTGTGTATGTGTATCCTTTTCTGTATGTATGTATCTCAAGTTGACATATTTTATCTATTGTAAATTTGCCAGTTTGGAAAACCGGAAGAATTTCTGTTATTGCTTAGAAGAACATCTCTATCACAATGCTTTATTTTAATTTCATTTATGATAATAATAAATAAAATTATTCTTTACAGACATCCTATGCTCAGCTCCTTGCAGCAACATGTCTTTCAAAACTTGTCAGCCGAGTCAGTCCTTTACCTGTTGAGCAGAGGATGGACATCAGTAAGTGGCTTATTATGCTTTTTAACCAACTGCGCTTTAAAAATCTTTTTCTTTTAAATATACTAAACTGTTACTAGGATTGCAAATTTTTTATGTCTGTCATTTTTAAAAACATGAGTATCAAGTCTCATTTACTCATCTGTGATGAACAGTGATGTGTTACATAAAGCAACGTCTAATCAAAAAAGCATTTTTTTTCTTTTTTTGAGACAGAGTCTTGCTCTGTCACCAGGCTGGAGTGCAGTGGCGCGATCTCAGCTCACTGCAACCTACGCCTCCTGGCGTAGCAATTCTCCTGCCTCAGCCTCCCGAGTAGCTGGGACTACAGGTGCACGCTACCACACCCAGCTAATTTTTGTATTTTTAGTAGAGACAGGGTTTCACCATGTTGGCCAGGATAGTCTTGATCTCTTGACCTCGTGATCCGCCCTCCTTGGCCTCCCAAAGTGCCAGGATTACAGATGTGAACCATCATGCCCGGCCAAAAAAGCATTTATTTAATGATAAACAATAACTAGCATTTTGTGTACTATTTGTTAAGATTTGTACTATCTCATTTTATCCACCAAATAAGATTTTTGAGTTATCCTCATTTCACAAATGAGGAAGTTAGATTTGCAGACAGGCTCTGTCACGTGCCCGAGATCACACAACTAGAAAGTAGTAGGGTTATGATTCAAAGCTACTCTACCTGTTTAGAGTCCAGGCTTTTAGTCATTATCTTAACTTGGTATGCAACTGAATGACAGGACAGAATTCAGCTCTCTGGTGTTTTTCAGGATGCTATATCAAAATCATTTGGGGTATATGTAAAATAAAAGCAGGTTCTTATTAGGAAGATAATTTATATATGGATAAACAGTCTTGGAACTTTACTTGAAAAAATGATTTTATAAAGTAGCAGTATGTTTTTTGGAGTTAATGTATTTTAAGTTTTTGTGTGTATGTAAGTAGCTTGCATTTCATATGGACAAAATTGTAATAATTGAGGTGTGGGGTTTTTTGGGTCATCTTTGTTCATATTAGAAATAGATTGTTGACTCATTTCTGTTCTTCAGCCTCAAGGTTAACATAATTTATATTTATCAGAAAAGTTAAAATGTATTGTATGTGATGGATCTTTAAGTTTAAATTTGACTGGTCAAAATCTCACAATGATACCTTGTTTTCCTCTATATTGACTGTTATTTTTATAAGCACTCTGAGTCTTAGGTACTGCAGAAAGCCTTGAGAAGGATTTATCCACTGTTGGACTTGCATACTTAAGAAAGCAAAGGAAAGGAGTTTACAGTTTTAAAAATAAGGGTTCAAATAGTGTAAAGCTAAGTCATAAAACTTGTGATTTTGTTTATTATACTTTTCAATACACATCTTTTAAATAGACTTAATTTTTTTAGAGCAGTTTTGGGTTCACAGCAAAATTGAGCACAAAGTACAGAGGACTTCCGTATAGTCCCTTCTGCCACACACGCACAGCTTCCCATCTATCAACATCCTGCACCAAAGTCGTACATTTGTTACAATTGATGAACCTACATTGATACATCATCATTAACCAAAGTCTGTAATTTACATTAGGGTTCACTCTTGGTGTTGTATTTCTATGGATTTTGACAAATGTGTTAATACAATGACATGTATCCACCAATATAGTATTATACAGAATAGTTTTACTGCACTAAAAATTCGCTCTTCTCTGCCTATTCATCCCACCCTCCCCCAACCCTGATCTTTTTACTGTCTCCATAGCTTTGCCTTTTCCAGAATATGATATAGTTGGAATCATACAGCCTGAGGTATCAATCATACATGTAGGCTTTTCACATTGGCTTCTTTCACTTAGTAATATGCATTTAAGGTTCCTCCATGTTTTTTTCATGGCTTGATACCTCATTTCTTTTTAGCGCTGAATAATTCTTTGTTGTCTGGGTATACCGCAGTTTATCCATTCACTTACTGAAGGGCATCTTGGTTGCTTCCAAGTTTTGACAATTATGAATAAAGCTGCTATCAACATACATATGTGGGTTTTTGTGTGCCCAAACATTTTCAGCTCCCTTGGATAAATACCTTGGAGCACAATTGCTGGATTATATGTTAAGAGTGTGTTCAGTTTTGTAAGAAACCACCACACTGTCTTTCAAGGTGGCTGCACCACTTTGCATTCCCACCAGCCATGAGTGAGAGTTCCTGTTGCACCACATCCTTGCCAGCATTTGCCATTTTCTGGATTTTGGCTAGTTTGATAGATGTGTAGTGGTATCTCCTTGTTTTAATTTGTATTTCCCTGAGAACATATGATATACAGCACCTTTTTATGTGCTTATTTGACCTCTGTACAATTGACCCTTGAACAATGCGGATATTAGGGGCATTGACCCCCTGCGCAATCAAAAAGTCACAACTTTTGACTCCCCCAAAACTTAACTGCTTATAGTCTACTGTTGACTAGAAGCCTTACCAATAACATAAAAACAGGCTGATTAATCCATATTTTGTATGTTATATGTGTTATATACTATATTCTGTGAATAAGCTAGAGAAAAGAATATTATTTGGAAAATTAAAAGAAAGATAAAATGTATTTACTATTCATTAATGGAAGTGGATCATCATAAAGATCTTCATCCTCATCATTTTCACATTGAGTAGGCTGAGGAAGAGAAAGAGGAGAGGTTGGTCTTGCGGTCTCGGGGTGGCAGAGGCAGAGGAGGCAGGAAAGGCAGGAGCACTAGGTATAACCTTATGGAAATACATTGTAATTTCTGTCTGACTTTTTTGCTTTTTCATTTCTTTAAAAATGTTTCTATAAAGTACCAATCCTTCTGTGTTCACTTTAAATTCAGTGCCCTGTATCATAGAAAGGTCCATGTCCTGAAAGAAGTCTGGAATAATGGAAACATTTCTGCCAGATTGTCCAATGTTAATTTTTTTTTTTCTGGCACTGCTGTTTCTACTACATCTTCTCCCTCATCATGTGGCACTGGTTCAGAAGCACTCATCTCCATAAAATCATCTGTAAATTCTGATGTTTCTTTTGTTAGATTCCCTAGTAGGTGTAGGTTTCTCCCTTGTGTAAAACTTAGCAATTTGTAGGAAACTTTGATCTTTTTTTTCAAGTGAGTAATGTCTGACAGGCTTAGACCTTTTGTCGCCTTTACTTAGAGTTGACGTTAGTAAATCCTTAAAGGCTTTTTAGTAGCAGACTTCCAAAAGATTCAGGAATTTTAGCATACTTTTAATTTCAGATTTTCAGCTGACTTTAGCTATAGTATACAGTAGGTTAAGACTCATGTCTATGACTTTTACTCGAAGAACAGCAGTAAAGTACAGAAGTTTTCTATATTTAGCCAAGATTTATTTCAGTAGAAGATAATCTTCTCTGACTAATCTTTGAGATTGGAATAAGCCTTTAAAGATAAACCTCAGAATTCTCATTTTGGGGTAATATCATCCATTTCAGTTCCCTAGGTTTGGCATAGGAGATAGTGACTACACTGGTGTGTGACTCTTTTCCTGGAGATTTCTTCCTGAAAAATGCAAGAGCTGTTGGTGAGAGCAGGCTTGCAGTGATAATAGTTGAGTCTGGTCTACAAAGATTTTGTAACTCCTTGGAAAGCCTCTTATAATCATTCTTAACCTCTTTGTAGCTAAAAGTTTAGAGTAGTTGAAATCTGTAGGAATGCACTTCTGAGGGCCAAAAATGTGACTGACTTGGGAACAATTCTTAAACTGATTAACTAGCTGTAATATAGTTTTGTGAATTTATTGCACTGATCCTGTACCTTGTGGTGTATTTGTCCCTATTAAATAAGTGTTGTTTTGTCCTCTTTAATGTTGCTTGTAAACAGTAGTGCCCATTGAAACATATATTTGATTTTTAAAAAATGTTTCATATGAAAACTACCTATTAGGTTTATTAGATCTTGAATTTCTCCAAGATCCATATCTTGAAACCCTTCACTCTCCACCTTTTTTTTTTTTTTTGCCACATCCACAGTCTCTTTCATGATTTCCTTGACTGGCTCTGCTGTTGTATATCCTGTGAAGTCATGCACAACATCTGGACAGAGCTTCCTCCAGCAGGAATTTATTGTTTCAGGCTTGATGGCTCTCATGGCTTTTTCTATAACAACAATGGCATCCTCAGTGGTAAAATCCTTCCAGACTTTCATGAATGTTCTCTCTGTGGGGGTTCTCTTCCATAGTGTTGACAATCCTTTTTATACAGTACCGTGTGTACCGTGTATGACCCCTAATTCAGAGGCTAAATTAGAGATGTGTTTAGGGGCACATAGACCACTTTAATGTCCTCATTGAACTCATGGGGTTCTGAGTGGCCAGGGACATTGTCCAATATGAAAAGAACTTTAAAAGGTATTCCCTTACCGGCAAGGTACTTAGTAACTTCAGGGACAAAGCATCTATGAAACCAATCCAGAAAAAGGTTCTCTTCTAGGCCTTGTTATACAGCCAGAAGACTGGCAGCTGGTATTTATTTTTTCCCTTCAAGGCTAGGAGATTAGCAGCTTTGTAGATAAGGGCAGTCCTGATCATAAACCTGACTACATAAACCTTGACTGTGGTTGGAACATGTACAATCTAAGCGTGTGTGTAAGTTTTGATAAATTTTAACTTTTTATAATAGATTTGTGTATATTTTATGATAGTAAATGATAAAATAGAGTAGTATCTACATTTATACCTTCTTATTTTTAAAAATATTTCAACACTACACCATTCATTTGAGGTGCCTTTTTTTTTTTTTTTTTTTTTTTGAGACATAGAGTCTCACTTTGTCACTGAGGCTGGAGTGCAGTGTGTGATCTTGGCTCACTCCTCCCTTTGCCTCCCGGGCTCAAGTAGTGATCCTCCCACCTCAGCCTCCCAAGTAGTTGGGACTACAGATGTGACTACCATGCCTGGCTAAGTTTTTGTATTTTTTTTCTAGAGATGGGGTTTCACCATGTTGCTCAGGCTGGTCTTGAACTCCTGAGCTCAAGCGATCCGCCTGCCTCAGCCTCCCAAAGTGCTGGGATTATAGGTGTGAGCCACCATGCCCGGCTATGTCCGAGTTTTTAAAAATTGTCATAAGTCTCCAAAAATTTTTCCAATATATTTATTGAAAAAAATCCATGCATAAGTGGTTCTCTACAGTTCAAACTCATGTTGTTCAAGGGTGAACTGTTACCTTCTTTGGAAAGGTGTCTGTTAAGGTCATCGGCCCATATTTTAATCAGATTGTATTCTTATTTTTGAGTTTTAAGAGTTCTTTGTGCAGTTTGGAAAGCGGTTCCTTTGATATGTCTTGTGCAAATATTTTCTCCCGATCTGTGGCTTATCTTTTTATTCTCTTGACATTGTCTTTTGCAGAGCAGAAATTTTTCATTTTCATGACAAAGTTTACCTTATTCATTCTTTCTTTCGTGGATTATGCCTTTGGTGTTGCATCTAAAAAGTCATCACTGAACCAAGGTCACTTAGATTTTCTCTTATTTTATCTTCTAGGAGTTTTATAGCTTTATGTTTTACACTTAGGTCTGTGAACCATTTTAAGTTAATTTTTGTGAAGGGCATGTAGTCTATGTCAAGATTCCTTTTTTCCATGTGGATGTCCAGTTGTTCCAGCACTATTTGCTGAGAAGACTTTTCTCATATTTAAAAGATTCATAACATATTTTGTTACTCCCTTTGCTCCTTTGTCAGAGATCAATTGACTGTATTTATATGGGTCTATTTCTAGGTTTTTTTATTCTGTTCTGTTGATTGGCATCTTAGTTGGTTTTGTGCTGCTGTCACAGAATAGCTGAGACTGGGTAATTTATCAAAAAAGAAATGTATTTCTTACAGTTCTGGAGGATGGAAAGTTCAAGATCAAGGGGCTGGCATCTGGTGAGGGCCGTCTTGGTGCATTATCCCATGGTGGGAGGGCAAAGAGAAGGCAAAAGAGAGTGACAAAAGGGGGCTGAAATCGTCCTTTTTAAAGGACCTACTCCTGAAATAATGACATTAAACCATTCATATGGGCAAAGCACTCTTGGTGTACTCATCTCTTAAAGATCCTGCCTCTTAAGATGTTACAGTGGCAGTTAAGTTTCAGCATGAGTATGGGAGGGGACAGACATTCAAACTGTAGCTGTTGATGTGTCATTTCTTTTGCTGATACCAAACTGTCTTGATTACTGTAGCTTTATGGTATGCCTTGAAGTAGGGTAGTGTCAGTCTTCCAACTTTGTTCTTCTTCGGTATTGTGTTGGCTATTTTGGTATTGTGTTCGGTATGGTGTTCGGTATTGTGTTGGCTTTTGCCTCTCAATATAACTTTTAGAATCAGTTCATTCATATACACAAAATAAATTACTGGGGTTTTCATTGGGATTGCATTGAATCTTTAGATATAGTTGGAAAATACTGATATCTTGACAGTGTTGAGTTTCCTGTCTAGGAACATGTAATATGTATTCATTTATTTAGATCTTCTTTGGTTTATTTTATTATAGTTTTGTAATTTTCCTCATATGGGTCTTGTACCTACATATTTTGTTAGATTTAAATCTAAGTATTAATATTTCATTTTTGAGGGTACTAATGTAAGTTATTTTGTGTTTTATTTCAAGTTCCAGTTGCTGGTAAAGCAGAGTGATTGACTTTGGTATATTAACCCATATTGTGTAACCTTGCTGTAATCATTTATTAGTTCATAATTTTTTGTCAGTTCTTTCATATTTTCTACATATCATGCCATCTGTGAGCAAAGACACTTTTAGTTCTTCTTTCTTAATCTATATGCATTCTATTTCTTTTTCTTATTGCATTTTCTAGGACTTACAGTATTATGTTGCAAAGCAGTGGTGAGAGGGGACATCTTGCTTTTTTCCCAATCTTAGTGAGAAAGCTTCAAGTTTCTCACCATTAAATATGATTTTAGCTGTAGGTTTTTTGTAGATGTACTTTATCAAATTGAGAAAGTTGTCCTCTATTCCTAGTTTGCTGAGAGTTTTCATCTCATTCATCACCATTCAACATCAATGGATGTTGAATTTTGTCAAATACTTTTTCTGCATCTATTTATGTTATCATGTGATTTTTCTTTAGCTTATTGATGTGATGGATTACATTAATTAATTTTTGAATATTGAACTAGCCTCATATATCTTTTTTCTTTCTTTTTTTTTGTAGTTTCTTTTTGTTCCATGTTCTCTTTCTCTCCTTGCTTTCTTTTGCTTGCCCTTTCTTTCTCTCTCTCACACTCTCTCTCCAGATAGTTCATAAGTTAACTCTCTAGACATAGATTATAGTGTATACTTCTCACTATTAGAATTTAGGGTTGTTTCCATCAGAGGATTTTTAGTTAAATTTTGAGGTGTGTATCGTCTCTTTCCTTTCCCAAATGACATACTGGCTTTTGGGGCAGAGGTAGAAATTGAGTGTTTCCCCTTTCTTTTAATTATTTTTATATTTTGATAGCACACTCTAAAAGACTATCTACAAGTTTGGATTTAGAGTTTTGAATTATGAATTATTACTAAAATATATGATTTGTCCAATATTTGGAAACAGGAAGCAAACAAAAAATCGGAATGAACCACAATAACCTGATTCAGAGTCCCAGTCATTTTACATTTTTGACCTTCATATTTTTGGCCTATAAGACAGAATAATAGTAATACATAATAGCAGTATCTTCACATTGCTATGAGAGCCACATCAAGTATTTGATGGGAAGCACTTCACAATTTCTGACATGCTTCATAAACATGAAATATTATTGTTACTGTTATATAGGCTTTTGACACGCAAAGGACCTCTAGTGTGTAGCTTTCCAACTTTCTACTGACTTTTGTCTGGGGTTTTTCCCAGCTGTTTGTTGTGGTTGTTGTTCTCCCATGTATCTTCCCAAACATTTCCATTTCTTCTTAGTATGGCTTTTCTCTATTAATTGTACCAGTGAGGAGGAGATTGCTGATGTTTTAAATGATTGTAATTATTGGTGCTTACTAAATTGGAACATTCTTATAGTTTGTGTAAAAAGCATAACATGAGAATATTTTGTGTAAAACATTCAGCTAAAGTAACAGAAACATATTCTAGTGATTTTTTTTCCCTGCCTTAGATAATGAATTTATTAGCCCTAGGTACCTTTGTTTGGGCAATCTGGGAACATGTCCTTGTTGGTATCTAGCTTTAAATGTGAAACTTGGGTTGTCTCCTATTTGTTTGTTTTATTATTATTTTGAGATTACCCTCCTCCTAGTGGTCACTACTACCCACATAGGGTTTGCCTGTATCCACTGCAAGATGAACATTTTCAGGATATTAAAAATAAAAGTGTAATTGAAGTAAATACACTGGATTTTCTTTTATATTCAGGAAGCAGTGTCATCTTCTTATGTTTTGTTATTGAAATAAAAGATTACATGCAACAAAGCTTAGAACCATATTACTGTGATTCGTAGGAGAAACTTCTCTGATATTTGTCCTAATGCTAAGGAAATTATGCTTTTTTTCAAAATGTATTTTATCTTTTTTATTGTATAACTATTTTAATATTAATAAAAATTAAGGTTGAAGTATAATAGTTACAAGAACTTTTTTAAATATCAAGAATCTTACTACAATTATCAAGAATGCTTGTTGCATACATTCTTGGATTTTGGAGTTGTTTCCATCAAAGCTGTTTTTAATTAAATATTGAGGTATTTACCTTTTCTTTACTATTTTCCCAAATGGCATGCTGGCCTTTCAGGCCAAAGTGGAAATGGAGTTTTTTCTCTTTTAAAAATTCTTCTTGTAGTTTTCCGAGAGACTTCTTGGTGTATTTGTTATCTGACTTCATGAGTCAACTAGAAAGCTCATAACTGAATTTGCTATCCACTTTTAACAGTTTTGGTGTATTAACTTTATTACAAGCTTGACTTTACTATTCTACTTATGCTTTCTTGAATTTATATATTTATTTTATCATATTATACTGTTTATGTTTGTTTTTGGTGGGACGGGATCTCACTCTGTCACCCAGGCTGGAGTGCAGTGGCATAGTCATTCTCAGTGTCCCAAGTAGGTAGGACTGTAGGCGCATGTCACAATACCCAGCTAATGTTTTAACAATTTTTTGTAGAGATGGGGTTTATTTGTATTTTTAATGCTACCTCAAGAAGACAGTGTATAGTCACTTTTGCTATAACATGACATGTTCCTAAAAGTGACTGTGCTATGCAATGCTACATAATAAAAAGCACAGGGCTTATGAGAGAAATCAGATTATGAAAATAAAATTTAAAAGTTTTGTCAGTGACATATTTAGAAAAAGATACAAATCAAATCAAAGGTTAGTAGAGTTTTACACATTAAATGGTTAAGGAAAGCATAGTACAATAAATATGACACTTTACCTTGGGAAAGACCTGAAGTTTGTTCTTAGAAGTGGGACTCAGAAGGGTTGCAGCTTGTGAGTTATTGTAAAGTGGTGAAAGAAAGATGATCTGAAATAGTATGGAAAGATATAATACCAGATAAGGATGGGTGGGGTTGATGATACATAGTAGATGTTTGAGGTATATGCGTTTTGTTCAGTTGGCCTGTATATTAGTTGGTTCTCACACTGCTATAAAGAAATATCTGAGACTGGGTGATTTATAAAGAAAAGAGGTTTAATTGGCTCATGGTTCTGCAGGCTGTACGGTTAGCATGGCTGGGGAGGCCTCAGGAAACTTCCAATTATGGCAGTAGGTGAAGGGGAAGCTGGCATGGCTTACATGGCTGGAGCAGGAGAAAGAGAGAAGGGGGAGGTGCTTCACACTTTAAACAACCAGATCTAGTGAAAATTACTATCATGAGAACATCAAGATGGAAATCTGCACCTATAATCCAATCACCTCCCAACAGGTCCCTCCTCCAACATTGGGGACATGAGACTTGGTCAGGGACACAAATCCAAACCATATCAGCCTGGTTTCGGTTTTCTGCATTCACCTAGCATTTTTTGGTAGATAAAATCATGCAGAAACAAAAGTGACATATTCAACAAAAGTGTTCTATTCACGTTTTTCCCTAATATATCAAATGCATTGGAACAAATTTGCTTTTTCAAAAGAAGCCTAATAAAAGAACTGTATAAATAAACATATGTCTTGAGGAGAGCTATTAACTTTTTGTCACAGCATGTCATTGCCACCTCTTTTTCTGTTTTTTGTAACAAATACTGCAACTTTTTTGTTTAAAGTTCACAAAATTCTTTTTTTTTTTTTTTTTTTACATTAAGTTCTGGGATACATGTGCTGAACATGGAGGTTTGTTACATAGGTATACATGTGCCATGGTGTTTTGCTGTACCTATCAACCCGTCATCTAGGTTTTAAGCCCTGCATGCATTAGGTATTTGTCCTAATGCTCTCCCTCCCCTTCCCCCACCCCCACCTCTCTTTCTTCATATGATTCACACTATGTTGTTTCTGAAAAGTCCAGATGACCCATGGAGTGTTTTCTTTGTAGGAAACTACATTCTGAATTACGTGGCATCACAGCCCAAGCTGGCTCCCTTTGTCATCCAAGCTCTTATTCAAGTCATTGCTAAAATCACTAAGTTGGGGTGGTTTGAGGTTCAGAAAGACCAATTTGTCTTCAGAGAAATTATTGCTGATGTGAAGAAGTTTCTCCAGGTAAGAAGTCATTGCTACATGGTTAGAACATCACTACTTGCTTTTTTTGGTTTAGAATACTGCTCTTCTTAAAGCGATATAGTTTGTTTTGTGACTACCAGTACCATGTTAATTATGATTTATTATTTATCCTCTGGATCCTTTATCATTTATTGTTAGTAAATGAGGATCGTGCTGTTACATAATTTCCAAATCAGAAGAATGTAAATAATCATGTTTTCTAATTTCAAAATGTGTGTACATTTATGACACATATGTCTATGTACTGTATATATAAAACATGTATATAATGCTTTTCATAGATTATGTAATTAAATGTTCATCACAACCTAAAATGAAATAGATTTTATTTTGTAAACAAGAAAACAGGCTTAGAGGGGTTAAATAATTTCTGTAAGATTGCATAGTGACTGATTAACGCATACAGCTAGCATTTAATAAGCCTCCAACTTACGATAAATTTTTTAATTTTTTAATTTTTACACTATACCACATTGACTATATCAGTTTCTCAAGAATGTTTTCAATTTCATCATTACACATTGTATATAGGTATCAAATAGGTACAGCTATTATATATCAATAAAGAATAGTTATTTTAAAAACAATATTTTTAACCTAAGTGATTAAAATAAAGTCATAGTATATGCACATTTAACTTACATAAATTCAGATATATGGACAGCCAAAAAAAAAAACCAAACCAAACCAAAACAAAATAAACAGAGGCAAGAAAACATTAAACTAAATCATGCCAGTGATTCCATGTCCTGGGCTGATTTAGGGAAACCTGAATCTGCTCTTGTTTCCTGTTTACTCTTACTCAGGATGACTGTCATGCCTTGCTCAGTATGATTCAGATATTTGAAGATATATGTATATATTTTTTCATACAAACGTAATTCCCAAGTAGAAGAGAACTATTTTATCTGATGTCCAGCTAAAGAAACATGATCTGGACTGGGCGTGGTGGCTCATGCCTGTAATCCCAGCACTTTGGGAGGCCAAGGCGTGCGGATCATGAGGTCAGGAGATCGAGACCATCCTGGCTAACACGGTGAAACCCTGTCTCTACTAAAAACACAAAAAATTAGCTGGGCGTGGTGGCGGGCGCCTGTAGTCCCAGCTACTCGGGAGGCTGAGGCAGGAGAATGGCGTGAACCCGGTAGACGGAGCTTGCAGTGAGCGGAGATTGCGCCACTGCACTCCAGCCTGGGCAACAGAGCAAGACTCCGTCTCAAAAAAAAAAAAAAGAAAAATCCATGCTCTGTTAGTATTCTTGAGGAAAAATTGGCAGTTTTGATTAATAGATGGTTCAGTTTTGGTTCATGGTTGAGTATGGGCAATTTTGACTTTCGGAGATTTTACTTTTATGCAGTAACTT
Organism: Homo sapiens; assembly: GCF_000001405.40. Classification (NCBI taxonomy): domain Eukaryota; kingdom Metazoa; phylum Chordata; class Mammalia; order Primates; family Hominidae; genus Homo; species Homo sapiens. Next base: position 170,893,938 of record NC_000005.10, read on the forward strand.
TAAAATTCAACCCCTGTCTAAGATATAACTTCATCATATAGTGCAGTGCTGGAAACCTCAGAATATGAAATGCTAGGTTATGCTGCTTCTGTCTTATCTATGTTGTTAAAACCTGGTTAACAAATATTTGATCATTTAGAACTCCACAGGAATAAGTGTTCTTAGCTCTGAGGAGATCAGTTTATACTAGGGCAGAAGGATAGTTTATTCAGGACAAGTATGAGCTTCACACTTCAGAGTTGCATTTGTAAGTTTGGCAAGCACAGTAGCATCCCCCTTTTGTCTTTTACTAAGATTGTTCATCAAGATTTATTTGAGTAGACAAGAGGCGACCATGCAGTTCTTTAAAAATAAAGTCAGGGTTGAAATTGAATGAAATTCTTGTTGGCTAACATTTCTCAAGCTCCCTCTTTAGTGGCCAGTAAGCTCAACTTAAGTTGGGATTCAATGTACCTTTACCAGTTCTGGAAGACCAAAAGAAACAACATGTTTTAGCTTGAAAGTTTATTATATAATAGTATCACCATAGAATAGTTAGTACGTGTTTTTTATATATATATATATATATATGGCTTGACCTAACCCTGCATCATGAGAAAGTCAATTTTGGCTTTAGTGTTTTAGTTTTCTAGAATATTATCATATGGTTCCTTTGAGTATTAGCAGCTTTTGTGAATTTTGTCCTAAAAGTTATTTTAAGTTTGTCACATCTTTAACAGCCTGAACTTTTGTGCATTCTCTTTTTTCTATTATTATGGCCCTCTTGCTGCCACACTCCAAACATACTTATGTGTCTCCTTTCTACTGATATACTCAGGAGATCCTACTGTCATTTAGGGCAGTGCTATTCAAATTACCGGTCTTCAGCAAGATAAGGAGCTTATGTAAGACTGTAAATGAACATAGTGCCTTCTTCATTGAGAAAGACTTGCTATGACAAAAAAGCCAGCTGACCTAGTGTACTTTGTGACTTAGCTGTTTTATAATCTGTTACATGCTCTTTATTTTGTCATGGACGAGTAACAAACTATTTTCAAATTAGAATTGAGTTTGTAGGTCATCAATCAGCTGGTTCTAGCAATTGGTCAGGGTACCACACTTTGGGGAACATTAACCTGGTGTACACATAGGATGGATGTTTCAGTGTGTAGGAAATCTGGAGCTCAGTTCAGACACTCAGACTGTCTTGAAAGGCCATAAATAATTAAAATGCAAAAATTGTGAGACCTTTTTTTGTTCTGAGATAATTTGAATTTAATTACATCCAGTGATAATGGAATTCTGTGATAGTTAAAAGGAATGACCAACTATAAAATTAAGATTTGAAAAGTGTATCTATCTTCTGTGTCAGTTTTTAAAAATGATTGCAATGTAATTGGATGCTGCATTTATGATTTTCATAATTCCAGTATGATTTCACACAAGGGTAGTTTGTTAGTAATGTGCATATAAAGTCTGAATTTTAATGATGGAAAATTTGAGATTAAATTGGAAGCTGATTAAATTAAAAACATTATATAGATAGTCATGTATTTATCTCATTGCATTGTGTACTTTACATGCCATCATTATAGGTATGTAACAATTTCATATACATGCACAATTAATGTTAAAAGAGCCTAAGTGATCCTATCTGATATTAGAACAAGAGATTTGAATTAGTGCCTAAGCTACTTATTATTTATTTATTGTTGAGTGTCTCTATCTCAATAGGCTTTAAGCAAATTATAGAGCTAAAAGCATTTTTTGCTTATTCTTATTCTTGGTCTTATAAAAGGTATTAAGCTAAATTCTTGTATTTTGAAACTTAGTTTATTATTTGTCCTATAAGTGCTGGAAACATTTTGTTGAGTATCATGCATTTATAAGGGAGGAGCTTTTTCCCATTTAGCTCTGTGTATCCAAATTTATCTTTCAAAAAATAGGTTTGAAATTCTTTTGTTTATAGAACTCATAGCGATTTTTCTTTATATTTTATAATTTTGTTTCCATTTTATTATTGAGTAAATGTGGTGTTTCAGTCTTTAATTGTTTGTAAATGTTACCTGGTATATACATTAAGAACCAATCACTTGTCTCCACTTAGGCTAAACTTTGTTATTTTCTCCAAAGGGTACTGTGGAACACTGCATAATAGGAGTAATAATCCTTTCTGAATTGACTCAGGAAATGAACCTGGTAAGCGAGCCTTTCCATCTAACAGGAGCCTGAGTTTGCTTAAGTAATGCTGTTTCTTTTCTGCTTTTATTTGTGGCAAAATAGACAGCCTTCATTTTGTGGCATAAAACTCTGAATAATCAAGTTTTTTGTGTGTGTATCTGTTTTATTGATGGGCTAATTAAGTGGTGGAATATTTTCATTGTTATTGAAGATATCTGCAATAGTACAGAGTATTACAAAGAACAGAGAATTAGACATGGTTCTTGCTCCCATGGGCACTTGGAGAATTGTTCTTTTACCTCATATATGTCATAATATGCTAACCATAAGAAATATATGCAAAAGAGAAACAAACCTTTATTCACTTACAAATAAAATATAGGTGGTTTGAGGAATTGATTCTCAACAATGGATACACAGCAGGACTCATAAAAAAACAGGCTTTTTTTTGACTGGGCCAGGTGGCTCACGCCTGTAATGCCAGCACTTTGGGAGACTGAGGCAGGGGGATCACCTGAGGTCAGGAATTCGAGACCAGCCTGGCCAACATGGAGAAACCCCATCTCTACTAAAAATACAACAATTAGATGGGCGTGGTGATGGGCGCCTGTAATCCCAGCTACTGGGGAAGCTGAGGCAGGAGAATTGCTTGAACCCGGGAGGCAGAGATTGCAGTGAGCTGAGATCGTGCCACTGCACTCCACCCTGGGTGACAGAGCAAGACTCTGTCTCAAACAACAATAACAAGAAACAATACAGGCCTTTTGGGTTGCAGGCCCAATGCAGAGGCCGGCGCGGCTCACAAGCGCCCCCAGCTGACTATGCACCAGAATGACCCAGTTGGTGGTCATACTGGTTGGCCAGTGCGAAAACCAGATTGGCTGCTGCTTCTGGGACCTGGCACTAAGGGAGCACGCCGCGGTCAGCCAGAAAGGAATCTATTATGAGGCAATAAGCAGCTTCCTTAGAAATGTGGATACCAGCTGTCTTGATTGACATGGTAGAAGGGATAGTGAATGAAATTCTGCAGGGACCACTGAGAGATGTATTTGATACCAAACAGCTCATCACTGATACTTATGGCTCCGGAAATAATTGGGCTGTGGATCACAAAGTTTTTGGCAGTCTGTATCAAGACCAGGTTTTAGAGAAACTCAGAAAGTTGGCAGAGCACTGTGATTGCTTGCAGTGTTTCTTTATAATACATTCCGTGGGAGGAGAATCAGGATCTGGGCTTGGCACATTTCTTCTTCTTCTTCTTCTTTTTTTTTTTTAAATATTCCATTGCGCGTATGTGTACGTACAACCATATTTTCTTCATTGTTATACTTTAAGTTCTTGGATACATGTGCAGAATGTACAGGTTTGTTACATAGGTATACATGTGCCATGGTGGTTTGCTGCACCCATCAACCAGCCATCTATCTACATTAGGTATTTCCCCTAATGCTATCCCTCCCCTAGCCCCCCAACCCCCAACAGGCCCCGGTGTGTGATGTTTCTCTCCCCGTGTCCATGTGATCTCATTGTTCAGCTCTCACTTATGAGTAAGAACATGCAGTGTTTGGTTTTCTGTTCCTGTGTTAGTTTGCTGAGAATGATGTTTCCAGCTTCATCCATGTCCCTGTGAAGGATATGAACTCGTCCTTTTTTATGGCTGCATCGTATTCCATGGTGTATATGTGGCACATTTTCTTTATCCAGTCTATCATTGATGGGCATTTGGGTTGGTTCCAAATCTTTGCTATTGTGAATAGTGATGCAGTAAACATATGTGTGCATGTGTCTTTATAGTAGAATTATTTATAATCCTTTGGGTATATACCCAGTAATGGGATTGTTGGGTCAAATGGTATTTCTGGTTCTAGATCCTTGAGGAATTGCCACACTGTCTTCCGTAATGGTTAAACTAATTTACACTCCCATCAACAATGTAAAAGCGTTCCTATTTCTCCACATCCTCTCTAGCATCTGTTGTTTCCTGACTTTTTAATGATCGCAATTCTAGCTGGCGTGAGTTGCAGTCTTGCTTTATGAATCTGGGTGCCTCTGTATTAGGTGCATATATATTTAGGATAGTTAGCTCTTCTTGTTGCATTGACCTTTTAACATTATGTAATGCCCTTCTTTGTCTCCTTTGATGGTATCTCATTGAGTTTTGATTTGCATTTCTCTAATGACTAGTGATGATGAGCTTTTTTTCATACGGTTGTTGGCCACATAAGTGTCGTCTTTTCAGAAGTGTCTGTTCATATCCTTTGCCCACTTTGTGATGGGGTTTTTTTTTCTTGTAAATGTGTTTAAGTTCCTTGTAGATTCTGGGTATTAGCCCTTTGTCAGATGGATAGATTGCAAAAATTTTCTCCCATTCTGTAGGTTGCCTGTTCACTCTGATGATAGTTTCTTTTGCTATGCAGAAGCTCTTTAGTTTAATTAGATCCCATTTGTCAATTTTGGCTTTTGTTGCCATTGCTTTTGGTGTTTTAGTCATGAATTCTTTGCCCATGCCTATGTCCTTAGTGGTACTGCCTAGGTTAGGGTTTTTATGATGTTAGGTCTTATATTTAAGTCTTTAATCCATCTTGAGTTAATTTTTGTATAAGGTGTCAGGTAGGGGCCCAGTTTCAGTTTTCTGTATATGGCTAGCCAGTTTTCCCAACACTATTTATTAAATAGGGAATCATTTCCCCATTTCTTGTTTTTGTCAGGTTTGTCAAAAATCAGATGGTTGTAGATGTAGAGCATTATTTCTGAGGCCTCTATTCTGTTCCATTAGTCTATACATCTGTTTTGGTACCAGTACCATGCTGGTTTGGTTACTGTAGCCTTGTAGTATACTCTGAAGTCAGGTAGCATGATGCCTCCAGCTTTGTTCTTTTTGCTTAGGATTGTCTTGGCTATATGGGCTCTTTTTTGGTTCCATATGAAATTTAAAGTAGTTTTTTCTAATTCTGTGAAGAAAGTCAGTGGTAGCTTGATGAGGATAGCTTTGAATCTATAAATTACTTTGGGCAATATGGCCATTTTCACAATATTGATTCTTCCTATCCATGAGCATGGAATGTTTTTCCATTTGTTTGTATCCTCTCTTATTTACTTGAGCAGTGGTTTGTAGTTCTCCTTGAAGAGGTCCTTTACATCCCTTGTAAATTGGATTCCTAGGTATTTTATTCTCTTTGTATCAATTGTGAATGGGAGTTCACTCATGATTTGGCTCTGTTCGTCTGTTATTGGTGTATAGGAATGCTTGTGATTTTTGCACATTGATTTTGTATCTGAGACTTTGCTGAAGTTGCTTATCAGCTTTAAGGAGATTTGGGGCTGAGATAATGGTATTTTCTAAATATACAATCATGTCATCTGCAAACAGAGACAGTTTGACTTCCTATCTTCCTATTTGAATACTCTTTATTTCTTTCTCTTGCCTGATTGTCCTGGCCAGAACTTCCAATACTACATTGAATAGGAGTGGTAAGAGAGAGCATCCTTGTCTTGTGCCGGTTTTCAAAGGGAATGCTTCCAGCTTTTGCCCATCCAGTATGATATTGGCTGTGGGTCTGTCATAAATAGCTCTTATTATTTTGAGATATGTTCCATCAATACCTAGTATATTGAGAGTGTTTAGCCTGAAGGGTTGAATTTTATTGAAGGCCTTTTCTGCCTCTATTGAGATAATCATGTGGTTTTTGTCATTGGTTCTGTTTATGTGATGGATTATGTTTATTGATTTGCATATGTTGAACCAGGTTTGCATCCCAGAGATAAAGCCGACTTGATCATGGTAGATAAGCTCTTTGATGTGCTGCTGGATTTGGCTTGCCAGTATTTTATTGAGGATTTTTGAGTTGATGTTCATCAGGTTTAATGGCCTGAAATTTTCTTTTTTTGTTGTGTCTCTGCCAGGATTTGGTATCAGGATGATGCTGGCCTCATAAAATGAATTAGGGAGGAGTCTCTCTTTTTCTGTTGATTGAAATAGTTTCAGAAGGAATGGTACCAGCTCCTCTTTGTAACTCTGGTAGAATTCAGTCGTGAATCCGTCTGGTCCAGGGCTTTTTTTTTGGTTGGTAGGCTACCAATTACTGCCTTAATTTCAGAACCTGTTATTGCTCTATTCAGGGATTCAACTTGGGTTTAGTCTTGGGAGGTATGTGTGTCCAGGAATTTATCCATTTCTTCTAGATTTTCTAGTTTATTTGCATAGAGGTGTTTATAGTATTCTCTGATGGTAGTTTGTATTTCCGTGGGGTCAGTGGTGATCTCCCCTTTATCGTTTTTTATTGTGTCTATTTGATTCTTCTCTCTTTTTTTCTTTGTTAGTCTGGCTAGTGGTCTATCTGTTTTGTTAATCTTTTCAAAAAACCAGCTCCTGGATTCATTGACTTTTTGAAGGGTTGTTCGTGTCTCTATCTCCTTCAGTTCTGCTCTGATCATAGTTATTTCTTGTCTTCAGCTAGCTTTTGAATTTGTTTGCTTTTGCTTTTCTAGTTCTTTTAATTGTGATGCTAGGGTGTCGATTTGAGGTCTTTCCAGCTTTCTGGTTGTGGGCATTTAGTGCTATAAATTTCCCTCTAAACACTGCTTTAGCTGTGTCCCAGAGATTCTGATACATTGGGTCTTTGTTCTCAATGGATTTAGATAACTTATTTATTTCTGCCTTAATTTTGTTATTTACCCAGTAGTCATTCAGGAGCAGGTTGTTCAGTTTCCATGTAGTTGTGCAGTTTTGAGTGAGTTTCTTAATCCTGAGTTTTAATTTGATTGCACTGTGGTCTGAGAGACTGTTATGATTTTGGTTCTTTTGCATTTGCTGAGGAGTGCTTTACTTCCAATTATGTGTCAATTTTAGAATAAGTGCGATGTGGTTGTGAGAAGAATGTATATTCTGTTGATTTGAGGTGGAGAGTTCTGTAGATGTCTATTAGGTCTGCATGTTCCAGAGCTGAGTTCAAGTCCTGAATATCCTTGTTAATTTTCTTTCTCGTTGATCTCTCTGATATTGACAGTGGGGTGTTAAAGTCTCCCACTATTATTGTGTGGGAGTCTAAGTCTCTTTGTAGGTCTCTAAGAACTTGCTTTATGAATCTGGGTGCTCCTGTATTGGATGCATGTATATTTAGGATAGTTAGCTCTTCTTGTTGTGTTGATCCCTTTAACATTATGTAATGCCCTTCTTTGTCTCCTTCGATCTTTGTTGGTTTAAAGTCTGTTTTATCAGAGACTAGAATTGCAACCCCTGCATTTTTTTGCTTTCCATTTGCTTGGTTAATCTTCCTCCATCCCTTTATTTTGAGCCTATGTGTGTAGGCTATTTACAAAGGCACATGAGATGGGTCTCCTGAATACAGCATACTGATGGGTCTTGACTCTTTATCCAATTTGCCAGTCTGTGTCTTTTAATTGGGGCATTTAGCCCATTTACATTTAAGGTTAGTATTGTTGTATGTGAATTTGATCCTGTCATTATGATTGTAGCTGGTTATTATGCCTGATAGTTGATGCAGTTTCTTCATAGTGTCGATGGTCTTTACAATTTGGTATGTTTTTGCAGTGGCTGGTACCAGTTTTTCCTTTCCATATTTCGTGCTTCCTTCAGGAGCTCTTGTAAGGCAGGCCTGGTGGTGACAAAATCTCTGAGCATTTGCTTGTCCGTAAAGGATTTTATTTCTCCTTCACTTACAAAGCTTAGTTTGGGTGGATATGAAATTCTGGGTTGAAGATTCTTTTCTTTACGAATGTTGAATATTGGCCCCCACTCTCTTCTGGCTTGTAGGGTTTCTGCAGAGAGATCTGCTGTTAGTCTGATGGGCTTCTCTTTGTGGGTAACCCAACCTTTCTCTCTGTCTGCCCTTAACATTTTTTCCTTCATTTCAACCTTGGTGAATCTGACGATTATGTGTCTTGGGGTTGCTCTTCTCTAGGAGTATCTTTGTGATGTTCTGTGTATTTCCTGAATTTGAACGTTAGCCTGTCTTGGCGGGTTGGGGAAGTTCTCCTGGATAATATCCTGAAGTGTGTTTTCCAACTTGGTTCCATTCTCCCCATCACTTTCAGGTACACCAATCAAACATAGGTTTGGCCTTTTCACATAGTCCCATATTTCTTGGAGGCTTTGTTGATTCCTTTTCATTTCTTTTTCTCTAATCTTGTCTTCACACTTTATTTCATTAAGTTGTTATTAATCTCTGATATCCTTTCTTCCTCTTGATTGATTTGGCCGTTGATGTTTGTGTATGCTTCACAAAGTTCTCTTGCTGTGTTTTTCAGCTCCATCAGGTCATTTATGTTCTTCTCTAAACTGGTTATTCTAGTTAGCAATTCCTCTAACCTTATTTCAAGGTTCTTAGCTTCCTTGCATTGGGTTAGAACATGCTCCTTTAGCTCAGAGGAGTTTATTACCCACCTTCTGAAGCCTCCTTCTGTCAGTTCGTCAAACTCATTCTCTGTCCAGTTTTGTTCCCTTGTTGGCGAGGAGTTGTGATCCTTTGGAGGAGAACAGGTGTTCCAGTTTTTGGAATTTTCAGCCTTTTTGCACTGGTTTTTCCTCATCTTCGTGGATTTATTTACCTTTGGTCTTTGATGTTGGTGATCTTCAGGTGGAGTTTTTGTGTGGATGTCCTTTTTGTTGGTGTTGATGCTATTGCTTTCTGTTTGTTAGTTTTCCTTCTAACAGTCAGGCCCCTCTGCTGCAGGTCTGCTGGAGTTTTCTGGAGGTTCACTCCAGACCCTGTTTGCCTCGGTATCACCAGCGGAGGCTGCAGAACAGCAAAGATTGCTGCCTGTTTCCTCTTCTGGAAGCTTTGTTCTAGAGGGGCACCTGCCAGATGCCAGCCAGTGCTCTCCTGTATGAGGTGTCTGTTGACGCCTGCTGGGAGATGTCTCCCGGTCAGGAGGCACGGAGATCTGTGCCTTAGCAGAGCTTGAGCACCATGCTGGGAGATCCCCTGCTCTCTTCAGAGCTGGCAAGGAGGAACATTTACATCTGCTGAAGCTGTGCCCACAGCCGCCCCTTCCCCCAGGTGCTCTGTTCCAGGGAGATGGGAGTTTTATATATAAGCCCCTGACTGGGTCTGCTGCCTTTCTTTCAGAAATGCCTTGCGCAGAGAAGAGGAATCTACAGAGGCAGTCTGGCTACCGTGGTGGGCTCCGCCCATTTTGAACTTCCAAGTGTCTTTGTTTACACTGTGAGGGCAAAACCGCCTACTCAAGCTTCAGTAATGGTGGACGCCCCTCCCCCCACCAAGCTGGAGCATCCAAGGTTGACTTCAGACTGCTGTGCTGGCAGCAAGAGTTTAAAGCCAGTTGATCTTAGCTTGCTGGGCTACGTGGGGGTGGGATCCTCTGCGCTAGACCACTTGGCTCCCTGGCTTAGCCCCCTTTCCAGGGGAGTGAACGCTTACGTCTTGCTGGCTGGCGTTCCAGGTGCCACTCGGCACATTTCTTTTAAAGGTGCTTGAAGATGAATTCCCAGAAGTATGTAGATTTATGACCTCCATTTATCCTTCCGGTGAGGAGGATGTCATAACTTGACCTCATAATGGCATCTTGGCAATGAAGGAACTTAATGAGCAAGCAGACTGTGTGTTGCCCATTGACAGTCTTTATTTGACATCATTAGCAAAGTCGACCTCATAGTGAATTCTGGAAAGTTGGGTACAACTGTAGACGACTTCAAGTGCTGTGGCTTTAAAAAGCAGAATAAGCCCTTTGTTGCAGTCAACAACATTGTGGCAAATTTGCTCAACCTAACAAGCTCCGCAAGATTTGAAGGGTCCCTTAATAAGGACCATAATGAAATCAGCATGAATTTAGTTCCTTTTCCTCAGCTTCATTATCTTGTATCAAGCCTAACACCTCTATACACACTGGCGGATGTTAACATTCCTACTAAAAGATTGGATCAGATGTTTTCAAATGCCTTTAGTAAAGATCACCAGCTGCTTCAGGCAGACCCTAAACATAGTCTTTACCTCACCTGTGTGCTCATGGTTAGAGGAAATGTACAGATTTTACATCTTTGCAGAAATATTGAAAGATTAAAACCATCTCTACAATTTGTCTCCTGAAATCAAGAAGGCTAGACCAGCCTGTCCCTCCTGTGGACCATTTTTATTCATTATTAGCTTTAGCAAATAACACATATGTGAAGCCCACATTCATGGAAATGAAAGAGAGATTCATGAGGCTCTACAAGAAAAAAGCTCACCTTCATCACTGTCTACAAGTTGAAGGCATGGAAGAAAGCTATTTCACAGAAGCTGTGTTGTTTTTATCAGCACTCATACAGGAGTGGCCACCACTGTATGAGTGGATGCCAGAAAAAACATACCTGTGCAAGATTTACCAAGCCTAAGCATAGCCGTGTATAAAAGAAACCCTCCAAAATATTTTCTTAATTTCACGTTTTTTCTCACCTTTCTGTTTCAGTATTTCTTTGAGATTCAGAAAGTCTAGTTTGTTTTTCATATTAGGAAATATTTTTGTCTAAAAGAGTGATTTCTGTTTAATCACAATTTGTCGATAATACCAGTGTGTGAAATTAGTGAAATCCTAGTACCTGAACTTCAGACATTTGTCTTCAGAAAAATCTCCCTTTCTAAAATTGAGAGAATGGAGTTCTTCAGTATTATGTTGTATTTATAACCTCATATTTAGGCATTTATACACTGATAATCATGTCTTCAATAAAAATCTTGTACAGATTTTTATCATTTATATTTTGATATTCTATTTAAATTCTCCTGATTCTGTAAAAGTAGGTACTGGGAATAGAAGAACATAATATAAATATTTCTGTGTAATACCACTAACTATTCAGGGATAGGTTTTATTCCAACCGTTAAGGAGGTTTTGTTTCTTCTTTAGATAAGAACTTGTTTTCTCAAAAGAATTCTAATTTGTACACTTAACATGTATTTGTATTAAATTTTTAAAATAATTGCTTTCTTATCAAACCAATTGATTTTATAATAATAAATGTTTATATTAAAAAACAAAACAGGCCTTTTTTCACTTTATGGCTCCTAGTTTGGATTTTTACCCTGTACAAGGGGAGTTTTCAGAAGCTGTACTTCTCCCCAACAGTGCTTTTATGATCTGAACCTATTATCACCTGTTCCGTTTGCACATAAAATGGTTCTAAACAGAATGAAAGCAGAAGTTGGGTTCTATGTGGAGTAATTTTATAATAAAGAGGAATGTAGTGTTTAAAAACTGTCATCTTGAGTGATATGTGTTTGCGTGTGGGCATGCATGTCCATGCACACATATAGATGTATATATGTAGAAGAGCTTGCATACCCAGGATCACTTGCCAACTCCCTTTGGAGTAACATTATAGCCATGTGCATAAAAAAATACAAAAGAACCATTTTCTACTTGTGTTCAATCAGGAATTAGAAAATATTTTTAGATTTATAGGATGGATTTCTAAAATTTAAAGTGATCTCTTAACTTATCACGGCCATCACCTTCCTGAGTCCTCCACCCCAGAGTATATGCTGTGTGTTTGTGTGTACATAGGTATCTGTTAATAATACTGTGTCAGCAGGGATATTATGACAGGGATAATCTTATTGAACTCTAAATATGTCTAAAGAACTGTAGCTTCCTTCTAAAAAAGTACATTTAAATATTTTCATAAAAGTGAAGAGAATAGTATGATAACCTCATGTACTTATCTTCATTTTACAACTTTTTGCTAATTTTGAAACTAGCAGTTTGATTCATTTCATGCTTCTCAGCATAATAGGAAAATAGTCTGCCCTGGAAATGAGAGTTTGTGCTGTGTTTAGATTATCACTGAAATAAGACTAGTTAATGTGAAGTTCTGGTAAATGTGCAGTTTAGAGAGCAACAGGATAACTTCTTTTTCTTAATTAGCAAACTTACAGAAAAGTTGTAAGTACAGTAAAGAGAAGTTTTTTCTCAACTGACGCTAAGTTGCTAACATAATTCTCCACCACCAGGGAATTTAGTGTATTTCCTACACACAAGGACGTTCTTGTACCTAACCACAATACAACCTTGCAATCAGAAAATGAACACTGGAATTATTCCCACTATCTAATCCTCATACCTCATTCAAGATTCACTGGTTATAAACACTCTTTCTAGCAGAAGAACCAGTTTAGGATTATATATCACATTTAGTTCTTATGTTTTATTAGTTTCCTTCAATCTGGAGAAAAATTTCTCAATCTTTTTCACTTTCATGGCCTTGACGTTTATGAAGATTATAGGCCAGTTTTGTAAAATGTCCCTCAATTTGGGATTGTCTGATATTTCCTCATTATTAGATTCAGCTTATGTGAATTTGTCAGAAATATCACAGAAATGATACTGTGCCCATCTCCTTGCCTCCTATCAGGAAGCATGTGATGATTTGTCACATTACTGATGATGTTCACTTTGATCTCTTAATTAAGATGGACTCCTCTGGGCTCACCCATTGTAGACTTACTCTTTTCCCTGTTGTAATTAATACATATTTTGTGAAAAGGTACTTAAGTCTCTGAAAATATCTTGTTCCTTATCAGACTTTCAGCTTTTTGATTTGTTAATTTATATTACTATGGATTCCTCGTTTCATTCTATTTAATAGGTTATAATTCATTGCTAACATTATTTGTTTTGTTGCTCAGATTTTCCAAGATTTGACCAATAGGACCTTTTTCAAGCTGATTTTTGTGTCCATTTGATATTTCCTCACCATTCTTTGGGTTCTTTCTTACCTTCTGGCACAAGACAGTCTAAGCTTTTCTTGCATTGAACCAAGCACCTTTTAAGAAAAGCTTTAAGGTCTGAAGTGTGATTTTGGCTTTATATGGTGAAAAATATAGATGGCTTCTGTGGAGACAGTTCATTCAGCCTAATTTTATGACATTTACAGTTTCAACTAGCATTTATTAAGCATTTCTGAACCAGGAAGTAGGGAGATCTATAATGCATGAGGGTAATTAAATATTCTAGTTATCAGATGTGAGCCAGATAAATTCATGTAGTATCCATAACAGGATGTGTCTCTTAAGAAAAAGAACTACACTTGAGTTTTCCTAAAAGTTAGGAGGATTATATAAGTTATCCTGCTGTTTTAGAAGCTAGAGTTTCTGTTCCTGGAGTATATTCACTATCCAGTCATTAAGAAGTAAAATATCCTGTGCCTCCAAGGTAGAGGCATATATATGCAATAGAAAATGGATGTGCAATCCTTCGTCTCAAAATATTGGATATCTAAATGAGTAACCCAAGTAAAATAAGCATGCAGTCCTTTAATATAACTCTGGAATAAAACATGGAGTTGTATTTTCGCTCTATTTTTACCTTTTACAAACTTCTTAGCTTCTTTAAAACTTACATATTGTTACCTGTAAAGTGAGAATGACAACTACTTATATGGATCTTAATAAGATTATATTAACTTGCACAGGACTTAGTGTGTAGAAAGTGCTCAGTACACCTAAGTTTCTTTCCATATTATGGATATGATGAGAGTGAGAAGTTAGTCTAAGATAGTGTGCATATAAACTTGAATTTCTCATCTTTTAAAATCATCCTTTATTTCAAAACTCATGTGTTTTAAAAAGATAAAATGTATCTCACAGATTAGTTTTAAGGAATAAGCGAAATAATATATGAAGAATACTTTATAAATTGCAATTATAATGCTGTTTGCTTTTAATTTGTATTAAGGAAAAAATATTTTTATATATTGAGGAAAGTGTTGAGATTTGATTTAAATTAATCAAGAGAGGCATTAAAAATAAGCAAAAGACATGAACAGACACTTCTCAAAAGAAGGCAAGTGGCCAAAAAACATGAAGAAATGTTCCACATTACTCATCATCTTAGAAATGCAAATCAAAACCACAATGAAATACCATTTCACACCAGTCAGAATGGCCATTATTAAATAGTGAAAAAACCACAGATGCTAGCAAGGCTGTGGAGAAAAGGGAACTCTTATATACGTTGGTGGGAATGTAAATTAGTTCAGCCACTGTGGAAAGTAGTTTGGAGATTTCTCAAAGAACTTAAAACAGAACTACTATTCAACCCAGCAATCCTATTACTGAGTATATATCCCCCCAAACCCAAATCTGTCAAAAAGGAACATGCACTTACATGTTCACTGCAGTGCTATTCAGAAAAGCAAAGACGTGGAATCAGCCTTGGTACCCATTGACGGTGGATTGGATAAAGAAAATACACGTATACCACAGAATATTATGCAGCTATAAAAAATAATGAAATCATGTCCTTTGCAGCAACATGGATGCAGCTGGAGGCCCTTATCTGAAGCAAATTAATGCAGGAGCAGAAAACCAAATACCACATGTTCTCACTTCCAGTAGGAGTTAAACACTAGATACTTGTGGACATAAAGATGGCAACAGTAGAAACTGGGGACTACTAGATAGGGGAGAGATAGAAAGGGGTAAAGGTTGAAAAACTGACTTTTGGGTGACAGGATCATTCATACCCCAAACCTCAGCAACAAGCAATATACCCCAGGCAACAAACACACACATGTACCCCCACAAGCTAAAATGAAAGTTGGGAAAAAAAAAAAAAGGAACACTGAAAATGCTAATTTAAATCTTACACATTGGGTATAGGTTCCATAACTACTTTGTGTAATCATTTGGCCTTCTGTTATGTTTCATGTTTTATAAGTAAATATGGCAATCGAGTATAATCTAAATTATATGTTGGAGCTTAGGAAGTATCACATAATCAATTTTAAGCCCATTGCTTCTTTCAGATCTATAAACACTAGCAAGGAAAATGGTTTATTTTCTTCTTCCAAATAGCAATAAGAATAAATAGTAATGCCATAGCAACTGTAGACCATAGTGTTAATGTTAGTATGAGTGTCAGACTTCAGCTTTGCCTGTTCCTATTGATAAATGGAAATACTAATGGTATGAATAGTATAATTTTGAATATACTACATTTTAGGTTAGAGGCCTAAGAGCTAGTCTTAGTTTATTCTTAAAAATTATTTGTCATTAGCTAATAAAATATTCAGAGGGAATATACTATTGCTTATATAAGAAATCAGATTTCTGATTATTTATAATTTCTGCCTTGGTTTCTTTTCGTAGTATCAAAGATATATGAACTAATGACATATATGGTACATATAGGAATATCACTTTCAACTAGAAGAATTTTTCTGTGGCTAATTCAGTTTTCTTATTCATAGACAAAGTTAGAATTTGGAGATTATCTTGGAGATTTCTCATTTTACAGGTGGAATGTGAGGAACAGGGAAGTTGTTACTGCATGATATAAAATATGGTACATGGTTTAGGAGTTAATAGTCTTAGTATCTATTTTTATTTTATAATCTGTGTTGTTTATACTGCCTCTGAAAGTGTGATGAACTTTGGTTTTTAGTATTGGGATCAGTACGGGTTGTAGGAAGAACATTAAATTGAAACAGTCTAGAAACTTGGGTTCTACTCAAGTTTATTTCCTTTTTTTTTTTTTTTTTTTTAGTAAATTTTGGTTTGCTTTTTCATAGGTCTGGTTAAACTAATTTCATCTTTATCTTTTTAGGTTGATTATTCTAGACCTTCAGCAAAACACAGGAAAATAGCTACCTCATTTCGTGATACTTCTCTCAAAGACGTTTTAGTGCTAGCATGCTCTCTTTTAAAAGAGGTAAGTTATTTGATAATTCAACTTCCTAGTTAGAATATTTGGGAAATTTTAAGAGTTTCAAAAGAATTTCAGTTGAATTTTCCCCCCAGTTTTGCCTTTTAAAGAATTATTGTGGACAGACTTAAGTATAGTAAATTTGCATAAGTCTGTAAGCAGTTCCAAAAAATTCACTTTTACTCACTGGGCATATGATAAGGTGAAATCCAAAGGGAATCTAATAACTTATCTTCAGGTAGTAGTTTCATTGCCTTCCCAGTGTAGATTCTTTAATTATAGAAGCTACTTGAGTATTAGTTTCTTTATCTGCTTGCTTATATTTTGATAGGATGCAGATGAAAAATGAAATGACAATATTTTCCTGATTCATCAACTATCAAAATTTATTCATAGTTTAGCCAAGATCGTTGACTTTAACAACTTCTTTGGGAAATAGTATTTCCCCATTTGCTACTTAGTGCCCTATTGAATATTAGTGATAGCATGATTCATAATGATACTGTATTCTCTTGTATAATATAGGGACTCCATCATGCTATTCAAGCCTGATAATTGGTGTAATATAGCATTGCTGAAAGTATGCTTCAATAAGCACTAGTTTCCATTTATTTCAATTCTTTGGTTTAGTAACATGACAACTGCCACACTATGTCAGACCCAAAGACCTTCTATTATCTTAAAATTTTTCTTTTAACACAGAAAATTTTAACATACACAAAAGTAGATAGAATAGTATAACCAGTTAACCTGTCAGCCAGTTAAACAGTAGCAACTCATGGCCAATCTTGTTTTCTCTCTATTCCTGCCTACCCACTTCTTTTTATATTATTCTTCAAGCAGAATCCCAAATTTCATATAATTTCCTCTATAAATATTTCACAATATATCTAAAAGGTATAATTGTTTTTGGTTTGTGTGAGAATGGGCATTATCTTGGAAATAGGATTGTTCTCCAGAAGCTTTGTGAGTGTCCTCCAACATTCAGAGTTCTGATTGCCTTTATTAGCTGAATGTGATTCTTTTATGCATGAAGTTAACCCAGTTTTTCTTGAAGAAGGTAACATTACTTCCTTATATATGGAACAGTATAACTTTGTAAACTCCTTTATTAGTTTTCATTTGACATTGAAAAATTATTTTAATTCATGAAGTGTAAATTTATTGATGTATTTCGCAGTGTTTTCTTTGATTTTGTACTTTTTTCAGGTGTTTGCCAAACCTTTAAATCTTCAGGATCAATGTCAGCAAAATCTGGTAATGCAGGTCTTGAAACTGGTCCTTAACTGCCTTAACTTTGACTTCATTGGCAGTTCAGCAGATGAATCTGCAGATGATCTTTGCACGGTGCAGATTCCAACAACTTGGAGAACAAGTAAGAAAAAACTTTGGTATGAAGGGTCATCAACATAAAGGCACAGTATTAAGCAATATAGTTTCTGTATGTATAGTTATCTTTTTGCCAGGAATTAAAAAAATAGCTCAAATGGATTTGTAACCTGAAGTAGCTGCTGATAGCTAATATTGAAATGTTTTCTGTAATTCATATTATAGTAACTTCTATATTTTGATTTAGGAAAAAAGAAAAAACAAGGACTGCACTAGAGCTAAATGGAGAGCAGATTTGGGAGGAAAGTCAAGAGCTATGATTTGAAACTTTCAGACTTTCAGATAAACAGAGTGGGACAGGATCCCACTCTGTTTATGATCATTTTCAGGTGCTGGTCAAACCTTTAAATCTTCAGGATCAGTGTTAGCAAAATCTGGTAATGAAGGTCTTGAAACTGGTCCTTAACTGCCTTAACTTTGACTTCATTGGCAGTTCAATAGGTGATTCTACAAATGATCTTTGCACAGTGCAGATTTCAACAGCTTGGAGATCAAGTAAGAAAAAAGTTCAGTATGAAGGGTCATCATGAGAAAGAAAAAAGTTTAATATGAAGAGTTGGCAAGAGATGTCAACATATCTTTCAGGGTTATAAAGAGAATGAATTAGATTAAGTGACCTAGAAGAGGAGAGTTGCAACTTGCTTATAGAAAGGGATACCAAGAAAAAGGAAGCTAATTTGTTCTCCCATGTTCCAGAAAAATGGTGGCACCTAAGGTACCTCTGAACTCAGAATTGGGAAATGGGGCTGACGGGGTTTGATAAAAAGTCTGTACTCTGAACAGTTAAACTCTCCAGGATCTTCTCTACCACCTGTGCAGCTAGGTGACTGCCTTTTCCTCCCTTTTCTCTACCTGTGCTACTTCTTTACTTTCCAAGACCAGAGTTTTTTTCCTCAAGAAATAAAATTGGAGAGGCCTCATATTCATGGATACCAGATATAATAGAGGAACAGTATTAATTTTGTGAAAAACTTCTAATATGGAGATCAGAGACTACAACAACAAAGGGGGACTTTGTGTTCTGTATCTTGACTGTGGTGATGGAAACATGAACCAATACATGTAATAAAAAATTTCACAGACTGAAAACACACATCTACACACACATGAGTACATGTAAAACTGGGAAATCTGAATAAGATTGTGGATTTTATCAATGTGAGTTTCCTCGTTGAGATATTATACTGTAGTTTTGCAAGAAATTACCATTGTAGGAAAATGGGTAGGAGTTCACGGGGTCTTTCTGTATTATTTTTTGCAACTGCATGTGAATCTACAATTATCTCAGAAAGTTTAATTTTAAAATGGAGGGTAGTTAATAGCAACAGAGACAAGGTGAAAGTAGAAATAAACTTCAGAAAGATATAAAGAATATGCCCAGAGAGATGTTGAGATAATGCATCCCTGAAACAAGGACAGGATATTGTTCAGAGAATGTTCCAAATTTACAGGACAGTTGTCAAAATAAAACATCCAGTGGAAAAGTTGTAAGACAAAGTTAACCCAATCTCCTAGAATGTAGAACAAAAAAGCAAGGAGATGTTTGATAGGAGGAAAAAAAAACCAAGAAAACTAGAAGATGAAATTAAGGAGGTGTGACGGTTAGGAGTTCTAGAAAGAGAGGATGGAGAAAGAAGGAAATTTGCAAACAGATAGTACCCCAAAATGTTCTGAGTTCTGAAGGGTATGCA